>NC_000020.11:46011688-46314719 GCF_000001405.40 Homo sapiens
GTGCGCCACCACCGCCAACTACGACCGGGACAAGCTCTTCGGCTTCTGCCCGACCCGAGGTACCTCCACCCTGTCTACCAGGTTCAGCCCCGCCCTCTCATCATGTATTGGCCCCCAAAACGCGGCTCTTCCCTCCCATCAGTTTGTCTTTCCACTCTCATTGGTCCTCAGGACGACCGTGACTCCGCCCACCTACACCACATTTCCACCACTATCCCTGACTTCCAATGGCCCCGCCCCAGCCACTAAGGTTCGGCCTTTTCTGCCCAGCTGGCCGCCTCTTCCTTGGTCTGGTGTCCCAGGCACCGCCCACGGGTCTAGCCTCTTCTCAGGAGTGCTCTACAGCGCCCCCTAGGCCACCAAGATTGTTTAGCTCCCTGTCGGGTCGGCCCCTGACTCCTTATTGGACTCATCCATCTGGCTCATCCAAGGCCTTGGGTCTCTCCAGCTGACTCGACGGTGATGGGGGGCAACTCGGCGGGGGAGCTGTGCGTCTTCCCCTTCACTTTCCTGGGTAAGGAGTACTCGACCTGTACCAGCGAGGGCCGCGGAGATGGGCGCCTCTGGTGCGCTACCACCTCGAACTTTGACAGCGACAAGAAGTGGGGCTTCTGCCCGGACCAAGGTAGGCGTGGTCCCGCGGCTCCGGGGCTGGGGTTCCCGGCAGTGGTGGTGGTGGGGTGGCCAGGGCTGGGGGCTCGGCCCGGCGCTCACGTCTCAGGCTCCCTCTCCCTCCAGGATACAGTTTGTTCCTCGTGGCGGCGCATGAGTTCGGCCACGCGCTGGGCTTAGATCATTCCTCAGTGCCGGAGGCGCTCATGTACCCTATGTACCGCTTCACTGAGGGGCCCCCCTTGCATAAGGACGACGTGAATGGCATCCGGCACCTCTATGGTGAGGCAGGGGCAGGGATGGGAGGAGGAGGGGAAAGGGCGTGGCTGTGCCACAGTACCAAAGAATTGGGGGTTGGGGATCGGGGGAGGAACGGGGCGTGCAGGAGAGGTGGGACCTCAACGTCTGTCTGGAAGCAGAGCCTGGGCCCAGTCGCTGCCATGTCAGTGCTTAGAGGTGGTGATAAAGAGACTCTAGAGAGAGATAGGTGTGACTTCAAAAGCCAGTCTACTCTGGGCATGGTGGCTCACGCCTCTAATCCCAGGGCTTTGGGAGACCCAAGGCGGGAGGATTGCTTAAGCCCAGGAGTTCCAGACCAGCCTCGGCAACATAGCCAGACTCCCATCTCTACAAAAAATAAATGAGCAAGGCGTGAAGGCACATGTCTGTAGTCCTAGCTACTCTGGAGGCTGAGGTGGGAGGATCTCTTGAGCCCAGGAGTTCGAGGCTGTAGTGAGCTATGATTGCACCACTGCATTCCATCCTGGGCCATAGAGGATGTCGCTTAAAACGAAAAAGAAGAAGAAGAAAGTCCTGTGGTTTGGGAAGGGAGGCTGAGTGAGGAGGGGCCTGTGTGCCAGAGGAGGCTTCACTGAGAAGCTTAGGGGAGCAGATGTTCTAGGGGTACAGAGGTATGCAGGAATAGGAAGAGTCTCACCCCGTGTCTCTTTTTAGGTCCTCGCCCTGAACCTGAGCCACGGCCTCCAACCACCACCACACCGCAGCCCACGGCTCCCCCGACGGTCTGCCCCACCGGACCCCCCACTGTCCACCCCTCAGAGCGCCCCACAGCTGGCCCCACAGGTCCCCCCTCAGCTGGCCCCACAGGTCCCCCCACTGCTGGCCCTTCTACGGCCACTACTGTGCCTTTGAGTCCGGTGGACGATGCCTGCAACGTGAACATCTTCGACGCCATCGCGGAGATTGGGAACCAGCTGTATTTGTTCAAGGATGGGTGAGGAGGCGGGGTTGTGTGGATGCGGGAGGGGGCTTTGCGGAGGGGCTGCCCGTCCCTTCCCGCCCACTGGCCCTGTGTCCAAGGCTTAGAGCCCGTCCTTTCCCTCCTCGCTTTCTCAGGAAGTACTGGCGATTCTCTGAGGGCAGGGGGAGCCGGCCGCAGGGCCCCTTCCTTATCGCCGACAAGTGGCCCGCGCTGCCCCGCAAGCTGGACTCGGTCTTTGAGGAGCGGCTCTCCAAGAAGCTTTTCTTCTTCTCTGGTTAGTTACCTACTTTCCCTCCCCCGCCCGGTCAATCCCCATCAGTCAAGGAGGCTCAAGAGACCATCGATAACCCACGAAACGTCTTGTGCGTTTTAGAAAAATACGCCCCCTGGCGGACGCAGTTTAGCAAACGTAGGGGCGGCTGAGTTTCTGCCCCCT
Organism: Homo sapiens; assembly: GCF_000001405.40. Classification (NCBI taxonomy): domain Eukaryota; kingdom Metazoa; phylum Chordata; class Mammalia; order Primates; family Hominidae; genus Homo; species Homo sapiens. The sequence continues at coordinate 46,013,959 of NC_000020.11, forward strand.
CCTCTCCACGCCCTCGCGTCGCTCTACCCAGCGCCTCTGCCCCTGGGTTGCAGGGACTGCGGGCACGCGGGCTAGGAAAGGCCTCGCCGGAATCTCCCTCCTCGCGTTCTAGGAGTACGTGCTCCCTCTGCGCCCCCAAACCGACGTGACCCTCCTCCCCTGCAGGGCGCCAGGTGTGGGTGTACACAGGCGCGTCGGTGCTGGGCCCGAGGCGTCTGGACAAGCTGGGCCTGGGAGCCGACGTGGCCCAGGTGACCGGGGCCCTCCGGAGTGGCAGGGGGAAGATGCTGCTGTTCAGCGGGCGGCGCCTCTGGAGGTGAGCGCCGCCGCGGCCGCCGGCAGGGGGAGCCCGGGCGCCGTCGGTCCGTCCGCTAGCCGGCTCAGCACCTGTCTCCTCCGCGCCTGCCCGCAGGTTCGACGTGAAGGCGCAGATGGTGGATCCCCGGAGCGCCAGCGAGGTGGACCGGATGTTCCCCGGGGTGCCTTTGGACACGCACGACGTCTTCCAGTACCGAGGTGAGGGCTGAGGAGGATCCCTTCGTGAGACACCACACTAAGCTCCTCTTAGTGAGTGGTCAAATTCTGAGCGAGGAAGAAAAAGCCCTTGGAAATGGAAACAAATGCCCCAGCACAGACAAGATCCCAGCAGAGGCAGAGGCCTTCTCCAGGTCATTTAGGAAGTCAGGGATGCAACCAAGACCAGGACCCAGATTTCCTGCCTCCCCGGCTGGAAGCTCTTTCTCCTTCAGTACAGGACGGCAGGTGGTTTGTATGGAAGCTCAGTTATTAGACAACAGTCATCAAGTGCCGATAATGTGCCAGGCACTGTGCTACAGGGAGAGATAAGACAATTCACAGCTCTGTGACTTTGGGCAAGTCACTGCTTCTCTACTCTTCGAGCCTCAGTTTCCCCATCTGTAATATGGGGACTATAGCTGGAATTACACTTGACTTCCCTTTCTTACCAGTCACATCCAAACAGTTGACAAGGTGAACAAGATTTCCTGCCACCAAAATCTTTTTCGAGTCTGTCATTTTTTTTGCCATCTTCTTTATAAACACCCCAGCCCAAACCATACTGGCTGTCCAGGACCTTTAACAAATTCCATGAGATTAGAGAGGGGGTAGGAGTGAAGGGCAATGGTCTTGGGAGTGACCCCAGATGAATTCCAAGGTCAAAGAAATTAAGAGGATCTGACACTCCACCCCCGTGTTCTCATCTCTTCCCACTCCTCCTGTTATTTACTCTGCTCCACCCACACTGGCTGCTCTTTGAACAGATCAAGGTCATTCCTAGCTTACAGCCTTTGTGCCAGTTGTTCCCTCTGTCTGGAAAGCTTCCCCTCCAGATTGTCACTGGGCCATCCCACTGTCTTCCTTCAGGTTTCAGTGCTAAGGCCATTGCTTCAATGAGGCCTTCTTTGATGCTTATTATCTATTTACTTGTTTTTATTTTCTCCATAGCTTTCTATATTTTCTTTTTTTTTCTTTTTTCTTTTTTTTTTTTTTTGAGATGGAGTCTTGCTCTGTCGCCCAGGCTGGAGTGCAGTGGCACGATCTCAGCTCACTGCAACCTCCGCCTCCCGGGTTCAAGCGATTCTCCTGCCTCAGCCTCCCAAGTAGCTGGGATTACAGGTGCCTGCCACCACGCTTGGCTAATTTTTTGTATTTTTTAGTAGAGACGGGGTTTCACCATCTTGGCCAGGCTGGTCTTGAACTCCTGACCTCGTGATCCACCCGCCTCAGCCTCCCAAAGTGCTGGGATTACAGGCATGAGCCACCGCACCCAGCCGCTTTCTATATTTTCAAAACCAATCTCATTTATTTATGTGTTTGCTTAATTGTCTCTTGCCTCACTAGAGTGTAAGCACCAAGATAATTGAGATCATGCCTGCATTTTTTCTGCTTATCCCCAGTATCTTGAACAAAGCACATAGTAGATGCTCAGTAAATGATGAATGAACAGATTTGTTCAATGAATGAGCGTTGAATGAATTGTTCTGAGCATTAAGATAGTTGGTCTATTCATTTGTTAATTCATTCACAAAATGTGTATGGTGTACCTACTGTGTGCTAGGCTCTGTGGCAGTGCTTTGGGCACTGAGGTCTGTGCCCTCCAGCATCTCACAGAACCTCACAGCATCTCACAGGTTGGGGGGATGGAGGTGATATGTGAAAACCTTAGAAAGTTCTAGAAATGGCAGAAGAGATGGTTGTCAAGATCTTGTTCCTATTTCTGTATATGTGGGAGAATTAGAATCACTCCTCTTATGCCTGCCTGTCTCCTGCAGAGAAAGCCTATTTCTGCCAGGACCGCTTCTACTGGCGCGTGAGTTCCCGGAGTGAGTTGAACCAGGTGGACCAAGTGGGCTACGTGACCTATGACATCCTGCAGTGCCCTGAGGACTAGGGCTCCCGTCCTGCTTTGGCAGTGCCATGTAAATCCCCACTGGGACCAACCCTGGGGAAGGAGCCAGTTTGCCGGATACAAACTGGTATTCTGTTCTGGAGGAAAGGGAGGAGTGGAGGTGGGCTGGGCCCTCTCTTCTCACCTTTGTTTTTTGTTGGAGTGTTTCTAATAAACTTGGATTCTCTAACCTTTAGAAGCAGACTTTATTTATATATGTATGCACGTATGTATGCATGTATGTATTTAACTGATAGAGTGCAAAAAAAAAAAAAAAAAGGAAAAACAAATAACTGATAGAGTGCTTTCTACGTGCCAGAAAGTGTTCTAGGCCGGGCACGGTAGCTCACTCCTAGCACTTTGGGAGGCCGAGGCAGGCGGATCACGAGGTCAGGAGATTGAGACCACCCTGGCTAACACGATGAAACCCTGTCTCTACTAAAAAAAAAATAGAAAAAATTAGCCGGGCGTGGTGGCGGGCGCCTGTAGTCCCAGCTACTTGGGAGGCTGAGGCAGGAGAATGGCTTGAACCTGGGAGGTGGAGCTTGCAGTGAGCCGAGATCACGCCACTGCACTCCAGCCTGGGAGGTGGAGCTTGCAGTGAGCCGAGATCACGCCACTGCACTCCAGCCTGGGTGACTGAGCAAGACTCCGTCTCAAAAAAAAAAAAAATAGTGTTCTAGGCACTTTGTAAATGTTAACATATTCAATCATTCCTGTTAGGAAAGTATGATGTGATTATTTCTATTTTACAGTCAAGGAAATGATCAACCTGTTTATTCATTCATCAAACATTTATTGAGCCCCTACATGGAGCCAGGCCCTGTACTGGGCAATGGGGATAGAGAAATGAGTTAGACTTTAGAATGCATAAGATTCCCCTTGGAACTTGCTTAAAATGCAACTCCAGGCTCCACCTCCAGAGAGTCTGACCTATTTACAAGGGTGATTCTATGGCTGGTGGCGGTGGGATCACACTTGGGGAGTGTGCAGTGCATGATCTTTTATTCTACAATAATGGTGTGTGTGTGTGCACATGTGTGTGTGTCTGTGTTGTGGTTGAGGTCCAGGAACGTTTCTCAGTCAAGATGACATCTGAACCGGAACTGAATCAGAAAGGATGAACGAGCTTCTTCCTGTGCAAGGGACAATCTTCTTACAGGGTAATTTACCAAGAACCACTAAACCTAAAAATGTAACTACTTTCTGACCCTCACATGTGTGCACAAGACAACACATAGAAGGATGTTGATTGCAGCATTGTTTGTTAGTGAAAAACTGGCAATAACCTAGCTGCCCAGGAGTAAGTCAGTGGATAAATAAAATATGGATCATATACCTGACGTTAGTAGCTATCCACGGTACAGCACTATGTGCCAGGCACTGTTCTATGTGCATTTTGTGTGACAAAACAACCAGAGGAGATAGGTACTCCTATTACTTTGTATGTACTATTATTACTGCCATCACCAATCCCTTGTTTTACAGATAAGGAAACTAAGGCACAGAGAGTTATACAACTCACCCAAAGTCTCATAGCTAGTGAGTGATAAGAGTGGGATTTGAATGTGGGTTCTTGGTGCAAGTGCACGAAGAGAAAAAGAAGAGAAAAAGCAGTGGGTGTCTGGAGAACTTCAAATGGCTCAGAACTCCAGCATGGGGTAGTAGCAGGTGGCTAAGAGGGAATGGAGAGGATTCCAGAATGGTTAAGATAGCAGTGCTAGTTTGGGCTAGATGAGAGAAGTCCTGAATGCCAAGCTGAATATGAATTTGACCTTACAGGTTAGCAAAGGGACTTGACTGAAAGATTGGGGCCCGTGAGTGGAGATGATGGGTTTGATCAGGGCCCACGTGGGAATTTAAGTAGGAGTCCAGAAAACTGCCCTCCTGAGCTTCCTCTTTCATCTGTTTCTTGCTCAAATGACCCACTCCCACTTGGCGTACAAACATTCCCCGCCATGGCTTGTTTACAATCTGTCTTAACCCCTGCCTCCCACTAGATACTAGTCTATTTCTCTACCTTCCTATCCCTATTCACAATAAAACTTCCCAAAAGCATGGTCTCTACTCACTGTCTCCACTTCCTCAATTCCCATTCTCTCCTCAGCCATTTCCAGCCTGGCTCCCACCCCACTACACCACCAAAGTCACCCTCTTCAAAGCCATTTATGACCTTCTTGTAGCCAGATGTGACAGGAGCTCCTCTCTGCTCATCCCACACCAACTCTCCCCACATTGACACAGTGGATCCTGCCCTTCTTCCTGAAACTCTCGGCCTCTGGAACCTTACTTCTGGGTCTCCTCCTACCTCACTGGGTGGATTTTCCTCTTCTGGTGACAGAGGCACCCTTGTGCTCAATCGTGGGAATCCTCTGCTCTGTGTATACTCATTCCCTGTGATGTCTGGTAGCCCACAGCCTTAAATAGCATCTCTCTGCTAAAGACCGTGAAATTTATGTTTCCTACCATAACCTCCTCTCCCCTGCCCCGAGCTCCAGACTCATGTTCAACTGCCTACTCTACATGGCTCCTTAGCTGGCAAACAGACCTCTCAACCTAACGGGTCCAAACTGACTCCTGGGTTTCACCTTCCAAACGTGCTCCTCTGTTGTTACCACTTTAATAAGAGACAGCATCATCCACCCTCAATCAAACTGAACACCTAATCAGTCCTAAAATCTAGGAATCAGTTATTTAAACTTCTTTTCTAGTACTGGGTTTCTCAGCCTCTACACTATTGACATTTTGGGCTGGATACTTTGTTGTGGGGGATTGTCTTACACTGTACATCTACACTGTACCTTCTAGCATGTTTGGTGTCTTCCTCTAGGAGGTGACAGGATCCACGGCCAGATGCCAGGCCCATTCAGGGTCAGCCCTCTCTGCTAAGGAAGGCCCCAGTGTGGGGATGGGGTGCAGCAGGGTAATGTTGAACTGTGACTCATGGCCAGGCAGCCCTGGTACAAACCTAGAGGGCCCAAGAGGCCTTTAGCCCCTAGATGCTGGTACTAGCCCCTGCTCCAGTTGTGATAACCAAAAATGTCTCTGAATATTGCCAAACATTCCCTGGTGGTCAACATTGCTCCCAGTTGAGAACCATTGCCATAATATAATAAATATACAAATGTATCTATCATAAGTGTACATTTGAAGACATTTTCACAAATGGAACACAAGTGTGTAACCAGCACCAGGTCAAGAAACAAGAGGCTGGGCATGGTGGCTCATGCCTATAATCCCAGCACTTTGGAAGGCCAAGGCAGGTGGATCATCTGAGATCAGGAGTTCAAAACCAGCCTGGCCAACATGGTGAATAACTCTCTCCACTAAAAATACAAAAATTAGCTGGGCACGGTCGTGGGTACCTTGTAATCCCAGCTACTTGGGAGGCTGAGGTAGGAGAATTTCTTGAACTGGGAGGTGGAGGTTGCAGTGAGCCAAGATCATGACACTGTACTCTGGCCTGGGCGACAGAGTGAGATTCTGTCTCAAGAGACAAAAAAAAAAAAAAAAAAAAAGAAAGAAACAAAACATTATCAGCACCCTAGAAGCCTGCTTGCAATCACTACCTCTTCTCCCCAAGGGGTACCACTATCATTACTTTTTTTTTTTTCTGTCACCCAGGCTGGAGTGCAGTCGCATGATCTCTGCTCACTGCAACCTCCGCCTCCCAGGTTCAAGCAATTCTCTGCCTCAGTCTCCCAAATACCTAGGATTACAGGCACCCACCACTACACATGGTTAATTTTTGTATTTTTAGTAGAGATGGGGTTTCACCATCTTGGCCAGGCTGGTCTTGAACTCGTGACCTCATGATCCACCAGCCTTGGCCTCCCAAAGTGCTGGGATTACAGGTGTGAGCCACCGCGCCCAGTGCCACTATCATTACTTCTAACAGCTTAGATAGACTTTGACTATTTTTTACTGTATTTAAATAGTGTTATAGGGTATGTATTCTTTTGTGTCTGGACTCTTTTTTATCAAGGTTCTATTTGTGAGATTCATCCATATTGTTCTGAGAATTGTAGATGGTATTCCATTGTGTGAAGGTACTACGACTTATTTCTCTATTTTACTGTTGACAAGCATTTGGTAGATTCCAATTTGGGGCTATTATGAACAATGCCCCTATGAACATTCATGGTAAATGTCTTTTGGTGATCACAAGTAGTCATTTCTTTCGGGTATATACCTAGGAGAAAAACTGCTGGGTTGAAGGATATGTGTACGTTCACCTTCAGTAGATGTTTCCAAATAGTTTCCCAAAGTAGTTTTTGCCTAACTACACTCCCACCAGCAGTGTGTGAATTGCCAGGATTTCTCCTTGACTTCACTCTTATGGTCACGTGTCACATCCGATCCATCAGTGGGTCCTGATGGTTTCACTTTCAAAACCTAACTGGAATCAGACAACTGCCACCACTCTAGTCTGGCTGTCATCACCCCCCAGCTTGGGGTCTGCAGGAGCCTCCTAATTAGATTTCCAGCTTCTACTCTTGCCATTCTTTAGTTGAACCTTCGCCCAGCAGCCAGAATGATCCTGTTAAATTATAAATTGGATCACATCATTCCCCTGCTCAAAAAATCCAGGATCCTCCCCAAAGCCTTCAGAAGACCACATGATCTGCCCTTCTCTCCTCCCTCATCTCCAGTCACTCTCTTCTCCACTCACTCTCTTCCAGACACAATGGCCTTGCTGTTTCTTGGACAGTCGGGACTCCTTCTCACTCCAAGGCTCTGCATTTGCTGTTTCTTCTTCTAGAGAACTCTTCCCCCTAGATCTTTGCATAGCTGGCCCTTCTCATCAGTGAGGTCTCAGCTCAAATACCACATCTTCTAGGAGGCCTTCTCAGGCCACCCCTAAAGTAGTCCTCCCTCTTACCCATTATCCCATGGCCCTAGTTTTAAACATACATCCAATCTCAAATGATCTCATCTATGCATTTGCTCACTTATAATCTTTTTCTCCTTATTAGAATTTAAGCCACTTGAGGGCAAGAAGCCAGTGGATCTCATCCACCGACGTATCCCTCGCACCATTGACCGAAACACAGGAGCGCTATCGACATGTGCCGAATGAATGAATGAATGAATGAATGAGCCCCAGGTGTTTAGGAGACCCTAACAGAGGTGCCCCCGTTGTAGGGACGACTCTCACCTGCAGATGGCCTCCTCAGGCCCTTCGGGTGGCACTGGGGAGCCCAGGGCCTCCCAGCGAAGTGGCCAGATTCAGGAACCCTTCGCACAGCGGGCACTAGGACCCTGCGCGGCGCCGCGTCTCGCGGGGGGCGGGCGGGCGGAGGGGGTTGGGGGATCCGCTCTTTCTCCCTCCTAGAGCCTGGTTGCAGCCACTTGTGCGATCCCGGACCTTGCCGCGGCCGCCTGGCTCCTTTCCGCGCCATGAGCCGCAGGTTCACGGTCACCTCGCTGCCCCCCGCAGGGCCCGCCAGAAGCCCTGACCCAGAGTCCCGCCGGCATTCGGTCGCAGACCCCCGCCACCTCCCGGGGGAAGACGTCAAAGGTAGAGGCCGCAGGGGGCGGGGCCTGCCAGGGCCGGGCGGGACGAGGGGGAGGGGCCGGGGCGGACCGTCTGTTGAAGGGGGCAGGGCCAAGACCGGGGGCGGGGAGGGGTCCCAGCCCTAGGCCTGAGAGGGGAATGGAGCCAGGACTAGGAAACCAAGGGGCCGGGGCCGCGGAACGCAAAGTGTGGAGGGGGAGGGGCCAAACGCGAGGTGGGCGTGGCCACGAGGGAAAGGGGTGGGGCCAGGGAAGGGGTTTGGACGGAGGCGAAGGGGGCGGGTCTGGTGATGGAAAGGCCGGGGTCAAGGTGGAGAGTAGGCCGTAGGGCACTAAAGGGGCGGGGACATCTCGAGTAGGGAGCGGGACCAGAGTGAGGAGGTGGAACTAGGGAAAAAGGGGGCTGTGTGTTGAAGGGGGATGGTCAGGAGCCCCTAAAGGGGAGGCGGCGGGACTAGGTTGGTTTGGGGTCAGGAAAGGGCGGGACTAGTAGGGAATGAGTTGGGCCAGGAGGATGGGAGTGGGGCCTGGGAGGGGGGTGGGGTCGAGGGCGGGAGGAAAACTGAGTCAGGGTTGCCGAGGCAGGTGCCAGGTCAGCGGGTCCTCGGTGCCTGGCGGATCCTCCAATCCTCTAGCTCCCTGGAGGCTTAGCGGACAGCGACTGGGGATCCCGGGAAGGAGACGGGAGGCAGGGAAGTTAGTATGGATCCTGGGCAGCGAGATTCAGGGAGGATGCCGTAGGGTCGCTGATCCCGACTCTTGGGGACCCACTTAGCTCCTTGTCTGCTCGAGCTCCGTAAGGGTTGGGAGGAGCCAGCTCAGGCGGGGTTGGGGGCGTCTTCCTCGCGGGCCCTGTGCAGGGTCTTGTAATGGAAGTTACACGCAGGGCACAGAGTATAGGGGAGGGGAAAGATCCTTCTGGCCTTCGGTGGAGAAGTAGCATCCTGGGCGCGTGCACAGTCTCCCCTCAGGGGGCACTCATCAGGGGTCCTCTCCCTGGCTCTGAGGCCCTCGGGTCTGGAAGGAACAAGGCGAATCGGCTTGTAGTGGCCCCAGCGAGGGGAGGAGGAGGAGGAGGAGGAGGAGGAGGAGGAAGAGGAGGAGGAGGAAGAGGAGGAGGAAGAGGAGGAGGAGGAGAAGGAGGAGGAGAAGCCTCCCCAGACCGCCAGGGGTCGCTGCCGAGCCGCAGGTGAGCTCGCCCCGAAGCAAACCCAAGCGCCGAAACCCCTAGAGTAACCCTTAGGGGGTTATCTGGCGGACCTCCTCATTGTACAGATGACCAAATTGAGGCCTGGAATTCCGAATGGCCCCAGTCCCGGGAACCGAACGCCTCCTGGTTGTGGCCACTTGGATTTCTTGGGCTCCTTCCACTCTTCATCTTTCTCATAATCTCTTTTCTCATTTTCATGAATGACCTTACCAGCCTCCCAGATTTGAAAGTAAGAAATTCTGGAGCCATTCTCAACCCTTCCTTTTTTCTTTCCAGCAAATCCAACTGATCCCCACGTCTTGGCCATTCACCTCTGAAACTTATCCTGAATCTGGCAGCATCGGTCCCCCCTCTGTCATCATCGCCCTGCTCCAAGCCTCACATGGCCACGACCACATCCTCTCCACTGGCCTCCCTGCCTCCAGTCCTTCCCTAGCCCTCCTCCACAGAAGCCCCCCATCACTTGCAAAATAAAGGCCAAAGCCTTAAGTCTGTCATTCTCTTTCCTCATTTGCTTCTGGTGTTCTTGTCCACATTCATTCTCCCACCTCCATCAGCCAGGAAAACTCCTATTCGTTCTGTAAGTTATAGCTCATTTAACCTTTTCCAAAAACCTTTTCAGTTTCCTCTTCGGCCCACCCACTGCACCCTTAGTGCACATGTCCCGGTGGATGGCAGTCGTTTTCTTTACTTATGGGTATCCTCCATTGGAACATCTCAAGGACAGGGACCATCTCCTTTATCTTTGTGTTCTGAGTTCCAGACCCAGAGCCTGGCACTTAGTAGGTGTGTAATGCTCATAAGATGAGAGGAGGGTGGCTGTGGGATCCTGCTTCTCTACCCTTGCCTTCTCTTCTCTCGCTCCTCATCCCCTGGCTTAGGAATAAGACGGCCCTCTCTCATGTCCCAAGGTGATTGCTGTTTTCCCATTCACACTCTCAGATGCCGGTACTCACACTACTTCGCTGGGGTCGAAGTGAAACACAGCCCCCAAGCTTTGGGTGTGCAGGTGTGTATGAGCCTGGAATGCTGTGTGCTGTGGCAGAGGCTGTGTGTGTGTGTGTGTGTGTGTGTGTGTCTTGTGGGAGGAGCATCCCCCATTAGTTTTGATGACCTGTGGGGTGGTCAGTGACTCACTCAGTGCTTCTGTGTGTCACTATATTGCCAGCACGTTGAAGGGTGTGCTGATGTGTACATTTCTGTGTCTATCTGAGGGGTGGGTACCTGTGTGCAGGAGTGTATTGGAAGTTCCATCTGGACAATGATTTGGGTGACTTTTAACCTTTTAAGCCTGAAGCAGTCTCAAGCACCTCCTCTCTGGCAGATCACTGTATGGGGAAGTAGACAAGGGCTACTTAGGGGAACCCAGCATCTGCTGGTATCTTTCCCATAGCTGTTCTTGTGTCAGCCCTCTAGCCCCTGATAGATTCTCTTTCCACCTCTTGTCTTCACCCAAAGGGAGGGATAGCAGCATGTCTAAGACTGGGAAAGGTTGGGGGAGATGGTGTGGGTGTGTATTATCTTTTACTCTGGGCCAAATGAGTGGGGTTTGCCACTTGGGGGGCTTTCTGCTGCCAGAGGATGAGCCATAGGTGAGAACATGACTTACAGGGAGTTAAAGAAGCAAGGCAAGGCCAAGCCTCAAATCTGCCACTAACCCTGGATTGCGGGCCACACACCTCACTTGCTTCACCTGTGTCATGGGAGATTGATGGTGACTTGGATGAACAGAAGTAGACCTGGTGACAGTTGTTACAACTCTGAGATGCTCCCCTATTCCTTTATCTGATCCTCTACTATGCCTCCATTTCTCAGGGGGGAGTCAGGGCCCTGAAAAGAGCCCTGGGCCTGGTAGGACTAACAGGAGTTGGGATGTGTCCCCATGGAGGGAGAGGGAGCTAACTTATGCTGGGAGGATGGAGCAAGACCACAATGTAGCCCATCTGTGTTCTAGCTCAGGCTCTGTGGTGTGACCTTGGGCACACTTCTTCCCCTCTCTGGGCCTTAATATACCCATCTGTAGTATAAAGGAGTTGAACAGGAAGCTATCTAAGGGTCCTTCTAACCATAAAAATGCTAAGATTTTGTGATGATTTGGAAGGATGAAGCTGTCTGCCTTCTCTAGACACAAACCTCATGTTTCAGTCTCTCCATCTGTAAATTGGGAAGAATAATGCTGTTATTGGTATATATGTTGGATCTGGAGATTTCCAGTCTGTCTAAGGAGATCTCCAGTCATCTCATCCCCAAGCCAGAACTCAGAACCTCACTGCCCGGTACCTCAGCCCAAGGTGAGCCCTAGGAATCTCCATGGCAACAAACTGGTTATGAACGGGGCTGCAGTTGCCATGGTGACAGGCTGCTCTCTCTTTCTCTCTCATCCCCCTCCTCTCCCCTCCCCTTTTCTCAATGAACCAGAGCGATCTTTAGGCCTCAGTTCTCCAGGTGGGGTGGGGATCGGGGGGTGAGTGCAGTGAGAAAGGGGTCCGGATTGGGAAAGAGGGAAGATGGACTGAGTCTGCAGAGGAATGAGGGGCTGTTGGGGTGCTGTTGCTATGGTGATGGGGCTGCAGCCTGTTAATTAAACCCCCGGTTGCCACGGAGACAGTGGTGGTTGACGTGCTCCGCAGTGAGCCCTGTGTGTGTGGGGCGTGCTTTGCGCTGGACTCATCAATTCACTGCTACAGTTTTGGGTCCGAGGATGGGGCATGCGGGTGGGGAAGAAGAAGAGTGAAGGAGGGCATTCAGGACCCTGGGCCCATAAGGCCACAGCCAGCGGTGGGTGGGTTAGGTTGTGGGGGTAATGCAGTGGAGATGCGGAGGGAGAGGGATTGAGCCATAAGGAGGAATGCTATGCCTGCCTCCTGTGAAAAGAGGACCCAGTCCGGTGGCTCTAGCTTCCTCCAACCAGCCCCTTGTCCTGGTTCAGTGGATGGAGTCCCGGACAGGAGGTCAAGGGGCTGGGTTCTAGTCCCTAGTCTGTTACAAGTTCACCCCATGAAGAAAATATGAACCTTTCCATTTTCAGACTCCAATTTCACAATAAGTGGAGAGTGGAAAATAATTTATAATATCTCTTCCAGTTCCCAAATCCTGACACTCAGGAGGCAGCTTCTCTGAGCTTTTTTCTCTCTGAGACATATGGTGGGAGGGGGTATGAGTTTGAGAGACTCAGAGTTTAGAAATAGGACCCTCCCTAGCCCTGCATCTTGTGCTGCTTTAGTGAGAGGGTTTCTCTGGCCCCAGATCTCCCCAGGGTTCTTGGTGGGGAGGGGATGCTGTACTGGCAGCCAGGTTCCTGGGGCTCTGAGCTGTGGGTCACTTTTTACTGGCCAGTGCCAGGCTGGCAGTGTGGTGGGTGCCTGCCATGTGTTTTCTCTGAACCTCACCACAGAGAGTTGGCTGGAGGCCAGAATAGGGCACAGTCTTCCTGAGAGGTGAGGGGTGTCAGTGGAGGGGCTGGGGTCCCCCCTTGGGACTGTCTGCTCACTTGGTCGGGGCTCCTTAGGAAGGGATATGTGGCTTTGGTCTGAGATTAATAGAGCACTAAGAGTTTTCAGAGCAGGAAGAAGTGCCATGGATTATACGACCTAACTCATTTTTACAGACGGGATACTGAGGCCCACAGAGAGGAACCTGATTTTGCCCAGAGATACACAGAGAATTTGGGGGCAGAGGATATGACAGAACCACTATCTCCTGAATCTCAGATGGCTCTTGAGATGGGAACTCTAGTGAAGGTGGACAGATGGGTTCCCCAGGGAAAGAGGAATCACTCCTGCCTTCACCCGTACTCCCTAGAATCTAGGTTTCCCCATGCATGGGCTTAGTCTCTGAGTGGCCAAAGCTGGACCACAAATGAAGGAAAATAACCCCAGGGGAACATGCCAGACCTAGGATTACTGAAAAACCTTAGCATCTCCTTCATTCTACAGCACTTCTCTGACAAACATGCTACACGTGTTTTACTGTTATGCATCTCTGCAGAGTAGTAGAACACAGTGCTGCTGCTGCTGCTAGTGCTGTGTGTGTGTAGAGTGGAGTGGCATGCTTAAAAATTTTTGAACACTGGCTTCTTTTAACCTCTGTCACCAATTCAAACTCATCTCACCCTTTTGGTGGTTTTTTTCTCTGGGAGAGCCAAGAATACCAGTGCCCACAACTTGTCTGAATAGCTAACTCTCCACCCTGAAAGGTCCTTTGGGTATCCAAAAAACCAAGTGGCAGCGATACTTGATTGGTAGGTCCCTCAGAGGCACTTTTGAGTCAGCTGCTGAAAACTCCACGGTTGACCCAATCTGAAGCCACTGACAAATTGTATTAATACAAGTAAAGCTGAGCCCTGGATCCTGTCCATGGTCCTGAAAAAAGTCCTGTCCTATACCCCGGTCTCCAGGGATATGAATGGCTCTTTAGGATTTTTGCAGGTTTTCTGGAGGCTTCCCCTTCAGTTGCAAGCCAAGAGTCCATTCTAGCCCTGCACCTCTGAAGCCTGAGCACAAGAAAAGGAATAAAGCACATCTCAGATGTAGTGCCTGTTTGTTTGTTTGTTTGTTTGTTTGTTTTTCAGGAGCTAATAATCAGAGGCTGCTGAGGGGCATGGATATGACTGCATCCTTGTCTCTTCTATGGAGGCAAGACGACTTTTATAAGTTCTATCAATGAAGAGAGTCCTAAACTGGAGTAAAGCAAACTGGATGCTAGACCAAATTCTGCCATCCACTGGCATTATGTCCACAGGCAGTCATTTTCCCTCTATGGGCCTTAGTTTTTTCATCTGTGAAATGAAAGCTGTGTGTAAGATACAATGACTGATCTTTTCCCAACCGAAGAACTTTTCTGGAACTTAGAGAGCCAGGGAGAGAGCTAGTACCAGTGTGAAGATTGTTTACCCCGATCTGCTCCCACCCTCAGATGTTTAGATCTTCTAGAGACTCAAAGCTTTCAAACCTCTGATGCCACTTCCTGAGATGTCTGCACCACTGGCTCAAACCTGGACTCTAGGGGCTCTGAGGGGTCCCAGGATGATCAAGCTTCTGGGGGATTGGCCTAAGGGAAGAGGGGAGGAGGACAGAGAGCATGTCGGCTCTGGAAGCCTCAGAAAGCAATCCTGGATTAGGGGATTAGACACTTCTGCCCCAGGAGAAAATCTGGTCTCAAACCGACAGGCGGCCTCATTCCGCCCTCCCCCACTCTGTCCCTGGCCAGCCTCAGGACCGGCCTGTCCTCCCTAGAGGCTGCACCATCCCTGATGGAAAGTCAGTGCTCCCTGGAAACTCACTGCTGCCTCTTCTGCTCCTCCTCACCAGGTCTTATCTCTAGATCAGTCCGCAGTCAGAAGGTCCCTGGCTGTGGGCTCCAGGGACTTGTCTTGGGGGTGGGACGCTGGGACTCTTGTCAGTCTAAGCACAATGAGAGAGTTCCTTGGAACTTCTCAGGCGCTACCCCACCCATTTTAAGACAGATTGGGTCAGTCAGCCCAGTGACCTGAACGCCCCTGGGGGTAGCACATTGCTTAATTATGGGCCCTGGGCTCTACATGCCTCCAGCTCCAATCTCTTGAGCAGTGGTATGAAAGAGGGTCTGGTTCTCCTCCCCCACTTCAGGGCTGGCCTCTCCAGTCTTGCAGAGAGGCTTCCCAAGGGCCCCATGTTCCATGGCGCACCTCCACGGCCACTTCAGTGCCCTTTATCTTCCCCCTGGGGGTTACCCCAGACCCCCAGTCAAGCAGCCGCTGCGGGGCCGCCTCCCCGCGGCCGCGACCTAGTTCCCTGCCGTTATTTTTAGGGCGCGGGATGGCACCTGCCCACGTGCCGGGCCCCGCCCGGAGAGTGGGTGGGGGGAGCTGCGTCTGCTCAAGGGAGGCGAGGCCCTGTCCCCCGAAGCACCCCCTTCATCCCACCCACGCAATCCCCCAGTTTTTGTGCAAGGGGGCCACTAGTCGGGCTCTGCCCGCCCCTCATCTTCTCTTCTCTCTCCCTCCCGCTCTCCCCCCAAAACCCCGCCAGTGGCTCACGCCTCCTGCATACGGGATGAGGTGAGCAGCGCCGCTGCTGAGAGGGGGCGCGCGCGGGTGTGAGCGTGTGTCCGTGTGCGAGTGTGTGTGCGCCGGGCGGGCGGGCACTGCAGCTTCTTCCTCCGTGGAGCGGAGAGCGAGACAGAGCTACAGCGAACGAGAGAGCGGCGAAGGCGGGTAGAGGGGCGCGGGCGAGGCGGCGCAGCCATCCCCGGACCAGGGGCCGCGCCGCCACCATGCTAAACAACCTGACGGACTGCGAGGACGGCGATGGGGGAGCCAACCCGGGTAAGCTGTGGTCCGGGGGCGGCGGGGGAGGGGGCAGCGAGGAGAGGAGGCAGCTCTGGGGTTAGAGGCGGAGCGGGGGCCACCTCCTTCAGAGAGGAGGCTGGGACTGACCCGGGCGGTGGGCGCCAGTTGCAGCCTGGAGCTCAGCTCCATTGGAATGCTCCGGGCGCTGTCCAAGGTGCTGGAATGCGCCGCGCCCGGGGGCAGAGCTGCGGGCCGGGGGATTATCGCTGCCCACGGCTTCGGGCTGACTTGGGTTAGCTAAACCGAGGAGGCGGTGGGAAGGGGATAGAAGACCTAGAATGGGCTGATGTGGAGCTCGACGGCGGGAGGAGGGCTCCTTTCCCCGACAGGGGACCCCGGCGTCCTGGCGCAGAGCAGGCACCCGTGGAGCCGGGGGGCGCAGTCTGCTGCAGTCCCTCGTTCTAAGACTTCCATCTGGAAGATGGGGGAAGAGGTGGCTGTGTGTGTGTGTGTGTGTGTGTGTGTGTGTGCGCGCGCGTGCGTATGTGTGTGTGTGCGTGTGTGTGTGTGTGTGTGTGTGTAGGGGGTTTGGAGCCATATGACAGCCCCCCGTCCGGGCTGTGGTGTCTCCTTAAGACACCCAGATTGTCCCCTTGGTGCAATCTGGGACCCCTCCCCCAAGGCTTCCCAAGGTCCGACCTCAGACTGAAGCGTACTTCCTCCATAGATTTTCAGCTCTACTTTGCAGAATCTCTCTCTCGCTTTCCCGTGGGTTCCTATTCAGGACGGGAAGCAAGATCACCCTCCTTTCTTCCCTCTTTCCCCCTCCTCTCAGTTCCCTGGGGCGGTCCAGGGCGGGGCGGGGGGGAGTCTTTTTAGTTAGCTCTGCTAGCTTCCCCAGTGAGGCCTCAGAAATGGGGTCCCAGTGGCTGATTCCTCAGCGCCGCGACGCGGACACTGCGGACGCGCTGCGGTGGGTGCGGAGACTCGCAAGGAGCCGAGGGGCTTGGGACAAGTCCTTTCGCTGCTCCCGCTCTCCCCCGCCCTCCTCCGCGGCTTCCTTGCTCCGAGGTCTTGGGGCCAGCCACCCCCTCAGGCTCCCAGGCCCCCCGCCGCCCCCGAGCGGTCTCAGCCATCCATCACGGCTGTCAGCCACCCCCACCCCCCACTCTCCAGCGGCGCTGCGTCCCCTGCGCACTAGCGCGCCTCCCGCGCCTGCTGTCTGCGCTCAGCGCCTTCAAACGTTCCCCTGGGCACTGCTTGACCCTATGAGCCTAGACTCCCGCAGATCCCTCTGGCGGATGGCGCCTAGGGCTGAAAGAGCAGGGTCTTCTAGGGATTGGCAACCTTGACTCTGAGGTCCTCCGGATCCTGGATCTCAGGGCCAAGTGGCCGCTTGGAAAGGCTGGGGACACCAGGGTCCCTGATCCTTTGTCTGACTCCCCCCCACCCCCCGCCGCTTCCCGCAACTCCTCATTCCTCCTGGGGGCTGAGTGGTATACAGGTGCCAGAACTCCTAGCTGGCCCTCTCATCCACCTCCCCAGTGACCCTGGGATCACCTCATCCAGCATCCGCCCCCTCCCCCGCGGGCTTCTGGCCGGAGGGGGAGGGGGTTTGGCAAAGTTGAGTCTGCGGCAGCGCCAGGCATCCCGACGCGGATCTTTCCATCCGGGATCCCCTTCAGATGCCTCCACTCTGAGAGGGGGACTCAGATGGAGAGCATCTCTCTGTTCCCTCAGACACCAGGTATGGTCCCATTTCCCAGCACCCGCTTTCTCTGCCAAGGTTTCACCAGGCCTTGGGGTTTCCACAGGGGCTCAGGAGGCCTAGAAAAGAGGCATCAGTGTGTGTGAGGCAAGAGTTGAACTAGGAACTCGCTTCAGTTCTATCCCCTCTCCGTTAGTTTCTAGACACTGAGTGCAGCGGACCCATCTGGAGACCTTCTTTCTATACATAGGGTCCAGGACCTGGAACTCAAATGGCCAGAACCTGGGTCATGTGCTGTGGGTCCCAGAGAGAGAAGTCCCCCCTCCTCCAAGCGGTGCTTGGAGATGGTAGTAGGAGGTGCTAAGGACCTTCTGGGCTTGAGAGAGGACCATCAGGCCAAGAGCCCCTGACATCTCTGATTCTAGATTCTTGGGGATGTACGGGAAGGAACTGGTTGCTGACCTCGGGCAGGTGGGGATGACCCGAGCAAGAGGGCACTTCTGGACTAAAGAAGAGCCCAGGGATGTGTCCCGGTCTTCTTTCTCCTTGGGGTCTGACGCCCCGTCTCCCTCTCGGACCTGGCCTAGGGATTCCCCCAGGCCCAGCCCCAGGCCCCGGGGAGGCTTCTTAGCCTGCGCCGCTCGCCTGTTTCCTCCCCGGGAGCTCTGGCCGCCGCAGCTTAATTGAAAGCCGATTCGGGTTGAGAGCTCCCAGGGGGCGGGGGCGGGGAGGGCTCAGCCTCAGTCTGGCCCTGCCTCTCGCGCGCGCGCCGCTCGGCGCTCCCGCCATCACCCTTACTCCTTGGCTCCGGGGAATCAGGGCGAGTTTCCCCTTAGCTGTTCTGGTCCTTTGAGAACTCGGAAGCTCATTCCCCATCCCCCTCAACCAGTGCGCCTGGCGTTCAGGGAGGGGACGAAATCAGCCCTGGCTGACAAGTCCCGGGAGCCTGGCGTCCCGCCCAGGCAGCTACTGGAAAGGCGGGACCCAGAACTAGCCTACCTAGCCGCCCTCTCCCCTGCCCTCATCTCCTGGCCCGGATCCGGCCTGGAGTCTGGCTCCGCGCTGCGCGCCGCGTTACATAAGCGGCTGCGGGCGCGCGGCCGGCTAGGCTCGGCGCTGCGCTCTCGGCCTGCGCGGTCGCCATGGAGACCGGCGCGGGGCCACCTAGTTGCAGGGTCTCGGGCCAGGAAGCCCCTATTCCTGTCCCCTGAGCGCCACCCGCCCCCGCGAAGGAGGAGGCGCTTGGGAGGGGGTGTGAAAGGCAGAGGGGAGGGGTTCTCCTGTCTGGTTGTCCTGGCCCTAAGAGGGGATGCTGCGGGGAAATGGACCCAGCTCCATAGGAGACAGGACCCCAAAATCTTGCGGCTGGATATGCGGCTGGAGATGTGGGATGGGGAGCCCCGGCTGGGTGGGCACCAAGTATGTTAATAATAATCGCAATTGTAATGATAGCAATAGCCACACTCGTGGCGGGCACACCTAATATGCATGATTTAATTTAATCCTAGCAACAGCCCTATGAGTTAAGCTTGGTTAGTATCCCTTTGCAAAGGAGGAAACTGAGGCGTAGAGAATTTGTGACTTGCTGAAAGTGACGACACAGCCAGTGAAGCTGGGACTGGAATGTCAGTTTCCATAACTCCAGCCCCCTTTTTTAACCGTTAGGAAACATCCTTTCACCTCAGGTCCCCTCAGTCTCTAGTCCACACCATGATGTGCTGAGAACAGGAGGCATACTATCAGCATTTTAAAAGGACCTCTTCCTTGTTTCTCCTGTTCTCTGGCCCCAGAGAGCTCTTCTGAGACCCTGGGGTCCAGAAGGGAGCCCTGGAGAACTTAGCTCCAAAGACTTTTCCTGAGCACCTATTATGTGCTGGGAGGTGGGTCTCTTATTCCCAGGAACTCACATATGTGAGAAGAAAGAGCTGACGATTGCACCCTATTTGACAACCGGGAGTTTCTGCCTTGATGGATGAGGTGGAGGTGGTGGCAGAAGACTGGGTGGTGGGTTTCTTTGGAGCAGGCGAGGCATCACTCCTCCTGGCCCAATTTTTAGTCAGGAAGAGATTGGTTTTATAACAGAGACAGGCCATGCTCTGGCTGGGTGACTGAGGAAGGTTTCCCGGAGGTAGAGAGGAGGATGGGGAAGACGCAGACGGATGGAGATGGGGAGAAAGGGATGTCAGCCATCGAGGGGACAGGAGAATCTAGGTGCCTAGGGCCTCAATTTCACTTGGAATTTGATCAGCGGGGAGTTTCTCCAGTGTCCAGAGAGATGTCAACTGCTGGAATTCAGCCCCGGAATTGAGGAAGGGTCATGGCTGAAGCCAAGGAAATGTACCTATGGGGCCTCTTATATCTTTCTGAAGGGACCTTCCCCCCTGGTGCCCAAGATACTTTCTCCTCGAGTGATCTCATCTAGGCACATGGCTTCACACGCATACTACACATGTTTACATAGCTTACCCCCATCTCTTTCTCCTGCCTAGCCTCTTTGCTGCATGTATCCTGATTCGTATATCCAGGTGGCTTCTGCATGTATCCACTTGAGTGCCCTACAGTGCCTCACCCTCAGCTAAATTCAGCATCTTCCCCACCTCCAAACTCCTTCTCTTCTAGTCTTCCCATTTATCAAATAGCACCATCATCCAACCATTCACCCATGCTAGAAACCGCAGACATTATCCTAGGTTCTTCCTCTCCCCCTCCCCAAACATCTGGCATGGAAATATGCCAATAATTCTGTCTGTTGCTCTACATTGCTCTGGTCAGGCACATCATCAGCCCTTACCTGGGTTACTGAAAGTCTCTAACTACGGTACTCTGTTTTCTTCACCTAAAAGCCAGAGTGATGGCTCTAAAACATGGGTTTATTCATGGTATTTTTTTTTTGCCTGAAACTCTTCAATGACTCCCCATTGCCCTCTGGATGAGGTCCACATTCTTGAACACGACCTGCTAATCATTTAAGGGACCAGCCTGCGCTTCCCTTCCCAGGCTCACCTTTTCACTTTTCACTGCCCCTTCCACAGACTCCAGCCAGATCATACTTCATTCCTCTAACCCACTCTATTCACTGTCACCTCTGGGCCATTGAACATGCTGTTCTGCTATTCTGTCTGCCTGGAACACCCTCCCTTCCTCCCTCCCAGGCTAGCTCTTACTCATTCTTCAGCTCTCAGCGGACACGTCACTTCCTCTGGGAAGACTCCCATGACCTCCCAATCTGGGCTGGATGCCTCTCCTGTGTCCCAGTCCCTTGATCTTCTATCCTAGAATTGACCATGCCAGATTGGAAATTCCTGGCTACTGGTTTGTCTCCCTGCACTTGGGTTGCTTTCCTGAGAACAAGGATGATGTCTTCTGTGTCTTACCCTGCTTCCCCCATGCCTGTATTGGCACACGGTAGACACTTGGTAAACACATTGTGAATGAAGATGAATAAAGGGCATAGGAGATGTCAGAGGGGGTCACTTCTTCAAGAAGTGGCACATCCTTGGGGCCTTGATCTGTAGTGCTCCTGGAAGGCAGACCTTCTCCACTGGGAAAGAACATGCCTCCACCCCAAACACCGGTATGAGCCCAGCTATAGTTAAGAAGGAAACTCTGGAGAGTCTTGGGGTGTCCTGGTAAATGGAATAGGACCCCCAAGAGCAAGGAAGCACTCACACATCTGTTAATACGCAGTGCATACCAGCTAGTGCATTAGGCTCTGTATACATGCTGTCAACTGCAACCCTGCAAGGAAGGTGGTATTAGCCCCATTTTCCCAATGCGCGAACTGAGATTCAGAGGGCTACTGTGGCTACACCACTGTATGCCCAGGTGGTTGGACAACAACTGATTGGTTCCAGATCCCTGACCCCTCTCCCTTCTCAGGTGATGGCAACCCCAAGGAAAGCAGTCCCTTCATCAACAGCACCGACACAGAGAAGGGAAAGGAGTATGATGGCAAGAACATGGCCTTGTTTGAGGTGGGCTGCTAGGGCTGTTGGGCCCCCACCTACAATTCATTATCCTGATTCATCAGCTGCTCTCTCCCTCCCTCCCTAGGGAGCAATACCCTCGTCTCCACCCCTCCCTTGAGTCTACCTTCTTCCTTGAGCCTCCCCATCCCTCCTTCTCCCTCCTGGGATTTACTCCCTCTGCTCCCTGCCCTCTCCTCATCCTACCATTCTTACCCCTGTTCTCCTCACCTGTTCCTCCTCCTTTCCCATCTCATCCCAACCTGAATAGTTTCGTGCTCCTTGTCCCCATCTCTTCCTCTGCCCTTCGCCACCCAGCTCACTCCACTTGCTCCCCCAGCCTCCTAGCACTGACACCCTCCCTCCATAGGAGGAGATGGACACCAGCCCTATGGTGTCCTCCTTGCTCAGTGGCCTGGCCAACTACACCAACCTGCCCCAGGGAAGTAGGGAGCATGAAGAGGCAGAAAACAATGAGGGTGGAAAAAAGAAGCCGGTGCAGGTGAGGACCTCGGGGGATGAGAAATGGAAGAAAAGGGACGGATGGGGGGTGGGGGAGGATGGGGGAGGAAAATGGATTTGAATGGAGGGAGGGAAAGGGGATACAAATCAGAAAGAAGAGGGATGAAGGGTTGAGAATAGAGAGAAGAGGAAGGTGGGGGCAGAGAAACATGGAGGAGGAGCACACCTGGGGTGTTCGTAATGATGAGGACTGCAGAGACTGATGCTGGCCTCCCTGGCAGGCCCCACGCATGGGCACCTTCATGGGCGTGTACCTGCCGTGCCTGCAGAACATCTTTGGCGTCATCCTCTTCCTGCGGCTCACCTGGGTGGTGGGCATTGCAGGCATCATGGAGTCCTTCTGCATGGTGTTCATCTGCTGCTCCTGTGTGAGTGACACCCCTCCCCTCACCACCCCCTGACAGCTGGGGCTTGGCAGAGGCCTGGGGGTGGGAGGTGGGAGGATGGAAGCATGAGACCTGAGCTTTTTATAGGAACCACTGCTTATGATCTTTGAGAGTAAATTAGGCCTGACTGGTCCTTCCTGCATCTCACAGGCTTGTCCTTGATGGCTGTTAACCAGGTTTCACCTGGATCTCTCTGTGTGTAATTACACAAGTGATGCAGCTCATTGATGGAAATGATAAGGGTAGGGAAGAAAATAAAATTCACCTATAATCTTACAATAGTTAACATTTTGGCAGGTCCAGACTCACAAAAATGAGATTACATGTCACAAACAGCATTGTAACCAAATTCTTCCCATTCTCTCTAAAAAAATCAAATATTCGCCAAACACCTACTTCTTGATATATTTACATGTCCTCGTACATAACCTTGAGACAGCTCTGCATGTGAGGTACGCAGTGTCGGAGCTGTTACTCCTATTCTATAGATGGAGAAACTGAGGCTTGGAGAAGTGAAGTGAGTTGTCTCAGGTCAGGCAGCTGGTCTGAGACCAGGCTGGGATTTCCAGAGCTCTCTGATGCTGTGGCTTGCTTGGGCTCCTTCCGTTCGCATGGTGAATAAGGTTTTCTTGAGAAGAAGGACTTGGCAGGAGTAGAAGTTGGAACAGGTCCAGGGAGCAGCTCAGCAGAAGAGAACCTGTGGGTTTGGCTGGTGTTTATGGGGTATAAGGCTTGGCCCCCACCCAGGCCACTGCGGCCCCTACCCCAGCCACCGCTCTGATGATCTCTTTCCTCACAGACGATGCTCACGGCCATCTCCATGAGTGCAATTGCAACGAATGGTGTTGTGCCTGGTAGGTGACTGGGGCTTTGTGGGGAGGGAGGATGGCTGGGTGGAAGGAGGGATAGTGCCCTGGGCTTTGGGGGACATCAAGGCCCAAGAGAGATAATATTCTAGACTAGGGGGCTGGGCTGTATCTGTTTTCAGCCCTATTGGGGGCAGAGGAGGAGGCAGCTCTCGGTGTTGAATAGGGCAGCCCTCCCCCAACTCATCCTGAGACCCTCCTCTCCACCATCCAATTTTCTGAGCCATGACCTCCTTAAAGGGGTAATTAGCAACATGGTAATTAGTGCTGCAAAATCCATGCAGAGTGGTTGCTTGGGTCTCTCACCAGTCCCCTTTCTAGGGCTGCAGCCCATAAGCCTGTGAGGCCTGGAGCAACCCCCTTCTGCCTCTGTCACTGAACACCCCTCACCCCTTACGGCAGCCCAGTGCCCCCGACCCTCTCGCTGATACCAGATTCTCCCTGCAGCTGGTGGCTCCTACTACATGATTTCCAGGTCTCTGGGCCCAGAGTTTGGGGGTGCCGTGGGCCTCTGCTTCTACCTGGGCACTACCTTTGCAGGAGCCATGTACATCCTGGGCACCATCGAAATCCTGCTGGTAAGAGAGGCTGAGGAGGAGGTGTGGAACCCCAGGTTGTCAGTCAGTTAATCAGTGCTCCCTGGACACCTCCTATAGGCCAGGCCATTCAGTGAGGCCAAAAATGTGGTTCAGTAAGGCCAAAGTCAGATGTGGTTCTGTTTCTAAAGAGTTCACAGTCTAGTTGGGGAGACAAGATACAATAATTATGTAACATACACAGCTGTCGTTTATCAGGCCCCCACTGAGCTCTCAGCATCCTTCCAAGTGCTTTCCAGCCATTCTCTTGTATCCTTACGAGGTTTAAGTATTATGATGCCCATTTTACAAATGAGAAGCTCAGAGAGGTGAGATAACTTCCTCAAGGTCACTCAGCTCTCAGATAGGCGGCAGAGGTGGGTTGATGAGTTAAAATATGGTAGAAATAAAAACAGTAATGTTATGCAGCAGCTACCATTGTGTGATTGCCTCCCAAGGGGCATGGACTGTGCTAGGTACTCTATGATGTTAATGGTAGATGGCTGGTGGCTATTGGATTGCAAAAGAGAAGAACCAGGGGAGGGATCCGTATAAAGACATCTGTTGGGAATAGTGACTGATGGAGAGAAACCAGGTTGCTGGGCAGTGCTTGAAGTCAGGACTGGTGACTTAGGTCTCCATCCTTCATCCCCTTCCTGTAGGGCATGGGTGCTGAAGAGGTGTCCCTGGTGGATAGGAAGTAGAGCTGACATGTCCCAAGCCCCTACTCTGTGCAGGCCCCAAGGCTTGAAGTATATCATTTTATTTTATCGTCATGACTCTCTCATGAGTTAAAGGTGGCCATTTTATTTTATTTTATTTTTTATTTCTTTTGAGACAGAGTCTCACTCTGTTGCCCAGGCTGGAGGGCAGTGGTGCAGTCACTGACAGCCTCGACTTCCCAGGTTCAAATGATCCCCCCCACCAGTTCAGCCTCCCAAGTAGCTGGTAAGCACCACCATGCCCAGCTAATTTTTGTATTTTTTTGTAGATAGGGGTCTCACTATGTTGCTCAGGCTGGTCTCAAACTCCTGAGTTTAAAATGATCCTCCCACCTCAGCCTCCCAAAGTGTTGGGATGACAGGCGTGAGCCACTGCACCTGGCTAAAAGGTGGCCATTTTACAGATGAGGAAAGCAAGGCTCAGAGTTTAAGGAACGAATGGAAGGAATATGAACCTTGGTCTTTCTGACTTCCAGAGCCTTACACAAGTGATGCAGCTTCATTGATGAAAATGATAAGGGTAGAGAAGAAAATAAAATTCACCTATAATCTTACAATAGTTAACATATGGTAGGTCCAGACTCACAAAAAATGAGATTACATGTCACAAACAGCATTGTAACTGAATTCTTCCCATTCTCTCTAAAAAATCAAATATTCACCAAACGCCTACTTCTTGATACATTTACGTGTCCTCTATACCACACTGCCTTGGAAACCTAGAACTAGAAGGTGTCACAGCAATTAGTGTCACGGCAGGATGGAAGAGGGTAGGACAGGGAGGATGGATGGGGCATGAAAGGCCTGAGGAGGCAAATGATGAGGGAGAATAGACCTCCATGACTTCTAAAAATTAAAATATTTGAAAATTGTTGTAAATGCAATTCTGCCCATTGCAGAAAATTGGGGGAATATCCAAGTCATGAAAAAATGTAAAGAAGGAAATAAGTCACCCAAAGAAAATAACCATTAACATTTTGGTGTATTGCCTTCTAGTTTTTGTTTTTCTATGTGGTATTGTATTCTGTCTATGTAAAATATAACCCTATACCTAAGCAACTCATATTCTCTTTGTATATATTATTTGCAGTGAAAATAACTCTTGGAAGAATGTAAACGTTAATATTTAGCATGGGAATTTTAGAAAATACAGATGTGCATAAAGAATAGATTATCCACATTTTTTACGATTCAGGGAAAACTACTGACAACATTTTGATGTACTTATGAAAACACATACAGACGTATACTAATATACGTATATATCTTCACATACACATTTATAAAAATGAGATAATGAGACATATTCTTTTTCAAAAACCTGATTGTGTTCACCTAATGTACCATGGATAGCTTTTAAAGTCAGTCCATATAAATCTATGTCATCTGGCCGGGCACAGTGGCTCATGCCTGTAATCCCAGAACTTTGGGAGGCCGAGGCAGTTGGATCACCTGAGGTCAGGAGTTCGAGACCAGCCTGACTGATACGGTGAAACCCCGTCTCTACTAAAAATACAAAAATTAGCCAGGGGTGGTGGTGGGCACCTCTAATCCCAGCTACTCGGGAGGCTGAGGCAGGAGAATCACTTGAACCCAGGAGGTGGAGGTTGCAGTGAGCCAAGATCGTGCCACTGCACTCCAGCCTGGGCAACAAGAACAAAACTTTATTTCAAAAAAAAAACAAAAAAACCACCACCACAATAAAAAACCAACAACAACAATAAAAAACCAACTACATCATCTTTTTTAATAGCTCCATAGTCTGTGGGGATATCATGATTTATTCACCCAACCTCGAGTGATGAACATTTATTTCCACCTTTCTATTAGAAATTATTAAAATGATAAATAATTATTAAGAATTATAATTAACAAAAATAACAGAAGTAATTGCTTCCAGCATCCTTGCAATGTCATTTTTTAAAAAATGTATTTTTATTTGTTTTTGAGATGGGGTCACATTATGTTGCCTAGGCTGGTATTGAAATCCTGGCTTCAAGTGATCCTCCCACCTTGGCCTCTCAAAACACTGGGATCACAGGTGTGAGCCACCATGCCTGGCCTTATAATGTCATTTTTAAATGGCTGCATCATAGTCCTTGCAGGACAGGCCATGCCTTCTTTAGCGATTCTCCTATTACTGGATGTCTTTTCCAGTCTGGTACCACTGTGACTGTGCTGTGATGAGCATCTTTTTTCCTAAAGCGCTGCATGTAGTGCAAAGGGCTGCTGACTTAGGTATCTGTTCTTCCTGCCCCTTTCCCACAGGCTTACCTCTTCCCAGCCATGGCCATCTTCAAGGCAGAAGATGCCAGTGGGGAGGCAGCAGCCATGCTGAACAACATGCGTGTTTACGGCACCTGTGTGCTCACCTGCATGGCCACTGTGGTGTTTGTGGGTGTCAAGTATGTCAACAAGTTTGCCCTTGTCTTCCTGGGTTGTGTCATCCTCTCCATCCTGGCCATCTATGCTGGGGTCATCAAGTCTGCCTTCGACCCACCCAACTTCCCGTGAGTGCTGCTGCTCTGAGCCCAAGGAATCGTCCTCCTACCTCCCTGGCCCTGTTTCAGAGTCTCTGCCAAACTCCCCCTCCCTGCCCCTCAGAATCTCAGAGTGGTGTGGGTTGGGAGTAGCTTCCCTTGGGAGGGAAAATCTCTCTTAGTTTGGGGGCAATCTCTTCAGAGTGAGGTAACTTTTCTGGAGGAGGGAACAATTTACCTTGTAAGAGTCAACTTCTTGCTGGTAGGGTGGACTTAGGAAGAATTAAGTGGGAATGAGTTCCAAAGCAATGAATGCTGTCTGTGGTAGGGAAACCTTTCCTGGGTGGGGACAACCTCCTGGAATGGGACAATCTCCTAGTGTTGGACAACTCCTCCAGGATGGGAAAAGACACAGAAGTCTACAGGGTCCAGGGACTCAGATCCAAGTCCACTCCATCCACTGCTCAGAGGTGGAGGGCGGCCCCCGAGACCGCTGTCCACGGTGCTGAAACACAGCATTGCACTAATGCGGTGCTTCTCCACCTTGGCTGCTTATTAGAATCACTTGGGGAGCTTAAGAAAAAAAAAAAAAAGCCAATGGCCAGGCTTCATTTAAATTAAACGAGGAACTCTGGATATGGGGACCTGGCGTCCGTGTGTTTAAAAGGTCTCCCGGTGGCTGTATTGTGCAGCGAGGGCAAGGTTATGTGGCTCCCCACCTTCCTCCCTTGTTTCTCTCCCTAGGATCTGCCTCCTGGGTAACCGCACGCTGTCTCGCCATGGCTTTGATGTCTGTGCCAAGCTGGCTTGGGAAGGAAATGAGACGGTGACCACACGGCTATGGGGCCTTTTCTGCTCCTCTCGCTTCCTCAACGCCACCTGTGATGAATACTTCACCCGAAACAATGTCACAGAGATCCAGGGCATCCCTGGTGCTGCCAGTGGCCTCATCAAAGGTCTGCGGAGGGACAAGGGCTGGCATCCAGGGAACGCTGCAGGGATTGTAGGTTAAGCGGTCAGGATTAAGGGGCCCTCCTTGGGATTCAGCTAAATTCAATCAGCTTTAATTGAGCACCTACTCTGAGTTACATTCTGTCCTTGGCATCAGGGAGGAGTAAGGTGAAAAGGAGACAAGTATCTCACCGCTAGTAGGAAAAGAAGTCATCAACGTAACAGGTGGTCACTGAGCACCTACAGAGTGCCCAGCATTGTGCTGAGTGCTAGGAACACAAAATAAATAAGCCACAGTTCCTGGCCTCAAGGAGACTAATGGCAGAAATAGATGTAATAGCAAATACATTATGCCATATGTAGATGTGCATTCAATGCACAGAGAATGCCCGGGGGGGGAGAGTTCATGTGTATAAGATGGCAATAGGCTTCCTGGACTCAACTGAGGAGGGTTTTGAAGGACAAATGAAAGATCTTCAATTCTATGAGAGGAGTAAGGAAATTGCAACCAGAAGAACAGCTTGCCTAAAAGCAGGCAGAGGCAGAAGAGTTTATTGTGTCTTTCCAATCACAAGTAATTTGGTATGACTGGGGCATAAAGAGCAAAATAAGGTGGAGAAAGAAGCGATGTAGGAGAGGCTGGCATGAGCCAGATCATGGCAGGCCTTGGAAGCCATTTTGGAGAGTTGGGACCACATTCTGAAGGCAATGAGGAGCCACCAAGGGGTTTTGGGAAAGGGAGGGACGTGGTCAGATCTCCATTTTTTGAAGGTTCATTCTGGCTGCTAATGTGGATGGGTTAAAGGGGTGAGAGGAGAGAGGCAGGGGGCCCAGGAAGGGGCTGAGGCTATGAGTCCAGGAGAGAGAGATGGTGGTTTTCTGAGTGAGAGTGATGGAATGATGTCTGTGGGAATTACTGCAGTGCTTCTCAACCAGGGCTGTTTTGCCACCCAGTAAACATTTGGCTGTGTCTGCAGACGTTTTTGGTTGTCAAAACTGGAGGGGTGTACCTGGCATCTAGTAGGTAGAGGCCACGATGCTGCTAAACATCCTACAATGCTATAGGACAGTCCTCCACAGCAAAGAATTATCTGGCCGGGAGTGTCACTAGTGCCACAGTGGAGAGACCTTGGAATGGAGAGAAGGGGCATATTTAAGAAATATTAAGGAGGGGTTAAAGGACAGAAGTTGGAGGTGGTATTGAAGTTGGGGAAGGGGAGAGGGAGCAGTGTAGGGCAGGGTGTCAGAATTGATGATGGTGCCATTTACTGAAATATGGGATGCAGGAAAGGAGCTGGTTTGGGGTGGGTGGAGGGTGAGATCAATTTGGGACACATCGACTCAATCTGAGATGGGTCTTTATTTGCTCATTTACTCCACTAGATTGGACTGTTTGATGGTAGTGACTGGGTCTGATTAGTCTGTGAAAGGTCTGTACATAGCCTGGCCCAAATCAGGAGCTTAGGAAATGTCAGTGGAAATGAAATAGAGATAAGGCCGGGGAGAGTGAGATGGGGTTGATCTTGACCCTGACTTTTTGCCCCCTCCCACCTCCTGGTCCCAGAGCTCTGGTCCCCTTATGGCTGGCCTCCCCCTGAGCATTCTGTCTCCCCACAGAGAACCTCTGGAGCTCCTACCTGACCAAGGGCGTGATTGTGGAGAGGAGTGGGATGACCTCGGTGGGCCTGGCCGATGGCACTCCTATCGACATGGACCACCCTTATGTCTTCAGTGATATGACCTCCTACTTCACCCTGCTGGTTGGCATCTACTTCCCCTCAGTCACAGGTGAAGGGGAGCTCAGAGAGGGAAGACTCTGCCTGTGAGTGGATGGGGAAGAGAGAGTCGATGATGATGTTGGGAATTTCTTAGTCCAAAAACCCCATCATGAAAGCAACCGTAACATTTCACTTCCCATTGGAGAGATGAGGGAATTAAGGCCAGGAGAAGCTAAGTAACATGTCCAAGGTCTCACACAAGCCAGTATGTTAGGACTAGATCCCAGACTCACTGACCCTGAGGGTGGTGCCCTTTTTTCTCATCTGTCTGGTCTCCTGTGGCCCTGGCTTGAGTCCTAGCTGCACTTCTGTTTTGCAGGGATCATGGCTGGTTCTAACCGCTCTGGGGACCTGAGGGATGCCCAGAAGTCAATCCCCACTGGCACCATCCTGGCCATCGCCACCACCTCTGCTGTCTGTATCCTGCACAGCTGTGCTGGGACCACCCTCGGGGGAGGGCAAGAGGGAGGGCAGCTGAACTTGCTGCCTTACCTGCTGGTGCAGGAAGGGTGGGGAGGGGGAGGACTGAACCGTGGGGATTCTCCTTTATCCTCTGCTGCAGACATCAGCTCCGTTGTTCTGTTTGGGGCCTGCATTGAGGGGGTCGTCCTGCGGGACAAGTAAGATAATTGGGGTTGATCCTATTCTGGGGGAGGGGTGGGTATAGAAGGCTGAGTTCTGGGAAACAGACCCATCAGGAGGTGCTGGGACCTGTGTGAGGGGCCTGTGGGAGGGAGGCCACGGGGATTGCTTGCAAAGTCATCTTCTTATATTTCATCTTCCTTCTGTCACTCCAGTTTGAGAAGCTTGGATGGTGTCTCATTTCCTTTAGGATAATGATACTTTCCTTTTCTTTAAAATGGATTAATTCAATAGTGTGTCTAACATTTACTGAATGTCCATGTGTTGGTCACACAGACAGGAGTGGTATTTATCTGTGTTCCCTCCGAGATTCTGGAGGCAGCACAGATAAATAACACATGGTTTTTGTACTGAAGGAGCTCTTCTTGGTGGGTCTATACTGGCCAACAGACTTTAAGTGCAGTCGGTAGGGGTGGCCATACAGGAAAGCCCAGGGGCTTCAGTCCAGTCCTTAGGGATCTTCCCAGGGAAGTCTTCTCAGAGGAGGGGAGGCTAGAAGTGTCTTATACACTTTATCTCACTTATCCTTCCTGCTTTTAAGGCTGAGCAGAGATTAGGCAGCTTGGAGGAAGGGCATTCCAGGCAATGGGGAGCCAGGGTGGAGGGGAGAAATGTGTGCGCATGCCTGCAGCTGTGAGTGCTCACTGTCCTGGAGCACTCATGTCTGAAGGGCATGAGCACACACAACTGGCCGGGTGGTGTAGGAGGTCCTCTCAGAATCACTTTCCACTGGTACCACCAGGCTTCTGTAAGGGAATGCAGTGGGGGACGTGGGGCTGGGACCTATGCTGGAGACAGGCCTAGAGGCCTGGTTTTCAGTATCAGGAAATTAGAGAATTATTTTATCAAGGAAAAAACAATGGAACATTTGGGGCTCTGCCTCCCCTGTCACCCTTACAGAACTTAGTCCTGTGGCAGGCACACAGTTGGTTCTGTAGTTGGTATGGAGACCTGCCCTGGAAATCCAGGCAGCACTGCTCACCTGGCATCTCCTGTCCACATCATTCCAGGTTTGGCGAAGCTGTGAATGGCAACCTCGTGGTGGGCACTCTGGCCTGGCCATCTCCATGGGTAATTGTCATCGGATCCTTCTTCTCCACCTGTGGGGCTGGGCTGCAGAGCCTCACGGGGGCCCCACGCCTGCTGCAGGCCATCTCGAGGGATGGCATTGTGCCCTTCCTGCAGGTCAGTGTGGGAGAAGAACAGCCCACCCTCAGTAGACCAGCCAGGCCCCTGCCCAGAGAGACCACACAGTGACCCAGGGCCATAACCAGCCTTAGACTACCTCCTGGGCCACTTCTGCTCTGTACTGCACTGGCCAGGCCTATCTGGCAGGGTCTGAGGCACAGGGACAGGGTGGTGTGGGGTGTCAGGAGTTGGGCAGGGCATTGGGTGGTGCCCTGTCTGTGGCTTCTCCTTCACCCAGATGGAAGGATAAGTGTGTCTTACTTGGGATTTGGCCCATGGTCAGTGCATCCCTTGGAGCACTGTCTGCTCTTGGGGAAAAAATAAATGGCCCTGTTTTGGCACTGTGGTTGGTCGGAGACCTGGGGAGGCAGTCAAAGGGCAAGAAAAGGGTAGCTTTTACCATGGTGCTAAAAAAAAAAGACGGATGGAGCACAGGGTCGTGGTGGCTTGCTGGCTTCCTGACAGCTCCTCTCCCATCTGGTCCTCTGCAGCTGCTTTCCCCCTCTAGGGATCATTTGAACTTCATGGCACTGGGGTGCCGATCTCAGGGTGGGCAAGATGCAGCGAAAGCCTGTTATCCATTTGCATTCTCCTGGAGGAAGAGAAATGCATCCTCTCCCTTCCTCCTCTTTGGTGATAGGATTCCTGCCTCTACTCCACTGGTTCCCGAGGCTAGGGGAGAGGGCTGAGAAATCCTTGAGGTCTCAGTCCCATGATGATTGCTCTTTCCCCAGGTCTTTGGCCATGGCAAGGCCAATGGAGAGCCGACCTGGGCCCTGCTCCTGACTGCCTGCATCTGCGAGATTGGCATCCTCATTGCATCCCTCGACGAGGTGGCCCCCATCCTCTCTATGTGCGTGCCTGACTTCTTGCCCTCCCCCCTGGTTCAGGGTGTTTCTCTATCTGAATCCTGCAGCCGTTACCTGTGACAACCCACCCAGACACTTTAGCAACCCCAGGAAGTTCCCCATTGGTCATAGAAGCCCATCGTTTGTTATAGAGAGATTCATCCACACGTGTTATTAGGGTGTGTTGTGAGGGTATTTGGCTTGAAACCCCTTCCTAAGCACCACAGCATGATCTGGCCACCTCCTGACTTCCTGTCCCCTTTCCCCCTTTCTCTGCCCATGCTGTTGTTTCTGTTTCTGCCTCCCTTTGCATCTCTGTCTCCCCTGGGGCCTTCCTGTGTTCCAGGTTCTTCCTGATGTGCTACATGTTTGTGAATCTGGCCTGTGCAGTGCAGACGCTGCTGAGGACACCCAACTGGAGGCCACGCTTTCGATATTACCACTGGTGGGTGCTCTGTCCCCACACTTCCACTGAGCCACTTGCTCACCTCCACGCCAATCCTCATCTTACTCCAGTCCATCCCCTCTGGGTCTAAGGACCCCAAACCTGAAGAGGACATCCTTTTTTCTCCAGCTTTTGTTGACCAACTCACATGAGGAAGGTCCCCGAGAGGGTCTCCTAACAATCATAAATAATAACATAGCAGCATCATAAGCGGTCTCAGCTGGAATCTCTCTCCTGTCCGTGATGCCCAATAGCTCACAATGTAGCAGGGAGGCTGGAAGTCAGCTGGCCAGAGTTCAAATCATGACTCTGCACTTCCTAGCTGTGAGATCTTGGGCTGATGATGTAGCTTCTCAGAACCTCAGTTTCCTCAGCTGTGAAATGGGCATGATAGCTGCACCTGCCTGTGGGTTCTTGTGAGGACTACAGTACATGGCAGATGCTCATTGCACAGAGGCTGTAGTTCTCTCATCATTTTCCTCTATGGCTCTTCATCCTCACAATAGGCCCTCGGGGGCAGACAGAGCAGAAATGATCATGCTTGTCCTACAAAAGGAAACTGAGGCCCAAAGAGGGCAAGGGACCGGCCCAAGGTCCCCCAGCAAGACTGTGACACAACTGGGCTAGAACCAGGGCTGCCCACTCCTGTCTGGATGCTCCGGCTTTGCTGGTGGCCTTCTCCTGGGAGGACCCGTTTCCACTCCCCTGAGACCCTGGCCTCAGAATGCACCTGGCCAGGCCTGTCTGGCAGGGTCTGAGGAACAGGGACAGGGTGGTGTGGGGTGTCAGGAGTTGGGCAGGGCATTGGGTAGTGCCCTGTCTGTGGCTTCTCTTTCACCCAGAAGATCCCATATCCCCGTAGTCCTCATGGGGATGATGGTGTGAGTTCCCCTAGACCGGGCTGTCACCTCCCAGGTCTTGCCCATGCCCTGCCCCATCTCCCTCTTGCTTTCTAAGTCCCAGCTTCAGCAACAGCCCTGCTGGGGCTCAGAGGCTGGGTCTCCCCACCTTGTCTAGGACCCTCTCCTTCCTGGGCATGAGCCTCTGCCTGGCCCTCATGTTCATCTGCTCCTGGTATTATGCACTGGTAGCCATGCTCATTGCTGGACTCATCTACAAGTACATTGAGTACCGTGGGTGAGTGTGGGGAGTGGAGGTTGGGGTGGCTGGGGAAGGCTGAAGGGTGGTGGGAAGGAGAGGGAAGGGGTCATGAGGGATTGGGGTGGTGGGGGTGAGATGAAGCAGGGAGTGGGAGAGGATGGGGCTGGAGTAGAGGGAGAGGGTGATATGGGATGACATTGGAAGATGGGGGGTGGGAGCAGAGGCTTTGAGAAATGGACAGGAATGGTGAGAGAATGGATTTAGAAGTGATTTTCCAAGGAAACTTAGCCAAGGCTTGGTTGAGTCTGTTGGCAGGAGTGATACACATGTCCTTTCTGAGCCTGAGAGATGGCTCTGCCCT
Source organism: Homo sapiens (assembly GCF_000001405.40). Taxonomy (NCBI): domain Eukaryota; kingdom Metazoa; phylum Chordata; class Mammalia; order Primates; family Hominidae; genus Homo; species Homo sapiens. The sequence continues at coordinate 46,047,899 of NC_000020.11, forward strand.
GGGGTAGCTGGTGCAGTGTAGATGGTTCTCCCTGCCCCCTCCTGGCTTTCTGCTCTCATGTGATCCACTTCCCGGCTCCCAGGGCAGAGAAGGAGTGGGGCGATGGGATACGAGGTCTGTCTCTCAGTGCGGCTCGCTATGCCCTCTTACGCCTGGAGGAAGGGCCCCCACACACCAAGAACTGGAGGTTAGTGGTGAGGGCACGGGTGTGCATAAGAGTGTGTGTGCATGAGTGCAAGGCTCAGGAGACAGGGGGAAGGGAGCAGGGCCTGACTTATCCTGCTTGCTTTGTTTTGCTGAGTCGTGCCCTAAAAGCCCAGCCTTGTCTGATTCCTTCCCACCTGAAACACTGAGGCTGAGCTGAGTTCCAGACATTTATGTGGGTATGTAAATGTCCACATACCCCACCATGCTAGCCTCCTGAGCAGTCATCCATTCATTCATTTCATCATTTCCATCATTTTTTCATAAAACATGAATGCCTGATGTATGGCAAGTCCCCTTCTAGTCTCTGGGGATGTAGGAAGCTCACAGTTTTGTGGAGAAGACACACATGGGGACAGACAAACATCAGATCATGTAGCATTTGCTCTGAGACAGGTGGAATCGTTCCCTTTGAGAGTTATAGGGGCTCTTAGGCATCTCTAGATTAATGACAATTCATCCATTTTATTCACGTGAAAATCAGGGATGCCGAGCGCGGTGGCTCATGCCTGTAACCCAACAGTTTGGGAGGCTGAGGCAGGTGGATCACTTGAGGCCAGGGGTTTGAGACAAGCCTGGACAACATGGCGAGACCCCATCTGTGCTAAAAATACAAAAATTAGCCAGGCATGGTGGCGTGCACCTGTAGTCCCAGCTACTCAGGATACTGAGGCAGAATAGCTTGAACCCAGGAGGCAGAGGTTATAGTGAGCCGAGATTGTACCACTGCACTCCAGCCTGGGTGACAGAGTGAGACCCTGTCTCAAAAAAAAAAAGGGGGAAATTGGAGGTCAGAGAGGATCTCACAGGTCACAGAAGGCAGACCTGGAGATGGAATCCTCACACCCCACCTCTTAGCCCTGGGTGCTGCATGCCCAACCCCTCACTCATCTCCCTGTGTTTCACCTTGCCAAGAGTAGAGCCTGAAACCCTGACTTAGGTTAGGGCATTGTTGACTTGTCTTGGCTGAGCCCAGTTGACTAAACTGGGCTCCCAGAACCTGGGGCTCTATATTATTTATCTGTGAATTCCCAAATGCTCAGCACATGGTCTAGCCCAGAGTAGGTGCTTAGAGAATGCTACGAAGTTGATAGGTGGTTGGAGGACTAAGACGGCTAAATGACTAAGGAAAGGGATGCATAAATAGATGGGTAGATGGATAAGTTTATGTACACGTGGGCGGGCAAAAGCATGAATCGATGGATGTAGGAATGGATGATAGGTAGGTAGATGTGTGGATAATTGAATGAATAATGCATGTATCAGTAAAGAAATATGCATATGAGTGGATGACTGAAGGATAAAATAGGTGGGTGGGTGGTTGAATGGGTAGATAGGTGAGTGAGGTGAATGGAGAAATGGGTTGATGGGTAGATGAATGGATGGGTGGTGAGGGGTATAGGTGGATGGGACAGATGGTTATAGAGGAGAGATGGCTAGATGACCTGGTGGTGGGTGTATGGTGTGTGGATGGTTGGTTACATGGTATATGGATTATGTGACTCTGCACACTCTTCAGGCCACAGCTGCTGGTGCTGGTGCGTGTGGACCAAGACCAGAATGTGGTGCACCCCCAGCTGCTCTCACTGACCTCCCAGCTGAAGGCGGGGAAGGGCCTGACCATCGTGGGCTCTGTCCTTGAGGGCACCTTTCTGGAAAATCATCCACAGGCCCAGCGGGCAGAAGAGGTGAGCAGAGGCCCTGGTTGGGCTTGGGAAAAGGTCAGGACACTTAGGAAGACAGTCTCTATCCTTTTGTACTTTCCTTCCTCATCACCTTCAGGATCAAAGGAAGTGCAGGCATTTCTTTTCTTTTCCTTAGAGGAAGAGCCTAAGAGCCTAGACAGTGAGTTCTTTAGAATTCAACTCACAGCATGAAAGACCATCAGAGGCAGAAGGGCCCATTTTATGGATAAGGAAACTGAGGCTTAGACAAGTCAGGTCATATGTCTAAGGACAGAAAATGAAGATTCAAATTAGGACTCCTTGAACTCCTACTCTAGACTCCTTCCTGCCAAAGTATAAATCTTTCAAGGTGATTTCCCAGCTGTGGACTCTTGATCCCTACAGTCTGGGGTTGACAAGGTGAGTATCCACATTTGATACAGGAAGAAACTGAGACCCAGAGAGGGAAAGCTGCTTGCTGAAAGTCGGAAAGCTGCTTGCTGAAAGTCAGAAAGCTGGTGGGAAGCAACATCAGGATTTGAACTCAGGCCCCTGCTCTGTGTCACCTGCTCTTGGTTCCACCCACTAGTCCATGCTTACAGGGCAGCCTACAGAACCAATGTGGGCTGTGGTGGCCAGTGTCTGCCTTAAGCACACAAAGAGGTGATTGGATCCCAAGGGTAGTAGAGGAAGTAGGTTCTGTCTGAGGGTCAGGCCTTTCTCCCATCAGGGCTGTGGCTAGCAGTGGAGAGAGAAAAAGAGGCCCGAAGGAGCAGAGGTGAGATGGGGAGGGGCACCCCGATGGCTTGCGACAGTCGCTGCTTCTGCCTCACTGGGCTGTTCACACTGATCTGTCAGGGCCCAGAGCTGGAGGCCTTGACTGGTCAGTTCCATTCAACACGCGGTGGCTGAGAATGTGCAGTGCACCAGGCACTGGGCGAGGCACAGGGGAGATGGAGATGTTCAAGACCAAGTCCCAGCCCTCGAGGTGCTCACAGGCTGGTGGGGAAGGCAGAGCATACACAGAAGGCTCTCAGACCCACCGGATGTCGATAAATGCTGTTAGAGTTAATAACATCAGGGTCGTACAATGTGTTGAGTGTTTTCAATTCCTCAGGCAGGATACTAACTAAGCCCTATGTGCATGATGACATGTGGTTCTCCCTATTCCTAAACAAGGTAGCTTGTCCTGACCCCTTGGGTGGTTAGGTGACTCACCCAAGGTCACACAGCCAGGAGGTGGCAGAGATAGGAGTTGAACTTCTATCTGTTTGACTTAGGGGTGGTGGTTAAGAGTGTGGGGGTTGGAGTCAGACTTCCCTGACTTGAATCCTCACAGTAACATTAGCTGTGTGTCCTTAAACAAGTCTTCCTTTCTCCAAGCCTCAGTTTCCCCATCTATAAAATGGGAGTAATAAGACTATTTCCCTCATAGTACAGTTTAAATGGGAGCCCTTAAAATACTTATTATGCTACTTAGAAAGATTGTTGAAACAAATTGTCTGGCTGTGCAGAGAAGCCCAGTTTAATTCTGGTCTGGGTGGGGGTGGTATCTGAAGACGGCGACATTTGAGCTGGGCCAGACAGGGTGTCATGTACAACTTGGCAGGGGCTTGTGTCAGGGTGATGGTGGAGAGCATGTCGGGCAGGGGGGCTGTATGAGCAGTGGGAGGGTGGCAGAAAGTGTGGTCAGATCATGAAGAGCCTTGATTGATCAAGAAGGAATGGGGCACAGAGATGATGGGGAGCCATGTGCCATTCTGGAGCCAGAGACTGACGTGATCAGAGCTGAGCTTCAGGAAGATTGGGATGAAAGGAGGGGAGAGATGGGAGGGAAGGAGGCTACAATGGGCCCAGCCAGGGCCAGGGAGGCCTGAGGCTGGTCCTTGTCTTTTCCCCCTCCCCTAGTCTATCAGGCGCCTGATGGAGGCAGAGAAGGTGAAGGGCTTCTGCCAGGTGGTGATCTCCTCCAACTTGCGTGATGGCGTGTCCCATCTGATCCAGTCCGGGGGCCTCGGGGGGCTGCAGCACAACACTGTGCTTGTTGGCTGGCCCCGCAACTGGCGCCAGAAGGAAGATCATCAGACGTGGAGGAACTTCATTGGTAACGCTATTGGGGGCTGGGGACAGAAGAGGGGTGGGGCTGGGGGCTGTAGAGGGGTGGAACTGGATTTCCGCTCCTTTGGGCCTGAGGGGTTTCCCAAGCACTGCGTGCCAAGTGTGGATTCAGCATATGCAGGTGACAGCAGTCAAGGCTGGCCACGTGCCAGCCACTGTGCTGGGCGCTGGGGACTCCGCTGTGAACGAGACAGTCTTGGCTCCTGCAGCGCTCACAGGCCCTGGGAGGAACACAGTGCAGGGCAGTGGGAAGAGCTACAGCTCTGAAGTCACAGAGGCTAGGCCCACATCTCAGCTCTGGTCCTTCCTAGCTGTGTGACTGTGCACACGTGACTCACTCCCTCTGAGATCAGATTTCTTGGTAATCGTAGGTAATAGTATATATAATAACTAACGTTTCTAGAATGAGTTCTGTGTGCCAGCAAGTTAAGGCTTTCTCTGATTCTCTCATCAGTCCTAGGAGGGCTACGCATTGTTATCTCCATCTTTTTTGATGTGAAACTGAGGCACAGAGAGATTAAGAAGTTTGCTCCAGCTGGGTTCGGTGGCTCACGCCTGTAATCCCAGCACTTTGGGAAGCCAAGGCAGGTGGATCGCTTGCGCTCAGGAGTTTGAGCTGGGCAACCTGGCAAACTACAGAGTAAATGAAAAAGAAGTTTGCTCCAAGTCACAAAGTGGGGAGCCAGGTTTTGAACCAGCCCGGAGGCTACACTGTTAGCTCCAAGCTATTCTGTCTCCTTTATAGGTAGATCATGGTTACAAGGTGTTGGGAGGATTCAGTGTGGTCATACATGATGGGCTCTTAGTAATCAGAAAGGGCAGGTGGTGTTATTGCCATTTGACAGGTGGGGAAACTGAGGCCTAGAGAGGTTGATAGACGTTCCTAGATCTAAACAATAAATATATGATGGGGCCCAAGTAGATGCTGGTTTTCTGACCACTCAGCCCATGGCCAAGGCCAGTTGGAGTGGGGTGGAGTGCTGGCTGCCAGGAGCCCTTGTGGCTGCTGCTGGGTGTTGGGAGAACCAGAGTCACTGTTTCCCCCTCTGGCCCTCTCCTTGGCCTCCCTCAGAGCTGGTCCGGGAAACCACAGCTGGCCACTTAGCCCTGCTGGTCACCAAGAACGTTTCCATGTTTCCTGGGAACCCTGAGCGCTTCTCTGAGGGCAGCATCGACGTTTGGTGGATTGTGCACGATGGAGGCATGCTCATGCTGCTGCCCTTCCTGCTGCGGCACCACAAGGTGAGTTGTGTGCGTGAGTGTATGCACGTGTGAGTGTGTGTATGCATGTATGCATTTGTGTGCATATGTGCACAACTGCAGGTCAGACTCAGGGGCTCTGGCCAGGGTCAGCTTCCGTGTCCTTCCTCCCCTGTAAACTCCTGGGAAAGGGATCTGCTGACCTACTTCATTCTGAGATGTTAGGAACTGATGGTTTCTCCTCTTGCAGGTGCACTGCTGTAAGGAGAGCAATGCTTAGCCCAAGCCAGTGATGCTTTCTTTAATGGGGGACCCTCAGACCTAAGCAGGGAAGGTTTTGTAGAGAGTGGCCCCAAAGACAGAGGATTTGGGGTCTGCATGTATGTGTGAGGAGTGGGTGGGAAGAGGGGAAGGGTGAGCGGACAGGGCCTGGCCCTGGATCTCCTCATCACATCTGGGCTGGACCTTTCTGAATCCCCTTCATCGCCTGCAGGTCTGGCGGAAGTGCAAGATGCGTATCTTCACTGTGGCCCAGATGGATGACAATAGCATCCAGATGAAGAAGGATCTGACCACATTTCTGTATCATTTACGCATCACTGCGGAGGTCGAGGTGGTGGAGATGGTGAGTCCCCAGGAGACACCGCTGGGGTTCCACCTGGCCCTCTTTCCTCTTGGCCCCAGCACCAAGTAGGGCAACTCTAACACCCATCAGCTTATGATGCTGGATCCTTTCCCCCTCATCCATCTCTTAGCCTCTCACATATTCAGCCATCCCTCCCTTCTCTATAAAAGTAGCCATGTCTAGTGCTTATTATATGCCAGGCACTGTTCTATGCACTTTATATGTACATAAATTCCAACAACGACCAATGAGATAGATACAATTATCAGCATTTCCATGTTACAGATTAGGAATATGAAGTGCAGAGAAGTACAGTCACGTATTCATTGCTTAACAACAGGGATATGTTCTGAGAAATGTGTTGTGAGGTGATTTTGTTGTGTGAACATCATAGAGTGTATTTATGCACACCTAGCTGGTACAGCCTACTACACACAAAGGCTTATTGCTCTTATGCTACAGACTTATACAGCATGTTACTCTACTGAGTACTGTAGGCAATGGCAACACAGTGGGAAGTATTTGTGTGTCTAAACATATCTAAACATAGAAAAAATACAGCAAAAATACAGTAATCTTAAGGGAACACCATTTTATGTGCAGTCTGCCATTGACGCACATACAATGGTGTTATTTGGCATATGACTGTAATTTGCCCAATAACACAGAGTACCTGGTGGAGGCAGGATTCAAACCCAGGCAGGCTGGCTCTAGAGCGTGTGCCCCTGGTGATTATCCTGTAGAGCATCTTGTCCAACCATCCTCTCAATTCATGTGTCCATCCACCCATCCCTCTGTGTTTTCATTAATCTACCCATGTATTCATTGAAGTATTCATTCACTCACTCTCCCATTCATTCTTGCATGTATTCATTCATCGCTTTGTTCTTTTTCTTCTTTCCCTTCTCCATTCACCCAGGTGATTAATTAATCCACTCATTCATTAGTTCATCCATTCATATGCCTGGTCCTGTGCTGGGCTGAGGAGGGAATGAGCTGCCTGCCTTGCAAGAGCATTGCCCTCTCTGCTACGTCCTTGCCTCCTACAACCCTTGACAAAATTAATGATTGGGTAGGGAAGCCCTAGGCTGCCAGAAGGACGGGGGCCTTCCTTCCTTCCCTTGGCCTTTCACCTGGGCTCAGACCTCATGCTTTCCTCCGTGTTCCTCTCCCCACCCCCCAACCCCAACCTCTGTCTGCCCACAGCATGAGAGCGACATCTCAGCTTACACCTATGAGAAGACGTTGGTGATGGAGCAGCGTTCCCAGATCCTCAAACAGATGCATTTAACCAAGAATGAGCGGGAGCGGGAGGTGAGGTTGCCCTGGCTGGCCCCTGAGAGCCTCAAACTGCTGCCAGTTCTGGGTGGCAGGTTTAGGATGCCTCAGGGCTGACACTCCTGGCATTTCAACTTCACCCTCATCTCCCTGATTCCCCCAACCACACCTCCTGAAACTGATCTCCCAGACAGCAGGAGTATACACTGCAGCTTCACTGCCAACCTCCCAGCCAGGAGGCAGAGGGACTTTGGTATGGGTGACAGATCTTCTCCTCTGTATGTGACTTCTGGAGCCTGAGAGAGAAGAGTGGATGCTAAATACGTATGGATGATGAGTCCTTAGGGGTGTGGGCTGCCAGTGTGAGGGATAAGGGCTCATGTAGAAACCCTTAGAGAGTGGGTAACAGATGGGTGTTTAGAGATATAACTGATGTGTGGGAGTTAGGGGAAAATCCCCTAGGGTGTGATTGATGGGATCTCAGGGGTAATGGTGATAAGCCCCCCCATAGGGTGTGGGTGTAAGATCTTCTAGGTGTGGGTGATGTAGAACCACCAGAGTATGGATGAAAGACCCACCCAAGGGAGTGGAGTCCTTGGGAAAATGAGTGGTGTTACCCCAGCTGGGGACAGAAGGGCTCCTGGAGGTGGGTGATAAGTTGCCCAGGGAATGGGTGGCAATCCTACACATGAGGGTAATAGAACCATGGGTTTTGAGTCTCCCAGGGGTGGGTAATGTATTTATCAGAATGTGGTTGATGGATTCTCAGGGGGATGAGTGATGGGTACCACTTTGAGATGGGAAGGATGGATCCTCCAAGGCTGGGAGTGTTATCCAAGGGAGGTAGTAAAAATGGTAAAACATGGCATGGTCACTGACCAGTGGACTGAGGACTGACATTGGACCATAGTGCTAGGCAGAGCCTTGCTGTGCCAAGGTTAACCCTTTTGTTGCCAGATGAGGTCTGGGGTTCTGGAGAGGAGGTGGGGCAGGCAGATCAGTGGTGCAGTAGCTATTTGGTCTCAAATCATAGCAATATTTTAACAACTGGTACAGTTCCAGAAAGTGCATCCTGGCTGAACATCATCTCTGGTGATAGCTCTTTGCAGGGCATGGGTGGTGACTCCCAGCAGAGCTGGCACCAACCTATGTCACTCCCTAGATCCAGAGTATCACAGATGAGTCACGAGGCTCAATCCGGAGAAAGAATCCAGCCAACACGCGGCTCCGCCTGAACGTCCCAGAAGAGACGGCTGGTGACAGTGAAGAGAAGCCAGAGGAGGAGGTGTGCAGCTTGGGTGGTTTGGCCCCAACCAGTGGGAGCAGAGCCCTTGGCCTCCAAAGGACTCAACTGCCATCGCTTCATTCATCCCTCAGGTGCAGCTGATCCACGATCAGAGTGCTCCCAGCTGCCCCAGCAGCTCCCCGTCCCCAGGGGAGGAGCCTGAGGGGGAAGGGGAGACAGATCCGGAGAAGGTGCATCTCACCTGGACCAAGGACAAGTCGGTGGCAGAGAAGAATAAGGGCCCCAGTCCTGTCTCCTCTGAGGGCATCAAGGACTTCTTCAGCATGAAGCCGTACGGGCCTGGGGGCTAAGGGCTGGGGGCTGGGGTGAGCTAAAGGGTCTTGCTCCCCATGGCAGAGCAAGAGAGCAGAAGGCATCCTGGTCTGTCAGCCTGCAGACCCAGCTCAGACATTGTCTTGGTTTCTCCATCTGAGGACTTAGGGGGTTGGGCCCCATTGCTAAGTCTCAGAATTCCCAGTTGCAGGCAGCGGAAAGGTGAAGGGTGTGGGGGCTGGCAGAGCAGGACTCAGGGCAGATGACCATGGCCCAAGCCCCCAGTGTCTTCCTCTTTTTCTGACTCTGCTCTTTTTCTTTCTCTCTTTGCATCTCTTGTGTTTCCTGAAGGGAGTGGGAGAACTTGTAAGTGCTTCAGCATTTTTTCATTCTCTCTCCTAGGATGGCCAGGGTCCCTACCCTCCTCACTCTGTTGTGAACCCCTAATTGGTGCCACGACCTCTGGGATCTCTGAATAGCCTAGCCTGGAGATGTTTAGGATTGGTGGTCCTAGGCTTGCAAGAACCAGTCCCCAGCAGCCCAGTTCGGGCTGGAAGGGCGACTGGCTCCAATCTTCTCTACCCCCCCGGCTCACGCGGTCTCCACTCCTCCTTCCTGCCGCAGGAACCAGTCCAACGTGCGGCGCATGCACACGGCCGTGCGGCTGAACGAGGTCATCGTGAAGAAATCCCGGGACGCCAAGCTTGTTTTGCTCAACATGCCTGGGCCTCCCCGCAACCGCAATGGTGATGAAAACTGTATCCTGGAATTAAAATTGGGGGAAAGAGGGAGGTGGACGTCAGGGAATCTGGGTCCTGTCCCTGGGATGGAAGAGCTGAGCTGTTCCTGCCTCCGGATCAGCACCTCGGACAGGGACACGGGCGCGAGAGGTCCCCTGGCAGCCGAGCGCGACCCCAATTTCGTCGGGAGGGAAGGAGACCGGGTCTTTCTCCTTGACCGGCTCTCAGACATGGAGTTTCTCGAGGTCCTCACAGAGCACCTGGACCGGGTGATGCTGGTCCGCGGCGGCGGCCGCGAGGTCATCACCATCTACTCCTGAGAACCAGGACCTGCCACCCGGGCCCGAGCGCGCCCGGCCCGCGGCTCCGGAGCCCTCGCCGCGCCCCCCGCCGCTGTCACCGTTTACATACAGACCCTGTGCCCGTGTCCTGGCCCCTTACCCCGCTGCCTGAAGCCCGGAGGCCACGCCTGTTGGGGCTGATTCGGAGAGGGCGCCCCGCCGCGCAGAGACCAGAGCTCCTCAGTGCCAGTTTGGCCCCTGGGTCTTCGCTGCCCTTTTTCTAAGCCCGGCCTCGTCTCGCCGGAGGAGACGCTGCAATAAAGGTTGGGAGAAGGCGCGGAAAGGAGAGGAGCTGGGGCCTTGGGGACCCCCAGGTAGTCCATGCGGCCCATTCCTCCCCTTCCCACTCCCGCCGCGGTCCTCGCTCTGCGCTCCTCCGGCGCTGCTCCCTGGCTCCCGGCGGCCCGGAGGCCCGCGGGGTGGGAAGGCCGCGCTTGCCGTCTCCGCCGCCCCTTCTCGCCGAGCCGTGGGGCGCGGGCGGCCGAGCCTATACATAGTGTACAGGAGACATCGCGTGTATTTTTAACGTCCCCATATTTATGTGACTAGAAGCGCAACAGACTTCTCGCCATAGTCGAGCTCTCCCGCTGGGGGCACTGCGGGGAGGCGAGGCCTCGGGAAGCTGAATTTTCCTTGACGTCCAAGAGTTTGAGAGCGAAAGTGCTTTAGGCCCAGGCGGGGGTCGTGGCCTCGTTCCCTCGACACCTCCGTCCTGCTCTCGCCTCTTCGCCCTTTCCGCGCGCCCTTGGCTTCCCACCCTCCTCTCCAGTCCTTTTCCGAGATGAGGTGAGACAAGGGTCCAACTTTTCCTGGATTCGCCTCCCAGCGGACGTGAGCTTCCACTGCGGCTGCAGAGACGCGAGCAACCTCTTCTCATCGGCTCTTATGCAAGTTGGGGCCAGGATAGGGGAGGGGTGCTCCTCAAGAGGAAGAAACCGAGAGGCCCGCGCCCCACCGAGGAAGCCCCGCCCCGGTGCCTTCGCTGGGGAGCAGGCGTCTCTCCTCAGTCGGCTTGTCGCCTGCTCCCCGTATCCCATGGCTCCTCGCCAAAGACTGAAATTGTGGAGCTGGAGGGCGCCCCCTCCCCGGAGTTTCCTCCCTGGGACAAGTGAGGGAGGAGGGGGCCGATTCTGGTTTAGGGGCCGGACCCACTGAGAGGCCCCAGAGCCGCCCGTGATGTTCCTCCCCCGTCCCCATCTGGCAGCTCCTGTCTCGCCTGAGGGACCCAGCCGCCTTCTCCGTGCTCTGGGGCCGGGCCTCGCTGCTTAGCAGCGGCCTCTAGCTCCGTCTCCCGGGGACCTGGGCCTGAGGGAGGGCTGGAGTCGCACGCGCTTTGTCCTTAGCGCCTGTCTGCTCTCCTCTAACTAGGACCCAGGGCCTTTGGCTTCCCCAGCTCATCCTTGGCCCTTCCGCTCCACCAGCCTGGTCTGAGGCGTGCTCTGTCCTTAGAGAAGGCGCGGTGGCCGGGTTCCCTTCCCCTAGGGCACATTACTAAGGGGGTCAGGCACTGCATGCTCGTTCCAGCACCATCTGGGACTGGGTACAGTACCTCCAGCCCCAGGGCCCTGACCTGCGCACCTAGCTTGACATCTCACGCACCTCCCAGAGCTGGCGCCACTGAGTAATCCGGACCTCACCACCTCTTTTCCTTTGAGCCCAAGGCAGAGCTGGAGCTGGCGCCACCCAGACAGCGTCAGGTGTGGCTGGGGTAGGTTTGGAGGTCTGCCAGTTACACCAAGTCCCCTCTGAGATTCGATCAGGGGACTGGATAGATTCTTTCAGGTACTCAATCAGGAAGCTGGAGGTGTTAGACACCAGCCCCCTGCATCCTTCAGTAGACCTCCCTCTGAACACCACAGCCAGGTCCTGCCTTCTGGGGGCCTGAATATTCCAGAGCTGATGTGATGGGCTGTGCAGAAGGGGGCTGTATCAACATCAATTAGGGAACCAAAGTTGCACTATCTGGGCCCAGATTGTCTGGTTGGCAAGAGCAAAGTTTCCGTTGATGAAACAGACATCCCACAACAAAAACCCAAGTTTTCTGTGCTACATGTGCAATATTTGTTATGAATGTTATCACAAGTCATTCATCAAGTTATCTTTATAATCACTGTAGTTAGATGTTTCATGTCCATTCAAGTGACTTTTATTCTGAGTGCAATATTTCAATAGCCTTGTAGTGATAACTAGTGTTGCTTTTGTTTTAGATGATCTATGTGCAGGGCAATGCAATGAAGTTGAAAACCCTTGTAAATAGGAGAGGTTGCAAACCAAATCAAGAGTATTTATTACTATTACTGCTATTATTATTAGGCCTGCCTTTAATTTTCAGTGTAAGTGTTCAGTATGCCGCATCCTGCCTCAGTATTGATCTTGTGTTCTTTGTGCCAATATGAAAAGGAGAGGGTTGGTTCTTTCCTTTATTGTTGAATGCTCCCATTTAATGCTTTATGGCTTTTACTGTGTTACTTTTTTAGACTCCCGTCTGCACAAAATGCAATAAAAATAATTTTATTATACCCTTCATGGCCTGAGATGTGCTGTTTGGACACTCCAGGGGGCCCTCCAGGAGGACCCCACACTCTTAAATCAGAAACACTGACCACCGACAGAAGAGATGGGCTAATGGCCCAGGTCTGGTGATCTAATTTATCCACCGATAGCTCCAGGGCCCTGGCCTGGAGAGCAGCACTATCATCTCCTAAGAGACTGGCAGGCACTTACTAGGTGTCAGGCTGCACTGGCATCTTCTAGGAGGTAGTGAGCACTTTCTAAGTGTAGGTGTCAGGCTGCACTGATACCCCCAGGAGGCAGTGAACACTTAACTGGTGAGGCTCAGTGCTCTTGGCACGTTGGTCCCTAACTCACTGGAGGCCTGTGCCACCCACTTCACCACACCCACCCCAAGTTATTAAATGCTCTTCAAGGCTCCTTCAGGTTCTATGAATTCTGCCAACTCCCTGCACAATGGGTAGAACAGAGGGTGGCAACTGAGACAAAATGAAAACAGGAAGTGCCCCCCTACCAATGGCCATTAACCACAAATGGCCTCCTCACATCCTGTTTTCCTTTCCTAGAATAAGAGGACAAGGCTGCTGACACAATGAATGTCTACCAGAAGCAGGATGTTGAACACAGCACTATAATTAGCCAACAGGCCTTTGCTCTGAACTGTTATTAAAGCCTCTAAGTGAGCTACCTATGAAGAGAAGGCAGGGTTCAAAGAGGTTTGAGGCCGGATCATATGCTGAGGACAAAAGGGGGCAGACCAGAGTCCTCGAGACAGGAGCCCTCACCTCTGACTTGGGGAAAGCATCCTGCAAAGAGCATATTCACACCCAAAAAAGATGAACAAAGCTTTTACTTTTTTCATTTTAATTAAAAAGTAATCATTTCATTTTATTAACAACACAAGAGTTCCAAAGAGGAAAAAAAAAACCACTATATAACACAAACAGGTCAGAACATAAAATGCTGCCATTTGGGGACCTTGAATTTTGAAACCATTGTTTGCTTAACCACTGGCAGGGACTCAGCTGAAGTCGCTGCTCTCCCTCACCCCTGCTAGAGGACCTCAAGACTGTGATCCACAGGGCTCTACTGAGCACAAACCCTGGGGAGAGGGCAGCTTCCTGGGGCTCCATTTAGAACCACAGCCAGAAACCCTCCTTCTAACAATTTCACTCTGGTACAAAAGTCGCGAACAGCCACCCATCTCGAGAACATGTCCAGCTACCAGAAGTCTGACATCAAAGTGGTCCCTACCTCCTGCTGCTCAGGAAACAGAATAAGAGTCTAGACAAAAACAAGAGCCTGGGGTTTTGAGCCAAAAGCCCAAAACAAATCACTGAAGAAACGGGTGTTCACGGCCAGAGTCTCAGAACCAACTTCATGGAAGTGCTGCTGGAGAGGGGGATGCTGACAGAACTGGTTAACAGGGAAGAGTGGTGGGGCCCAGATTCACAGTTTGTGGTAACTGCTGCTGACTGGAGCTGTTCAGTCCATTGGAGATCTTCCAATGAAATGAAAACAAAAAAGAAAAGAGAAAAAAACAAAAAACAACCTTGGCTCAGAGAGAAAAATTCTTTTTTCTGTGGCTGCCATGGCCATTCCTCAACAATCCAGAGTGGCTGATTTATGAATCCTCAAGCAGACCCCAAACATATGGGGTGAGGGTATGATGACACTGTGCCTGCCAAGGCCAGTTTGCTTTTCTTCAACTCTAGGCAGGAGTTGCAGGCAGGAGCTTGAGCTCTGGTCAATGTGTATGAAGCTGGAAAGCCTTGGTAGGTTCACAATGAACAAAGGTGGTGGCTACTGACATGACAAATGCCATTCCAAACTTGGCTAGCTGGGCCTGGCTCCAAATCCAGTAGAAACAGGGACCGGAGAAACCCCATCAAATACAAGCCCAGACACCTGTACTGCCCCCGGAGATATTTATTTTCTACAAAACAAAAAACAAAAAAAGATACAGCCCCAAATGCAGTATAAACTTTGTAAGGAATAAGCAACACAGCCTTGGGCAGAAGAGAGAGCAGGTGGTAGAAATTGATGACACTCGATGCCGGCCTGGGAGCGCAGAGAACATCCTCCAAACAGCTCTATTTAGAACAAGTAAGTGGGAGGAGGCCAGGGGATGAGGGGACTGGGGAGAGTTGAAAGATTTAGCTTCAGTAATGCCTCTGGTAAGATCCCATGGGGGCCTGTGGCTGCCCCATCTGTGCTGTGGTCTGGCTAACCAGGTGGGAGAGAGCAGGGCCACTCTGGATCAGGGTATCCAGAGCCTTCTGTACACTTGGATTGTCAAAGTTGATACCTGTGGAAGACACAGGCCTCTGGCTAGTCATGTTGCTAGCAGGTGCCAGGCGACTGGAAGGCTGGCCAAAAAGCCCTTGGGAAGGAGCCCCAGGTCTGGGGCCCATGTTCTGAGCAGATCCTCCCTGTCCCAAAATGCTTGGAGGCTGATTGCCAGAAGCCTGTGATCTTTGTTGAGGCTGGCTGTTTGCTGCTGTGGAAAAATTCTGGTTTGGGGTGTTTCCGGCAGCAACCGAGGGGGATGCAGAGCTGCTATTGGCCGTCACTGTGCCACTATTGAAGAGGCTGAGGATTTTGGCCTGAAGCTCTTGCTGGGAGGTGGGGGGTGCAGATGGAGTGGGTGTAGCAGAGGGGAGCACTTGGCCGCTCTGGAGCGGTTGGGAGCTTGGCTGTGTCTTCAGCGAGGCACCCGAGGTCGCCCCGAGTGGTTGGCGGGAAATCGGGCCTGGAAGACAGAAGAGGGAGGTATCTGGTTCAAAGTACCCCCCAAGGGCAGGAGGCCTAGCAGCCAAAGGAAGAACAACAATCACTGAGTCACATCAATCATACAGTACACAGACGATAACATCAATTTCCCAAAGAGGCCGCTTCATGATATGTGCTGTTTACAGAAAACAATAGGCTAGTTCCCCTAGAGAACTGCTAAAAAACAAAAGGGCATCCATCCTGGCTACCACGGAGCCAGCAATACTAGTCAATCCACCACATTAACTATAGGGATCAGCATTCAGTACCCAAATATAAAGTTATTATTAACATTATATCAGCATGGGTGGCCCACGGGAGAACCCAAGGGATGGACTTAGTTCCCTTACCCACTCCAAAGAGCCCTGGGCCTGACACCCTCCCAACAGAGCCTGGGGATTAGAGAAATGCAGAGTCAGAACTTCACCTCGGCCCTGCCACGTAGCTCACCAGGCAGAGAGTCGGTGCTGCTCCTCATCAGCCGCTCCTTCCGCTCTCGCAGGTAGTTGATGATCTTGTCAGTCTCTTCAGCAGTGAGGTACCTGTTGTCTGCCAGCAGGTTGATGAGGCTCTGGATGGCTGGAGGGTGGCCCCCACGCACTCCCTCCTCAGGGCCTCCTCTCTCTCTTTCCTGCAGGATGGCTTCATCGGCCATCTTGGCTGCCTGTCTGGCAATCTCCTCACGTTCCTTCTCCCGGCACTCATTCTTGTAACGCTCATAATTTCTGGCCACCAGCACCATGGCATCTGCTTGGGGCATGTTGCGATGCTCTGTAGGAGGAAATGACATGAGTTATTTTCTTCCATGACATATTTAAGTGCCCACCTGCTGCACTCTGTCAAGTCTTTCCTAACCTCATACCAGCAAGAAAATCATTTTGGTGACAAAAAGCCTTGAGATTGAGAGTGGGGTGGTGTGGGGGGAGAGATGAAGGCCAGGAAGGGAAGTGAACGAACACTTTTGGTGAGGAGATGCACCTTTATATACAGCTGGTTCTTTGGGGGAATTCCTAGATCACAGACTTGTAGTAAAAACCAAAGAAACATGACATCCTCCCACAGATTCAAACAGACCACGTGGGGAACAGCCATGGGAGGCAGGCCCAACAGCCTCTAGACCAGCAGCAGGAGGCCAACAGGCCCCTCTGGAAAGCAGGGCTCTCCACTGTGCTCCTCAGGACAGAGCTGGCCTACCATTTTTTAATTCATCAGTTCAAAAGTCATAGATTAAGATCAAACTGTGACCCTAAATAACCTCCTCTCCTCACCCATGGGCAACATGGTTTACTGGGTAGTGAGAGGACTCCTTAGAACTTTTGTCCTCACACATCTTGAGGACTATTCCTCAGACAAATGACCCACTGGAGATCCTTATGTAATTGTATGGTTATGAGGGTAATGGGTGAGGCAAAGAGAGATCCTGCGTATAGTGGGAAAAGGGTTAAGTCTGTGCTGTAAGAGTGAGGAGCAGGGTATCAGCTGGCGGACTCTTAATCCTCTGGGCTCAATGCATTAAAAGCTACTTCTGAGGAGGACTTCGAGAACTGGGCCTGGGCCTCTACAGGGTCACGGCCTCTTAGCCCCTCTGGTTACTTCTCCAGCACACTTACAAAAAGGACCCTAAATGCCTGTTATATTCTCTGTCCTCCATTAGAAAGCTGGCAGAAGCAAGGATTTTGTCACATTCAGTGGAGTACATGGCAGAGGTGTGCTGGAGCCAGATCTCAGTGGCAAGAGCCAACTGTGTACATTTCTTTCCAACTCTCCCTTCAGTGACTTCAGGTTGGTGGCTTGAACT
The DNA here is from genome assembly GCF_000001405.40 of Homo sapiens. NCBI lineage: Eukaryota > Metazoa > Chordata > Mammalia > Primates > Hominidae > Homo > Homo sapiens. The sequence goes on from NC_000020.11 coordinate 46,064,708, forward strand.
GAAACATGGTGGGAGTATTTACACCATGGAGATCAGCAAATGCTATAAACGCCCTCCCCCCACACTGGAACTTGTTGTTACACGTGTGCCAGCACACCACTGTATATACCTAGTGGCTAAGTATAGTGTAACAGAGATCCACTAAGAAACTATCAGATAAGTAAGTGACTATGCAAGACTCTTCCATGGTACTTAAGAGAGGGGCCCTACCATATATGAACTGAGATATAAGAGTCATTTGCCCAAAACCTGCTTCTTCTGAGTAAGGCATAAAGGACTAATAATGGACTAGTGACTACCTCCGGTATTCTGACTCTGTACCTTGCGGGGTTCCAAACATGATGTTGACTGTGCAGGAGCGGTGAATCTGGTGTTGCTGGGTGATGACAATAGCAAAAGGAGAACCTCCCCTGCTAACATCCTCCAAGGCTTGTGACAGTGACACTTCTGTGTTAAGGAAGATCAAGTCCACTACCATGCCCAGGTCTCGCACCTTCCGCCCCACAGACTCAGCATAGTCTCTGTAAAAATAAATAAGATCCAGGTGAGCGACCAACTCCAAATCTGCATCGTGTGTCTCAAGCCAGTTGTGTGTGTTCCTACTGATAACTCAAACCTTAGTCTACCCCAGTACCGTATTCAGGATCCAAGTATCTAGACCAATACTCTCTCTCTACCCTGGCTCAGAACGGTTGTGACTTGCTTGAGATCACGTCAGAAGTTGCCAGTAGCACAGTATGATACCCAGGTCCTTCTCTTGATTCTCTAGCCCTGTGGTCCTTCCTTAAGACCATCCTGCTCCCTAAGACTTGTGGCACTTATCTCTTTTTGGGTAGGCTGCACAACACAGTGGGAAGATCATGGGTTTAACGCTAGAAACATGGGTTTGGATCCCAGCCCTTAAAATTTATTTGCAAAGTTGTGAAGCTTAAGCAAGTCCATTTACCTCTTACAAACATCAGTTTCTTTACTAATAAAACAGGAGTAACATGGCTCAGTTCATACGTCATTTTTTTGACCTTCCCTCCAATCTAAATTAGATCTCTGACATTCTCTTCTCATAGGACTCATCACCTGTATGCTTTTGTCACCTGCCCCATTGGGTGTAAGCTCCACCAGTGGAATGAGGCTATACAGCCCCAATACCCGCCATCCACCATACGTATAAAAGATTTGCTGAATGCTCATTTTTTATGATTACTGTGAAGATTAAAAATAATTTATGTAAGGCACCTAGTATGGGGTAGTACATAAAGTAGGTGCTCAGAAAATAACAGCTATTATCATGTGTCCAAAAAAAGCTCTCTAGAGTTAAAAGCAGCATCTATCACTGAACAAGACAGCCAAGAGCCTGTGAACTCTGCCTACTGCTTGGTGTCTCAACACCTATTTCCCTAGTCACTGCCTTGAAATTAGCTCTTTAACCCCAAACTGCTAGAAAATACATGAAGTTATTTACTTAGTACCACCTAGGGAAAGGGAACATAGCTACTGCCAAGCCTGCAAGCTGCTATACTCCTTTCTGCTTCTCTGCTCTGCCTCTTCAAGGAGAAAATGTAAAACAGGGATGCAGTGAAACAATGCTATAAGCCCTAGCTTGGTAACATGGTCATGTAACAGTTCTGCAAGGCCATGGTACTTCACAAAGACTTGGTTCTTGGCTGACAAATGCAGAGGCGTGTCTCCCAAAGTATTGGGCATTTGGGTTGTCCCATGAAGGGAGTATATACTACTCTGCTTGACCAGCGGCTACACCCTCTTCCACTCTCAGTCTGCATGGTTCCACAGGGCTAATCCCACCTCTAGCTCTTGGGATGGGAACATGACTTAGCCCTGGCCAATCAGAACACCCAGCACCCCTGCCAAAGTGACAGGCTCAGGGATGGGAAAGTGAGTCAGGTCAATCTAAAAAGAACTGCAGAACTTCAGGTGGAAACACTGGGAAAGAGAAGTTCTCTTTCCACTTGGCTTGCTAAGCTAAGAAGACACACGTTCAGGGCCAGTGCCATTCTGCCTCTTCAAGCACAAAACCTGCCTGAGAACAAAGGCAAATCTGAGGAAAACAGTGCTTAGAGACTAACACAGAGACCAATTTTGATGACATGGTTTGATCCTGGATGTGGCTGTGCCTCAATTTCCCAGTTAATTTTTGCTTAAATGAAAAATGTCCCTTTTGGCCTCAATTTGAATTGAGTTTTCTGTCACCTATAACTGAAAGAACCCTGGCTAACAGCGCACAGCAATGCAAGAATACACAGCTCAGATTCAGTGGATAGAGGTGCTAAACAGGAGCCTGAATTTCTCTGACTCTTCTCCTTACTGGGGAGAAATATCTAAGGGTTCTTACTTTGTCTGTTTGTTGACCACAATCACAGAACAATCAACGGGCCTTTCGGCATCAAAGCGTCTCTGGATTTCCTCAAAATATTGACGATAAAGCTCTTCTCTACGCCGTTCCTCACGTTTCAAACGCTCTGCAAAACACCACCAGGGTAAACTGAAATAAGGACTGGACCCTCATTTTAAATCCTGAGCTACTTGTAGGCAAAGGTCATAATACTCTGAATCAATCCTCTGGTCTATCTCCTAAAAACAGCCAGTATTAATATTTTTTACTATTATAAATTAACCAAAATGTAATGCTGGATTAAAGGACGTGGCCATTTTAATGCTGCATCTGATACTTACTGCCAAGCTGCTCCCTGAGAAGGCTGATACTAATTTATACCTCCACAGAGGTAGATCATCTAGTGCCTATTTCTCCACACCTTAGTCAACAGTGAGTACTGTCATTCTTTTTAAGTCTTGCCAACTTGACAGATAAGAATATTATTATTATTCTAATCTGCATTTTTGCTTTTTTTTTGGGGAAAAAATCAAGTAGTAAAGTTTAAAATTAAAAATTTAAAAGTTCTTTTTTTAAAAGAAAAAAATCAAGTATAAAGTTTAAAATTAAAAAATTAAAATTAAAAATGAGATTCTTAAAGATTTCAACTTGGCCAGGTATGAAATAATTTAAGAACCTTTAAAGATGTATTGAGAAAAACCAGGCTTTAAAAAGACATGTTTGCCTTCATCTAAAAAAGAGATGCTGTTAGGTAAAAGTTATAAAAAAAACCAAAAACCTATTTTGCCTAGATAATGCAGATAGTCAGTCATAGTTACTTGGTCAGTAGGCAAAAAACAAGCACTTAATGTCTTCAGCTCCAATCTTTTGTTCATTTTTCTCTTTTTTTTTTTTGAGACAGGGTCTCACTCTGTCACCCAGGCTGGAGTGCAGTGGCACAATCATGGCTTGCTGAGACCTCAACATCCTAGGCTCCAGCGATCCTCCTGCCTCAGCCCCCCGAGTAGCTGGGACTACAGGTGTGCACCACTGCACCAAGACAATTTTTGTATTTTTTTTTGTAGAGATGGGGTTTTATCATGTTGCTTAAGCTGGTCTTGAACTCCTGGGCTCAAGTGATCTGCCGGCCTTGGCCTTCCAAAGTGCTAGGATTACAGGTGGTGGCCACAGTGACCAGCATTTTGTTCATTTCTTATTGCTGGAATTTCATATTTATTTCTTCTTGTTGGATGACTAAACCAGATGATGGTACTAATTTGCATCTTAAAAATCATTTTCAAGCCAAATGCTCTTTACCCACTAATAAGCTACTTATATTTCTTCTTTTTATACACTGCTTGGCCAAGGCACTAGCCCTTTTTCAGATGGGGGTACTGGTTATTAGTTTCCTCTCTCTTTTGTAAAGTGTTCTATCAATAATAGGAATAGACTGTTTCAGCTACTTTACCTTTTGCACGAGACTGACTTTCTGGGCCTGGAGGGCCCCGTCCATCAAAGCTATCTCTGTAACGGTCAAAATAAGAGTCATCCTTTCTCCTGCAATAGTCATCCATTCGTAGGTATCGGTCATAAGAGCCTTCTCTCCTGAAAAGTTAAGGAAATTTTCATAAAGATAAAACTGTGTCTTATCCTGAAAAAGTCACCTAGAGAATTCTCTGGGATTAGACAAATGAGGTTTATATCTGGGACTCACTGCATTATCAGCTCTGTGGCTGTGATAGAGTTAACCTGTCTCACTGAGATGATGTACAGAAAGCACTTAGCATGGTCTTTGGCATATATTAAATGCAAAATAACTGGCAGGAATTATTGATACTAGTTTTGAGGAAACATTACATGTCCCTCCCTTGTGCTTTTTAAAATTATATCTAAACGCATATAACAATAATTTGCCATTTTAACAATTTTTATTATTATTATTATTTTTTTTTTAGTAGAGATGGAGTTTTGCCATGTTGCCTAGGTTGGTCTTGAACTCTTGAGCTCAGGCAATCCAATCCGCCCACCTCGGCCTCCCAAAGTGCTGGGATTACAGGCGTGAGCCACTGCGCCTGGCCTAACAATTTTTAAGTATACAATTCAGTGGCATTATATTCACAATGCTGTGCAACCATCACCATTATCTAAAATTTTTCATCACCTCAAACATAAATTCTGTATTCGTGAAATAACTCCCCTCTCCCCAGCCACTGGTAATCTTTAATCTATTTTCTGTCTCTATAAATTTGCGTATTCTTGATATTTCACATAAAGTGAAATCATACAATATTTGTCTTATGTCTGGCTTATTTCACTTAGCATAATGTTTTCAACGTCCTTCATGCTGTACCACAGATCAGAATTTCATTTCATTTTATGGCTGAATGATACCACATTATATGAATACACCACTTAAAAACAAATCCACACAGTGGCTTACACCTGTAATCTCAGCACTTTGGGAAGCCAAGGCGGGAGGATACCTTGAGCTCAGGAGTTCAAGACCAGCCTGGGCAACACAGTGAGACTCCACGTCTATACAAAAAAATTAGCCAGGTGTGGCGGCATATGCCTGTAGTCCCAGTTACTTGAGAGGCTGAGGTGGGAGAAGTACTTAAGCCTGGGAGGTCAAGGCTGCAGTGAGCTGTGATCATGCCACTGCACTCCAGCCTGGGAAACAGAATGACACCTTGTCTCAAAGAAAAAAAAAAAAAATCCATTAATCTGCTGATAGACATCTGGAGTGTTTTTACCTTTTGGTTATTGTGAATAGTACTGCTATGCATATTCATGTACAACTGAGTCCCTCTTTTCAATTGTTTTGAGTGTATACTCAGGAGCGGAACTGATAGATCATATGGTAATTCTATGTTTAACTTTTTAAGGAACTGCCAAACTGTTTTCCATAGTGGCTATACCAATTTGCATTCCTACCTACAATTTCTCAGAGTTTCAATTTCTCCATACCTTTCCAACACTGTTATTTTCTGTTAAAAATGTTGAAAATCATTCATACATTCAGCAAAATTTATTGAGCAGCAGCACATCTATCACTTGACAGTCACCAGAAATAAAAGGCTGATAAAATGACTGCTCTTACAGAGCTTTCAATTAGTTTAGCAGAACATACATAAAAAGAACTCAGGAAAAAACAAGCAGAGTAACTACGTATGTACCTGTACATAGGATCTCGGGAGTCTCTCATGTCTCTGTATCTGTCGTACATGGGGTCTCGCTGATCTCGAAAATCCCTAGAGTCTCTTAGATCACGAAAGTCTCTAAGATCCCTCACGTCCCGAACGTCGCGCACACTCCTGCTGTCTCTGTGATCCCGCAAATCTCTACTATGTCTGTGGTCCCGCAAGTCTCGGGGGTCTCGAATGTCTCTGCTGTCCCGGGCATCCCGGCCATTTCTGCCATCCCTGGGCTCTCTCCTTGGACTTCCTCGAATTGGGGATCGATCACGCCTTGAATCTCGACTGTCTCCAAAGCCATATGGATCCCTGTGGGAGGTAGCAAGAAAATGCTAAGACAAAGAAATTGAAAGTAGCCAACCCATCAGCTCTTCATATGAGAAAACCCCCACCCTCCAAGCATTCTTCTCTAAAACAGGGCAGCCAAACAGAACATGACTCAACATTTAAGGCCAGTCATCCATCTGGTCAGCAAATAGTCTAGAGGTTCCACAATCTCAAAAGATTAGGACATCAAAAGAATGCATGACCAAAAACTGAAGGTTTTGACTGGATAACAGTATTCATCAGGCTTTCAAAGTGAAAGTGTCTTTCCACCAGACTTGCTTGAAAGAGACTTTACAAGGGGTAAAAAGTTGGAGTGACAGAGTAAGGAGGCAAGACTCATGAAGAAAAAAAGAGCGAATGGCACAATCTTATAAAAGTGATCAAAGGAACTGTCCTTAAAGTACGGAAAATGCACTTGAAGTATCTTGGCAGGATAATAAAATTAAGGGGAAAAAATTACTATAAGATACATACAGTAAAGGACCAAGAACAATCTGTTTCTCTGTTTTGTCAGGGCTATTGAGTATTGGTATCTCTCAATCTGAGGGTTTACGTAGAAGCTGATTCCATTTTGCTCAAGATGGTTTAAAAAAAAAAAAAAGAGAACAAAACAAAACAAAAAAACAACCTGAACAGTGAAGTCACAGATATGCTTTGTCTGCTCTGACTCAATGTTCTTCATGAGACGTTTCAACCCACTGGAAACTCCTCTTCAACATATTTAAAATTAAAAACTTCTTACCCCAACCCCATCAGTCCCATTCCCCACTTTTCCACTTTTGACAAAATCATCTTTCCACTTATCAAGTTTTAAGTTCTTGAATATTAACTATGCTTTTTCTTCCCCCATCCCAATAAAGTCACTTGTGTCCCGTTCACTTTTTCTTTCCATTCCCATTGGATTTGTAAGTCCAATCCAAGCCCTTATTTCTATTCTGACACCAACAGGTTTCCAAAACACAAAATTAAAAATCAACCTACTTGCTTTCAATTCATTCAACACATAAATACACTAACTATCCTAAAATGCCAACTTCTATGTTAGAAAGCCTAATAAATCTGACAGCTATTATCTCCCTCTCATTTCTAATTCAACCTCCTCAGTTCTACTTAATTCTTATAACTCACAAGATATAATCTATCTCAATAGTTTTATTTATTTGATTTCTATACTTGGAATATTTTTCCTGCACTAATCCAAGTACCATCCAATCCACACAGGCAAGTTCGTGTCCCATGTCTTCCAAGAAACCTTCCCTACCCTTCCTAACTGCTGATCTCTTCTGCTCAGCTCAGGGCACTTTCTATCTGTATTACTCATCTTGATCTGGCATTTACCCTTTTACAACAATGTCTTATGTCTGACCCGCTTTAAGGATTACCTTCTCCGTAAAACCTGCCCTGAACTCTTGATCTTCCCCAACAACCATGCTCCTCCTCCAGTCCTTCCCATCTCAGTAAATGGCACATCCAACTACTCAGTTACTCAAGCCACGAAACTGGATGTCATCTTTCCCTTAAAGCCTCATCCTCCCTTCCAACCACATTTCCAAATTTTCTCCATTCTTTCTCAGTTCTGCCCACTTTCCTTTACCTTCTTTGGCAAAACTGAAGGCCAGCGCATAATCATCTCACCCTCAAACCACAGCAAGAGCCTTCTAAAGCAGTCTCCTCATTTCTGTTTTTGCCTCTTTCCAAATCTTTCTCCAGAAAGATCACTCTACAGTGATCTGTTACGTATGTAAAGCCCTTCCCTGGTTTCCCACAGTATGTATTTATTTTTATAGGGATGAGATCTCACCTATGCTGCCCAGGCTGGAGTGCAGTGGCTATTCACAGGTGGGATCACGGAACACTACAGCCTTGAACTCCTGGGCTCAAGTGATCCTCCTGCCTCAGCCTACCAAGTAGCTGGAACTACAGATGTGTGCCACTGTGCCAGGCTCCCACAGTATTTAGAATTCAATCTACAACCTCTACCAATGCCATGAAGGTCCTGTATAATCTTGGCTCCTGTCTTCTCTAACCCTGTCACACCCTCTCCCTAGTTCACCACTCTTTGCCACACCGGCCTTTCAGCTCTGCCTAGCCAACGTCTTTCCTGATCCCTTTACGTGAGTAGCAGGAAGAGATCTATACTCCTCTTCCAGGTCTCAGCATATAAATATCCCCTACTCCCTGATTGTTAGATTCAATCAAAGTTTACTTTCTGCCCCTAAAATTCTCTCATAGCACTGTTTTCACTTTTGTCATTTATCACAAATTGACATTACATATTTACTTAATGTCTGTCTGCCCTACTAGACTACAAGTGCCACAAGGACAAGAACTATGTCACTTTGATTCTGCACTACAAACCCACTATGTAGAACAATGTCTGTTATACGACAGATGCTCTATATGTATGTTGAATGAATCTTGCTCCAGTACAAACTTCTATAACCGCACTTACCACACTGTTCTGTAATTGTTTACGTGGCTTCCCTACCAAATAAGAAGTTCTCTTGAAGGCTTTGTAGCTCTAGGATACACCATAGGAGTTCAGTAAATGTTTAATGAATTGAATTATTCTACTAAACTGTAAGCCTCTCAAGAGCAGGCAGCATGTTTTGCTCATACTTTTGTCGTCTACCATGGTTACACACGTTAGGTATTCATCATGATGTCATCAGCTTGTGGAAAACCTCACCTCAGCTACACGGGCACAGCAAAAACAATTTAAATGCCAATTTTGCTTCCATGAAAAATATTTGTTATATATTCTAAGGTTCACCAGCATTCCTGACTTGTGAGAGCAAACATATCATAGACCAGGGACTTTAAATGAGAATAGCTAAGCATTATTTTTCTTATTAGAATAAAGTAAAGACTAACCAAGATTCTTACTTCAACCTTCCTTATTACATCATATAATCTTCCTAACATGTAACATCTGATGTAGCATGTAATGTGGGCAAACACTCAAGATCCAAAGAGAAAGGACAACTGCAAAGTATTTTTGGATTAATGATCGGCAGATAAACCTGCCTTGGGGAGCAGTTAGAAGTAGTCATTAGAGGTGGAATCCAATTTCAAGTGTTCTTGGCAATCAGGGCTGAGATATCATGATCCTGACAGACCACAGACCACACACAAAGCCTTGGGCTGGTGGAAATCGGGGTGGGGCATGTCATAGCATGTTATTTACCACCTTCGGAGTATTATAAGTGTTATGTTATGATTGGTCCTCATTCTTTTGAATCCACTGAAAAACCTTACTTACCTGTCAAAGTCCATCCCTGCAAGTTGACTAAAACTCTAGATTCGCAAAGTCTGGGTTCAATCTTCCAGTCTGAGAGGGCAAGCCCCACCCTTTCCCTCAAATAATTTGAAGTCCATGTGCAACAAAACTACTAATTCCCTCTCAAGTGCCTTCAGGGTAAAAATGTAGAAGAGGTGATATTCACAAAAGGAAAAAGAACCAAAGGCATGGTGGAAGTAGGGACAAAGAAGATAATAATTTTCTCAAAAGGAAAGGCAAAGCCTTTTTTCCTTTCTCCAAAAGATAAACACTATGGTAGACTGCTGTTCTTCTGGAGACGAAAACAAAACAAAAAACCCTTTAGGGTTGCTTTAGGACCCAAACAAAGAACTCCTCAGAACAAAAGGGCTCCTGCTGCTGGCCCCAACATATTTTTCAAAACAAGACTACAGCTAACAAAAGGGCAGTAGTATGCACGAATCAAAGTGCAAGAAGACAAAGCTTCCTGTGGGAGACGCTGGACCTCAGATGATAAGTGGGTTAGAATCAGGTTTCTGGAGCATAATAAGGTTAACAATATCATCCCACAGCACCAGAGGTGTTTTACTAAAGGAACCAAATGCAGCATACCCTCAGGTACTACATCACTAGAGGATAAAAAGAAACTGAACAGTGGTTAAATTTCAGCACTGGAGTCCACAAACTGAAGGCAGGTGGCAAACACAACTAAAATTCTGCTGTAAATTCCTCATCTATTCAGGAGGGGGAAAAAGGCAAATACTCTTTGCCTTGAGGGGAATATAGTCACACTGCTGGGAAACATTTGAGACGTAAGGGCGAAAGGGGTGAAGGGGAAAACAATGGCTCTGGTGGCAAGTGATGAGCTTCTGGTAGAATGTGTCTCTTCCTGAGGACTAAAGGGGTGTGCAGAGCACCAGGCATGTGACAGCCTACAGAGTAAGAACTGATAGATGATCATCTTGGAAAACTGTGATGGACTTTGAATTTCTCTTTGGCAAGAGACTGAAACTTCACATCCAAGATGGTTTTCTTTGGCTTTGGTTCTACAGACGGTCAGGGAGGAAGACCCCTGTCTTTTTCTTTCTTTTCTGCAAAGGTCAGCATCTCCTTTCTTCCTTTCTGTTCACCGGAATGTCTTCCTTGGGAGGGCCAGCCTCTTTCTGACCCTGAAAAATCCTTCATTAGCTCTTCAAACTTCTGTCACAGATATACTGTCCACAAATATCATCATCTAAATGGCTGGCTGCTGTATGATGTTGATCCTCCACCAGGAGGGCTTCATGCTACTGTTAGAAATGGAGACAACAGACTTGTCCAGAATATTGCCATTAGGTGGAGGTAGGATATGGACGTGCAATGAGATATCACACCTCACAGACCCAAATTTTACACATGTCCATGCTTTTCCTTAGGAAGCACTGACAACCTTCTCCAGCACAAACAGAACTTTCTTATTGGTAGAGGTGGCAGCTGCTGAGAACTGATGACTTCTTCAAGTGTTACTGCAGAGGTAATCACAACCTGGAATTTCTTTGTGGCCCACCTAGAGCAAGGGCTGTCTCACAACCAGGGAGCAAGCAATAATCAAAAGCATTAGGGCCCTGTGGATAAGCAGAAAGCATTTCAGGTCATATAAGAAACTTGTCTACAGCCAGGTTATTTCTGATGAGCCGATACCCAATGACTTTCACCAAAGAGATACCAGGTTTAACATCTTTCACAAATATATGGGGAAAAATCCTCTGCAGAGCGTTGGATGCAGACAAGTTAATTCTATTTGTTCTTCTTTAAGTCATTCAGAAGTACAGTCTTACTTCTTGTACCTAGAGGCCACATCTGCATAAAGATATGCTACAAGATCTGGACTGTCAAGGTGTTGAGCTGAAGATGGTAACTGAGATATCTAAGGCACAACTGGAATCATGATCCTGTCTTTGAAGAAGGACTAATGCTTAGTATCGATGCTTGACAACTTGCATGGTAACTATGCAAGGTACTCACAGGAGTTCAATGAAGTGGCCCTCAAGAGTTAGATGATAAGAATTCAGGCTGAAATGTGATCCAGAGCAGAGATTCCTCATGCAGAGTTCTGTGCTTGGCTGGGCCAATATTGTCAGAATTACACACTGACAGCTGGAGTCATCAGGGAGTCATATTATTGAATAGAGAGCAAAGCCAGCAGAACTGTGGTTTACTGAAACATCTGAAGAGGTGATAATCCTGTAAAACTCCCAAAGATACCTACGTTAAGTCCAGCAAAACAAGGTGTTATAAAGGTCTTGCCAGTATGCTTATACCAATATTCTTATTAAACGTAGAAAGCGCTAAAAATGTAGAGGTATAACTTTAGGAAATATTTGCCATAGGTAGTGTTTTTTTTCCCCTGTGAATGATGCACCCCCTGTGGCTGGGGGCATACAAAATGATTAGGGCTGCCAAATAAAGGCAGTTTGTTGTTGTCAACTATTGATACATTTGGAGTTATCTCAAGGCTTTGACTGGAAGCATGCACCCAAAGGAGGTACCCAGTGTTCACCCTCAGTTAAATGATTTGCCCCTTCCAGATTAATTACTTGCCCGTCTCACCTACTCTTTGCAATTTATGTCTGCCCTATTGGTATATCTTAAGAGATAAAGTATGATCAGGACAATGATTAAAATGTTAGTGCTCGCTATTTTGAATACAATGTTAAACCTGTCTTTTTTTTTAAGGTAAAAAACTGGGATTTTGAATACAATGTTAAATTTGTCTTTTTTTTTTTTTAAGGTAAAAAACTGGGACTCTTAGTTCGGTTTTTAGATGGGGTTACTAATGGTGACCATCATTCTTCCCTGAAGCAAATAAACATGACTGTATGGAACTTCATCATGTTAAATAACATGCTGAGGAACCCAGCTAGGGAAATATCACCAAGGGGAAGATGGATTGTTAATGGAATTTGAATTAGCCTAGCTGTCCCTCCTGTTGATTGTAAATAAAGCAGGAAGTCACTGCCCTATCCACACCACCAAATGACCTCATTTTACAATTGATTTCTGAGGAAGGTGATATTTTAAAAGGCATACAAAGGTGACCTGTATATTTATATAGTTGGTAAGGAGCTCATTTTATTTTTTGAGACAGGGACTCACTCTGTTGCCCAGGCTGAAGTGCAGTGGTGTGATCACGGCTCACTGCAGCCTCAACCCCCTGCACTCAAGTGATTCTCCCGCTTCAATGCCTCCCCAGTAGCTGGGAGTACAGGCAAGAGCCATGACGCCCGGCTATTTTTTTGTAGAGATGGGGTTTTGCCATGTTGCCCAGGCCGGTCTCAAACTCCTGAGCTCAAGTGATCCGCCCACCTCGTCCTCCCAAAGTGCTGGGATCACAGGTGTGGGCCACTGTGCCTGGCTAGAAGCTCATTTTATAAGGCCCTCTCCAGTGCTGTCTGTATGTTTGTTTGTGCGGGGACTATTATTTAAAAAAAGCATAAAACTATTTCTAGATTGGGGTAAATTAATATTTTTAATTTAATGCTCTGGCAACGGCTATTACTGGGTTTCAACCAGGGAAGTTGGTCATTCCCCAACACTGCAATGTTTGTTGAATATCTACAATCAACTAGAAATGTTAAAAGCATTTGGTTAAGTATCATTAACAGGATGATATAAAATACCCTTCTCAATCCATAACAGAAACAGGATCTATTCTCTATTCTGCAATGTGGCTTATTTGTTGTTGTTGTTTTTGCCTGCAGAAACACACAGACATTATCCAGAGATCACCAAGTATCATGGAGACAACAGAGAGGGGTAGGATTTTACTAGCGGAGTCAGTGTCTTTTATAGTTACAAATTCCACACTCCTGGTAAGTCACCAGGAAACACACACGTTAGCGCTCTTTGGAAATTGGATACACACCTTATCTCCTTTCAAGCCACCTGGCAACTAAAGATTCCAATGGGAACCCTGTACTTCTGAAGATTAGATGCAACTCTTATCCACCTGTATTCCATTCTGTGCTGGGACAATAAGGAGCAACACAGATAGGACTGCCCAAGATCTGTGGCATGGTTAGATGAAGGCTAATGAAAGCAGACATTATACGGAACTGCTGAAGTTCTGCAGGATTTGTTTATGTTCTTCAGGATACTCACACATACACACAAATCAACCAACAGAGTATTTACCTGCAAGCTGCAAGCATTCTTTAGAGAGAACAGACAGAATACCAATTTACATGCCCACTTCCGCAGTGAAACCAACGAATGGCCAGGGAATCCACACGACAGCTGTGGTATATAGCTGTAGCTATGGTATTGGATTCAACTCTGCTGCACAGGCAGAGTGGACAAAGACTCCAACTGAATGAAACCAGCAGCATTACTTGCCCTTAGGGTCTGCTTAAACTGCAGAGTGGGCATGCGTAATCTATTCCCGGTAGCTAGAACTTCACATCCAAGTAGGAGTATATACATGAAACACACAGTGGACATTCTTTCATATAAGCAGGTAACAAAATACAGGTGTTTTTGTCCAAAAGCAGGACAGCTGTATGTTATGCGTAATGCTCAGTTAGTTGGGTTCACAAGGTGACCAGTGGAGCTACCAGTACAGACGAGGATTCACTGTATGCAGCACTGTCCAGTTCACTGTAGGAAATGCAGTTTACTGTGGTACGTAGTTTAGTTATGTTTCTGGGGAAAACTGGCTTTTTTACTTAGAGGCAAGGCAAAATCAATTAATCCATTTGGGCCTTGAAGAGACACCAGATATGAAATATATCATTCGTATGAAATATATCATATCTGTCTGCCCTCTACACAAAACTGCATCCACTTGTGTGCTGTTATGGGGCCAGAACAATTGAATACAGTATCTTTATTTTTGGTGTAAATGGTATCATTAATAAAGCTCTTCTTTGAGAGGAGGGACCAATTTAATGTGTATCTTGAGGGTACACACCAGGATTATCTCTTTTGTATACACCGGAAGGAAGAATACATTGGGAAAACACCCTCGATTTCCGTGAAAGCTAAGAAAAAGGGAGACCTTCGAGAGCTGGAGTGTTTTGCCCTTTTTATTTCCCCTCAAACAGATAACCCAAGTATGTAAGCAAACAGGGGATCTGCAGCACAGGCACAGCGGCAATCTCTCAAGCAGCACTTTCCGTAAACCTGGGTTAACATCTGGACCGGCAGCCATTTGGAATGAAGAGTCGAATCTCTGCTGCCCACTGCAGTGCAGCATGGCATACACCAATGACTCTGGGGCACTCCTTCTGCTCTGGAGGCTCCCAATGACACGTGAGCTGGGGACAGACAGAGGTTTATCCTCTTCCAATTGCCTGCAACTCATGTTGCAAGCTGAACTTGCTGGATTTGCCACCGAAAACACAAAGCTTCCTCTGTATCTCCTGATGTATGTTTAAAAAAAGCAGCAAGGCCCTTCACACAGGGTTCATGTTCTTATTGTTTGCTTGAGCGTTTCACTTGTTGGGGGGAAGAAAAGACCTTTGGTGTACGAAGCTGGGCTTAACTCCCCAGAGCCCAACTCTCCCAAGGTAACTCACGGCTTCAGGGTACTTTACCTTCGTGTGGGGCTGGGTCTTGATGGAGCCGTATTCATATTTCTTCTTTCCGCTGCCTTATTAATATCTGAAAAGAATAATCAACCCATCTGTTCAATGCTACGGAATAAAAACAAGATCATCAGCACATTTCAAATGAAAGCAACAACAACAAAAACTACAATGACAACCAGATGGTGTAAGAAAAGCCATTCAGCAGAGACACACTGTCACTTGGGCAATTTTTATTATTGAGTTAAGGTAGTACATTGTCACGGCTTGGTAAGAAATGTCCCTTCGTTTTCTAGTTAACACGTAATTTGTCTTAAACTAATTACGTCAATGCTTTAACACGCTGCCAAGACCTAGACCTGACACATTCCCTCCAAGGGGAGGAAAAGGTTGTTTTCTAAACTCTTAGAAAGCAGCTGTAAGATTCTTTTTGTGAGGAAGAAAGTGGGGGGGAAGATAAGGAGAGTTTAAAAAACAAAAGAGCAAAGGCAAATAATTCTATTTTATGTTACTAAGAAGTAATAGCTGGATTTCATTGTCTTAAAACTTCCAATATCCCATGAAGCAGGGCCTCCTGTTAGTGTGTCTTGTGTTGAATTCCACTGGATAGAATCTTCCAGAATAACATGCAGGAAAGAAAATTATTATTATTATTTTTAATAAACAAAGAATATGACCTGTTAACATCTACAGATAACCAAGAATAAGGACTGGCGTTTGGTATAGTAGGGTTAGGTAATAAAACACTCCTCCTAAGTTGTTTTCATTAGAGAAGGCTGGCGTATAGAACTAGATATGGGAGAAAAGTAGAATCACATAAGCTTAAAGAAAAGCAAATTTGTATAGCTAAAGCCTGCTTTGCTAAAAACCAAGAATACCTGCTTTACAAAAATTGAAGTGAATAATAAATACCATGTACTAAGAAATCTATGCCCCAAAATAATACCTGACAGTTTTCATATGACTTAAAGCTAAATAAATACATTACAAATTTCATACTTCAGATGAATGAAGAAATAAAAGTGCTTTCTGCTGCAGTAGAGTTTGTTCCCCTTTTTCCGTATTAAACAATTAATAGTGTATCTAATGACATCAAATGGTATTAAGTACTCACATAATTCGAGTGCTTTAAAATAATAATTATGTATTTTAAAAATCCCAACCAGATTCCTATCACATGAAAGACCACAGCAATAACAAGAAACTTAGAGGTCTGGTAGAGATTTTATGCTGCTATTTTGCCAACTTTTGAGTTCCTGATCAAATGAAGGTAATCTTCAATTCCATTTTAAATCAGAAGTCTCTAATTTGTCTAGAAAAATGGCTTCTGACAAAACTGAAAATAATATAAAGCTAAATAGTGAAGTATATCTTAAATTGATTCTTACCTTTTCAATTAAGCAGACACAAGATATAATCCTTCTATTTTAAAAAAAACCTGAAAATATTTTCTATGTAAGACTTGGCCAGTAATATCTGACCATAGCTTTGCTACTGCATGCAGTACTTTCACAATTTACAACTCTTAAAGTTTATAATGGTCTAAATTACAAATTATATAATGACAGGCCTTATAGGGAATATCTAGTTCTATTATACGTAATTGTGAAGAATACTAGTTCAGGTTTATGACTTACTGAGTCTGTTCACTTACTGTGTACCACTTTCTAATTATATAGGTTGGCTATGATTCAGAGAGAAATATAATATCTTTGAGTATTTTAAGTAGTTTTCAAGGTGTCTCTGGAATACACTGGGTGTGTATTAAGATAAAAAATATACATAACATAACTTCAGCAGGAGTTCATATATTATTAAATGGTCTTGTGAATAAAGGAAACTCACATCTAAACACTGACTAGACCTGGCAAACATTCAGGTTAAGAGTACAACACATATAGTATTACTTTAATTGGTAGGTTTCTATTACCAATAATTTGCTCTCTACATATGAAAAGGAATATTACACTGTATAATTATAGCCAGTTTCGTGAGCATCTACATACAGAACTGGAGAAATCACATGGTCATGTATACTATATCTTTGGAACAAAACCAGTTCTAGTTAGAATGAAGGACATAAATATTTTACTTTGAAGCTGGTGGAATCGTTTTGTAATTACTTAAAAGATTAAAGAATATTCAAGATTATATCTTTAAACCATTTTGATTGTAATTTGCCTCGTAGTATCTATTTTCATTGGGTAGTCCAAAGTATTTATATTTGACAGCATGGGATGTTTCTTCTGCAAAAACAAGAATTCTCAGATAATTGTCTCATTTTAGGGTTTAGTAAACTTTTAGTGTAGTATGTCAAGTATCTGTTTATTCATCTCTATTTAAGAGTTCCTTAAATTTCCATCTGGGCTGACGTATGGAGAAAATGAGACCTGGATTTTTTTTTTTTTCCTATCTAATAGAATTGCTCAGATTAGGGTAGGGCTGGGGAGTTTTCAGTGAGAGTTGTAAAAACACAACCACCAACATTACTGCCAATCCCCATACACCCAAAAAATCCTAACACATGTGCACATAGAACTTTTGGGAAATCCATGAGTTCAGAAATACAGAAGAATAAATAACTTTAAGGAACTAATCACGGAGAGCAAAGATTCAAGAAGTCAAGAAAAAACTTCCCTCATCCTATTTTTTTTGTCACAGAATTTGAAAACCTGTCAGTTGGAAGCAGAGGGTTCATTTAAAAAAGATTTTCTTTGAAAATGCAAATATTGAGAATGCTAAAGCACCAACTCACGGCTTTACATAAAAGGAAGAAACCAGAAAATAATCCAGAAAACATGTAGGAAATGACAGAACTGTTTTAAACCACAAAAGAATGGGGTGAAGAATTCCCAAAGAAAGACACAGTATCTAATCTATAGTTTTATTTTGTATTAAATAATCAGATTATTTTCTCCTAAATCCTTATAGAGAGATATAATCAACACCAAGCAAATAGAAATGGTGTTAATGTAAAGAAGGGAAAAAAAGGTAGAAAGACAATTTGGAGATCTTTCTGGACATCAGATGGGGAACTCTGGTTGGAGAAAAATTAATCAACAAGAGGGAAGTGGCAACTTGGGAATCTCTTCCAAGGAGAGGTCTAATGTCTCCTCTGAATAGAAAAGGGAAGAAACGGTACTTCTTTCCCCTTCTGCTATACTTTATTCTGGCCAACTGCCCTTAAGACCAAAAGTCATCTCTCAGTGTCTTCTCCACTTCAGTTTGGGTGATACTTCTATACTTTGTTAATTATACTAGCAATGTGAATGCCATTCAAAATCATCATAATCACCATGAAGTGCTTTATCTTGGCCTGAATATCTATAGTGTCCAAGTGGTGGTCTGAAAACAGTTAAAAGCACTTCTCAGTTAAGAATTTTTAGACAAGAAAAAGAGCTTTACATACAAGGAAAAGAACTGGAAAATAATCTAGAAAACATGCTGGAAATGGCAGAACCATTATAAACTACAAAAGGATGGGGTGAAGAACTCCCAAAATATACAATATCTAATCCACAATTTTATTTTAGACTAATATGCCAGACAGGGGTCACAAAATGGTCCTTGGATAATGCTATAAATAAAAATGCATGTTTCTTTCACTCACAGTACCAAAAACTACTTTGTTCTACTTATTTTTTAATTGTACAATCATAAAACAACTCTTTTCACCTTAAAACCAGATTTTATAGTTCATAAGCTACAGCCACAGAAAACAATGAGGACTAGGAATAACAAGAGCGGTGTCAAAGAAAATTTCCAGGAGGCCATTGCTTTGGACTGAGCTCCTGAACTAGGCCCAAAGACCAAACCAAATTCATGATGAAGTTCCACGCTATCAAGCCAAGACAAAGATCTTTTCCTGACGTTCTGCGAAATCAGGAGATAAATAATGGCCAAAACCACAAATAGGCCAGTTTTAGCCAGCATGAAAAGGAAGTCTGCACTGCTTTACCCTTCACAAGAAAAGTAACTCTGAAATGACCAATCCGCTTTTTGCTCCTTGTCTCTGCTTTCCTCAGCTCCCTTCTCTGTTTATAAAGCCAAACGCCTCTGCTCAGCTCATTGGAACACTTGTTCTATTTTATAGAATGAGGTGTTGCCCTATTCTAGAGTTGCAAATAAAAGACAATTAAGATCTCTAAACTAAGTGTGCTGTAATTTTGTCTTTTGACAGCCACATGAACTACAACACTTAGTGACAGTACCACCACTAGCTGTTCAAAGAACCCAGAAGCCTATACTGTTTTAATAACTGACTACAAATGACATAAAACTCTCTAAAAGGCTTAGTTGAAAACCAACTAACAATCAAGAATTACTAAAGTGGCATTACATGCTGATAAAGATAATGCCAGTTGGAAAACCATACTGACAAGACAGAGAATATCACACATTAAATCCCCCAAATTGGGAGGGGAAATGACAGGACTTCTCGCTAAACTATATTTATGAAGACAACTTTGATGATATATTGCAACATCAGGGATATTGTAATGAGTTATATTGTAACAAGTCAGGGATAAGAGAATGTTATGCTTGCTCTTTCTAAATCAACCCTTTAAGTTCACTTTGAATACTATACTTTCCCTATATATTTGATTATCTCCTTTATTCTCCAACTAAAATAATTATTACATCTTTAACTGTATTAGAATATTATTCCTGGGAACAGAAATGGGGGAAACAATAGTTTATACTTACAGAATGCTTATTTTGTTCCTGAGCCTGTGTACTAAGAACATTATGTGTATTATTTCATTCAATCCTTTTACAACTCTTGGAATTAAATACTGCTATAATTTCTACTTTGCAAATGAGAAAATTTGAAGTTTAGAGAAATTAAGTGACAGGCCACACAATTATCAGGAGGCAGAGCTGAGACTCAGACCCAGGTCTTTCTTACACCAAAGTACTTAAACATTATGCTATGCTGCCTCCAACGGAGTGGAAAGACATGCTTTCCATTTAGAATATTCTTGCTAGGACTCCCTGATCAAATACTGATGGAACCTGGAAAAGGTCCAGTCTATGCTAGACACTCCATTGCTTAAATGACCCAGAGACACCCAACAGGGTAGAACCTACTTATTCAATGACGACTTCAGTTTCTATTACCTCAAACTACAGTGTTTCTGGGGTTTGCTATTAACATTCACCACAACTCTTCCGACAAAAATTATCAACATTTAATTTCCTACCTTTCTTATTCTTTTAAGGAAAGGGCATTTGGCTGGGGATAGCAAATCTGAGCTGTGGTCCTTACTTTGGGAAATTTACTCCAGTCATTTGATTTCTCTGAATCTATATTTCCTTTCTGACAAAATGGATATTCTGCCTGTGTTAGCTATGTTGACTCAAGGAGAAAAATCAGCTGAGAAAAAATGATTTTGGATTTGCAAAGGTTGAGCTAATCTAAACTACAAAAAAAGAGTCTGAGCTGCTTAAAATTTTAAAATACAGATTTAAAACTGGCAAATTTTCAACTAAACTGTACAAGTGGAGAACAAGTGATGAATTTGAAAAGGATAGCTTATAATTAATACATTGAATGCTTCATTGATTCATAATGTCAAATGCCTACTATGTGTCACACATGTCCCAGGCCTTACACATGTGGAAATGACACAGCTAAAGTCCTTGCCTTAAAGAAGTTCATTTTTAAAAAAGAAAGGGTCTCAGCTCTGTTGTCCAGGCTGGAGTGCAGTGGCTCGATCATAACTCACTGCAGTCTCAAACTCCTGAACTCAAGCGGTCTTCCTGCCTCAGCCTCCTGAGTAGCTGGGACAAGACGCATGCACCACCACACGCAGCTAATTTTTTTTTTTTTGAGATACTGTCTCCCTATGTTGCCCAGGCTGGTCTTGAACTTCTGGGCTCAAGTGATCCTCCCACCTCAGCCCCGCAAAGTGTTGGGATTATAGGCATGAGTCACCATGCCTGGCCTGGAGTTCACTGTTTATTTAATAAAGGAGAGGCACAAGTACACAGATAATTACAATACAATCTAAAGTGGGATTATGGCAGAGATAATGGAGTCCTAATTTTGTGTATGTGTGTGGCAGGTGAAAGGAACAGAGCAGAGAGGAGACTAGGAAGAATGTGTGTATGGAGGGGGTGGGGGTGAATGGGATGGGAGGAGGCAGGGAAGGCTTAAAAATAACATTTAAACTGGGTCCTGAGGAATGAGTGGGAGTTTACCAGAAAGAGAAAAGTCATCCCAGAACATACAAAGGTAAAGGAATGGTGTGAAGGACATAATAAATTAGAAAAACTACAGGAAGTTTGGTGTTGGGAACACGGGGATAGGAGGAATAAAAGAGAGAGGAATAACATGAAGCAAGAGTTGGACTAGATCCAGATTGCAAAACACTTTGCTATGGACAAGGAAGAATCTAGTGGCTAGAGGGTCTATTGGGGGCTATAAACTGAACTACCACAGAGTCTCAATGAAGCCAAATTAACGAAACTTTATGTATATTATCCCCAAATGCGGTGAGGGAGTATTTAAATGTAAGACATTCAAAATATTGCCCATTTTAGTAACATTCTTCAAAGACCATTGGTTTGACACTGAAGGAGAAAAAAATTGAAAAAGTCATGATTTTACTTTCAATAAAGGGCTCCCATGTAGCTAGGAATACAGGTGCATGCACCACCACCCTGGCTAATTTTTTTTGTAGAGACAGGATCTCACCATGTTGCCCAGGTTGGTCTCAAACTTCTATCAAAAGGGATCTTCCCACTTCAGCCTCCCCAAACGCTGGGATTACAGGTGTGAGCCACTGTACCCAGCCTTAAGATACTTTACAGAGCTAAAGGTATAAGACAAGACACTCTGTTTTCTAATGCAACTTAAGCTGCCCTGATCCTTGCCTAAAGTTGTCTGGTCTTTACATAGGATGTCTGGAAAAGTTCTGATTCTTATGAGGTGAACTATTTCCTTAACATAAAATTGGTCCAGATGACCTATTATCTCTTTTTTTAAGTGAAAGGATAAAGAATGAAGATGACCATTCCCATAAATATTCATATCTGGTGGTAACAAAACCACCATTTAAAAAGCAGCATGCATGCTGGTATTATATATTTAGCTGTCAATATACTTCATATTTCTCTAATGTACTGCTGCTTGAGACAGTGGCTTTACCCTGATCCTGTCATTAATGACTCTCATTAATGAGAGTAACATAAAGGATAATTCTGTTAGTCATTGCTCTTTTAACTTTTTGACAGTTTAACTCTGCTTAAGCAGAATGGTCTAAACAAATATATGTGCTATTCACAGGACAACTATTTTTGCACAAAAAAGCTGATATTGAGCTTTAAAAGCAGCTGTCTTAAAGATATGCAGTAATCATTAATAAACCACAAGGTACAGAGAGGAAATACAGCGTAGTAGAAAGAGTAGTCAGTTCTGAGGAACACTATTACTTCAAAATATTCATGAGAGGATAGCAGGAGAAAGGCATCATGATAACTTCCTCTCTCAGATATTGACATTGCACATATTTAGCACATAAATGCCTCTGAGAAGTTTTGGAGTAAGGACACCACTATATCTCAACATTTCCCAATTTTGCTTGACCCTGAAATCAATTATCTCCAATGATGTCTTGAATATGTTCTACTAATTATGTGATCTGGGGCAAGAAATCTAACCTCTTTGAGTCATCATTTCCCTATAAATAAAAAAGATCAAACTAGTTTATCAGTCTCATAAGATGACGGGCAGGAGCAATGATTTAGTATTTACCATATGCACTACTGGCTGTATGTTATTATCATTACTACACTAAGAGTAACAGTGACTTCAGGAATAGACGTTTCATTCTTCACGTGGGGAGTCAAAAACAAGAGAACAACCTAAACTGAAGGGAAGAAAAAGTTTAATATATTTCTTGTGAAGATTTTCCATTCTTAAAAGCACAACTAAATTTTATTAATCCTCACAGTAGTAAAACATTACACAAAGGCACTGCCATCTGCAGGTCATAAACATGGACTGCTTGCAATGATTATTTAAAATGAAGTTTCAAACCAATAAATCTTTTCTCATCAGACTACGAAAGTCTTTCCAAAAATTGTTTATTCTGGTTGGACGCGGTGGCTCATGCCTGTAATCCCAGCACTTTCGGAGGCAGAGGCGGGCAGATCACCTGAGGTTGGGAGTTCGAGACTAGCCTGACCAACATGGAGAAACCCCGTCTCCACTAAAAATATACAAAATTAGCCGGGCGTGGTGGCGCACGCCTGTAATCCCAGCTACTTAGGAGACTGAGGCAGGAGAATTGCTTGAACCCGGGGGCCAAGATCGCACCACTGCACTCCAGCCTGGGCAACAAGAGTGAAGCTCTGTCTCAGAAAAAACAAAAACAAAACCAAAACAAACAAGTTGTTTTTTCTTAGCTCTCAAGCACTGGTAGATGAGTTTCCATTTGCTGAAGTTCTGAAACGGACGCCGGGCTTAAATCAAATTCTCAGAAATGTGAAGAAAATGACCTTAGCCTTACGTAAATTCTACATTGTGATCATACCAAGGTAACCCCAAAGAAACATGTTTTTAACAGGGGGAGAGATACATACACACACACACATATATATACATATACATATATATATATTTTTTTACACAGCCTTTGAGGGGAGGGGAAGAAAACTTGAATAAGCCTGAACTGACTTATGGGACTTTCCTGTCAATGATTTAAATTAAATCTGCTCTTACATTCACATAAACAGATCTTATGAACACACTATTAACTTACAAGTAAGTTAATCTGTCAATGCCTCCTTTAAACTTGTGGTGTTCACAGGTATGCAACATTGAGCAAACTGAATCTAGAAAAACTCCTTCCAATGAGCCTTGCAATATGGATTCGCTGGGACATTCTACAAGGAAAATCAGTGTTTCTAAGTTTTAGGTTAAGAGAAGTGTCAGAGGTTTCAAAGGCAATCTGAAGAGTGACAGATGAGCTCAAAGAAAGGCAAAGAAATCACAATAAAGGAAGAAATGGATGTTAACAAATAGCCAAGTGATTTCTAATATCCACAATGCAAAGCATGGGCTTTACTGGTTGCAAAAAGTAGACACAAAGTTAGTTTTCACACCCAGACTGACTCATAGAGAAAACATTAAATTAAGAGTTGTCAAAACTCACAAAAGCTTCCCCAGCATTTGTAGAAACATCTTTTTATGAGCCAACAGGGGGCTACGACATCACAACGCTGTAAGAAAATTCAGGCACACCGGGTGCACCTGAGTGAACACAGTTCTTGCAGTTCCCTGGGACTAACACTTTTAAGTCAACAAAGAGAACAGTTTACAAGAAAGCTGTTACATTATCCCTGAAGAGCCCAGGGCATTCATAGAATCTGCTTTGCCTCAGGAAAAATTCTGTGCACAGAGTGCAAGCCAGAAGAACCACAATTAATCAGCTACTCCTCGGGCAGCGTTTCCCAAAGTGTGGAACGCAGAATAATTTCAGGAGGAACAAGGACGCACTGTTTATTTCAACAGACAGATATTTATTTTTTTTATAAGCATTAGAAAAATAACTGGCTTTCCAGTACCCGGTTTGTGATTGAAGTTGCCGCCTTAAATATATTTAAGGAGAAAAAAAGAGTCAGTTTGAATTTTTTAAAAAATGTAACATTTGGTAAATAGCAGTACAGATGGTCCACGGACATAAAGGTGCAACGCGAGACTGAAACGTGTGCAACGCCGTCCTAAGAGAAGCCCCTCGCCCGCTGGCGGGGAGCGGACAGTGCCCCGCGCCGGGAGCTTGGAAAGCCGGCCGGATCGGACGCTGGCGCTGAGCTACGTGGTAAACCCGGGAACAGTTCCTCTCCCCGTTCTCTGGGCCCGAGGTCCGCGCCTACAAAACGCGTGGGGTGTCACACCACAAGGAGACACCCCGAGAATGCGGTCAGGGGCCGCGAGACGGTGGCGGGGGACAGCGCTCAGTACACCGCTCGGCGCTGCACGCCTGGAGAACGCCCGGTGCCACGGGACGCCTTGGGCCCGGTTCGAATCCCGACTGCGCCACTGACTCGCTGAGGACCCGCGGGCGAGCGACTCCACCGTTTCGACAGGGGGTGCGGGATGTGCGGCTCAACCAGAGAAGCCTTGAGGACTCCTAGTGACCGACCGTTCGTGCACAGACAGGCGGCTGCGATGCGACGCCGCCGACCTGCGTCCACCACAGAGAACCGTAGGCCGCCTCGGCCGGCCGGGCCTGGGCCTGACGGGAGCCGGAGGCGGCCGCGCCCCGCACCGGGCATGCGCAGCACCGCGCGCACCCGGAGAGGAGCCGAGACCGTGGCCGCGCGTCGAGTGGGCCTTCCCGCCTCAGCCTCCCCGTCCGGCCAGGCCCCCCACAACGGCCTGCCCGTCAGCCCCACGCCTCGGCTGACGGCCAGCGCTTCCCGGCACTCACCGCTACCAGCGCGGCGGGCTCCCGGCCGCTCCTTCGCCTCAGGCCCGCCGCTGCCGCCTCCGCGTCGGCCCACCTGCCCGCCGTAGGACAAAGGCGCCACCAACCGACCGGCGCGGGCACGAGGCAATGGCGGCCGGGCGGAGAGTGGAGATGGGGGCAGAGGGCGCGCACGTAGCGGCAGGCGCGGCACTGTCGCAAGACCGCGCGTGTTTACGGCAGGGCTGAGTTGGGGCGTCGATCTCCTTGGCAATGAGGGCCCGGGAAGTGGCTCTCGGGCGGGAGTTGAGAACGCAGGGAGTTGCCTAGCAACAGCGTCCTAGGCTGAGGATGGGCCCCACGGTGGTCGCCTCAGCCCCCGCCCCAGAGTACTTTTTTTCTGTTTTCAGAGCACATTCCCTCCTCCCTAACTGTGGGAACAGAACATTCAAATCCCCAAATACCTTGATTTAGTCTTGCATAAAACTGAAAGCAAAAACCCCAAATCCCTATACACGTGTGTATTGGAGAATATATATAGTCCTGTAACCTCCGGACCACAAGGAACAAAGAGAGCAGAAAGGTGGAGAAAATGTTGTATTTAAATTTACATTTAAATAGGCTCTGTACTCTATTAGTTTCACTGACAAGCGGCAAAAGGTTTCTGGAGATATAGTCACAGGTTCTTCTTGAGTTATTTATTCTTGGAATATTCGTTCAACGTCAAAAATTTCCCGGAATGTAACTGTTGACCGTGAAGCCTGTAAAATGTTGTACTGTTCATTTCATGTATAGAATACATTTGTCACAGGGAATGGGATTTGCTCACACAATAGTAAATGCACTCTATTAATCACAGCCATAGCTATATTAATCAGGTACTCTTTTATTAGTGTTGGAAACGCCTCAGACTCCATGGGGTCTAGTTCTTCTCCTTGCGAATATTGCCTACTAAGAAAAAATGGTGCCTGCGGAATTTAAACACTACAAGAAGCCAGATTTCTTTGACATCTACCCCTATGCTCACTCCACTCATTTATTCACTGAATGTTTATTACATACCTACTATGTAGCCCTATACTTATTATATGCCTGCTTGTTAGGCGCTGTTATGAGCAAATGCAGACCCTTTTCTGCTATCTTTGAGATTACAGTCTGGTGAAAGCATTAGACGAATAATCACACTTGAGTGTGTAATTGCAAACTGAGATAAACGCTGTGATGGAAAGAAATAGGGATTCTCAATGGTTGTAACTAGAACTTTAGTTTACTCACAGGCAAAGTGGGTTATTCCAATTCCCACTTTATAAGACTGTATGAAATTAGAAATGAAGACATAAAGTCTGTCAAATAATGGATACCCAACAAATGTTCATTCTTATTCCTTTCCCTCCAATATAGATCCTAATACTATGAAAATTTAAGAAGAATCATATTAATTAGATGATTAAGATAACCAAGCTTAGGGAAAAATGTTGGTTTAGAGGTGAGTGGCAGTACCTCAAGTGGGTAGTGGACTTTAGCCAAAAGATGTATTCAGTGACTTGTGTATTAAGTGTTTAATGAGTGTTTTTTATGCACTTGATTTTGTGGAGAGTAGAGAGTAAGGTAGACAAAATCCTTGTGCTTAGGGAGCTCATGGCCTATTAGGGAATATGAGCAATAAACAAACGATAATATATAGTGTTTGATGAGTATTTTTGATAGAGGAGCAAGTTAATTTTATGAAGAAAGATTCTTGTAGGGAGGCAGGTGCTCAGGACTTGGTGACTTCTTATTTAGATGTTTGCTTTACATAATAGGTAACATCTATTGTGTGCCTACCATGTGCTGAATCCTTTACACATATCATCTCATTTAATCCTCACAACCCTATTGAGAGGTGACAGCGTGCTGGCAGCCCTCACAGCCCTTGCTCACTCTCGGTGCCTCCTCGGCCTCGGCGCCCATTCTGGCCGCGCTTGAAGAGCCCTTCAGCCCGCCGCTGCACCATGGAAGTCCTTCTCTGGGCTGGCCGAGGCCGGAGCCGGCTCCCTCCGCTTTCGGGGAGGTGTGGAGGGAGAGGCACGGGCGGGAACCGGGGCTGCGCGCGGCGCTTGCGGGCCAGCTAGAGTTCCAGGTGGGCGTGGGCCTGGCGGGCCCCACACTCGGAGCGGCCGGCCCGCCCTGCTGGCCCCAGGCGTGAGAGACTTAGCACCCAGGCCAGCAGCTGTGGAGGGTGCGCCGGATCCCCCAGCAGTGCTGGCCCACCGGCGCTGCACTCGATTTCTCACCGGGCCTTAGCTGCCTCCCCGTGGGGCAGGGCTCGGGACCTGCAGCCAGCCATGCCCGAGTCTCTCCGCCCCACCAACCCTCCTCCCTCGGGCTCCTGCGCGGCCTGAGCCTTCCTGACGAGCGCAGCCCCCTGCTCCAAGGTGCCTGGTCCCATCGACCGCCCAAGGGCTGAGGAGTGCCGGTGCACGGTGCGGGACTGGCGGGCAGCTCCACCTGCGGCCCAGTGGAAGATCCACTGAGTGAGGCCAGCTGGGCTCCTGAGTCTAGTGGGGACTTGGAGAACCTTCGTGTCTAGCTAAGGGATTGTGGGTGCACCAATCAGCACTCTGTGTCTAGCTCAAGGTTTGTGAACACACCAATCAGCACCCTGTGTCTAGCTCAGGGTTTGTGGATGCACCAATCCACACTCTGTATCTAGTGGGGACTTGGAGAATCTTTATGTCTAGCTAAGGGATTGTGAATGCACCAATTGGCACTCTGTATCTAGCTCAAGGTTTGTAAATGCACCAATCAGCACTCTGTCTAGCTCAGGGTTTGTAAATACACCAATGGACACTCTGTATCCAGCTAATCTAGTGGGGACGTGGAGAACTTTTGTGTCCAGCTCAGGGATTGTAAACGCCCCAATCAGCACCCTGTCAAAACGGACCAATCAGCTGTCTGTAAAACAGACCAATCGGCTCTCTGTAAAATGGACCAATCAGCAGGATGTGGGTGGGGCCAGATAAGCGAATAAAAGCAGGCTGCCTGAACCAGCAGTGGCATCCCGCTCGGGTTGCCTTCCACACTGTGGGAGTTGTGTTGTTCTGCTCTTTGCTATCAATCTTGCTACTGCTTTTTGGGTCCACACTGCTTTTATGAGCTGCAACACTCACTGGGAAGGTCTGCAGGTTCACTCCTGAAGTCATTGAAACCACGAACCCACTGGGAGAAACAAATAACTCCAGACGTGCCACCTTAAGAGCTGTAACACTCACCTGGAAGGCCTGTAGCTTCACTCCTGAGCCAGCGAGCCCACGAACCCCCCAGAAGGAAAAAACTCCGAACACATGCGAACATCAGAAGGAACAAACTCCGGACACGACGTCTTTAAGAACTGTAACACTCACCATGAGGGTCTGCGGCTTCATTCTTGAAGTCAGTGAGACCAAGAACCCACCAATTCTGGACACACTGTAATATGTGTACTATATTCCTATTTTACAAATGAGACAATTGAGGCCAGTTAATTTGCTTGTCCCACAGAGATTATGTGGCATGGCCAGACTCACTGAACCTGTGCGGCCTGATGCCCAAAATGCTATTGTAACCACGAGTGATACTGTCTTCTGGGATAAGAGGTTCCCTTCCAAATCAGGGGGTACCTGATTGGTGTAAAAGCCTGTAACCCTTCAGAGGTGAGCACCAAAGTTTGACCAGGAGATAAATTGAAAATCTGCTACAGTGGAGGCCATCTGATTTCTGTCAGATAGATCTTTAAGCTCACTGGCTGTTAAAATTTGGTGTACAGTGGGTTACCCCTTACTGTAAGGGAAGAAAGGTATAGTTTAAAGTGTGGCCAGTACTAAAGAACGATGTGTGTTTCCTAGAACATATGAGTAGGCCTTGTGGTTTACAGGACAGCCAAGACAGGGCAATGAGCAATTCCACTCAAACAGCAAACTGGAGGGGGCAGCATTTGGTGCTCAGCAAATACCTGTTGAATGAAGAAAAAAAAAGAAGAAAGAGTAAATTCAATACCATAGTCAATAGTGGAGGAATTTTTTTGAGATATCAATTTGGTTTTATTTTAATCTGGTATTTTTCTTAGTATTTCAGACTGCTTTATAGGATGAAGCCAGATACGTTTTGGGTAATGAAGTGGTGATTAAAAAGTGTCTAAGCAATGGGCTCAGGAATATCCCAGGAGAGAGAACCAGAGGGTCTATGATAAAGAAAACATGTAGTTTTTTTTTTTTTTTTTTTTAAGGACAAGATTACTGCAGAGAATCAGAAAGTAGGATCAGAAGGCAATCTTGAGTAAAACCCTTCCATTTTGACAAATGCAGGGCATAATATAGCCTCAAAATTTTGATTTTTAAAAATTAATTTTTTTAGAGACAGTCTCACTCTGTCAAGGCGATCAAGCCTTGACCTTCTGGGCTTAAGTGATCCTCCCACCTCTGCCTCCTGAGTAGCTGGGACTACAGGCATGTGCTACCATGCCGGGCTTT
The DNA here is from genome assembly GCF_000001405.40 of Homo sapiens. Taxonomy (NCBI): domain Eukaryota; kingdom Metazoa; phylum Chordata; class Mammalia; order Primates; family Hominidae; genus Homo; species Homo sapiens. The sequence continues at coordinate 46,094,280 of NC_000020.11, forward strand.
TTTGGGTAATTTTTGTAGAGACAGGGTTTCACCATGTTGCCCAGGCTGGTCTCAAACTCCTGGGCTCAAGTCATCCTCCCTCTCGGCCTCCCAAAGTGTTGGGATTACAGGTGTGAGCCACTGCACCCTGCTGAATCTCACTTTTGTATTGGTGATGAGCGGCTGGCCTAAAGACCTATTCTATTTTTTTTTTTTTTTTTTGAGACCGAGTCTCGCTCTATGGCCCAGGCTGGAGTGCAGTGGCACAATCTGTGCTCACTGCAACCTCCACGTTTCAAGCAATTCTCCTGCCTCAGCCTCCCGAGTAGCTGGGAGTACAGGCGCCCGCCCCACGCCCTGCTAATTTTTGTAGTTTTAGTAGAGACAGGGTTTCACCATATTGGCCAGGCTGGTCTGGAACTCCTGACCATGTGATCCACCCGCCTTGGCCTCCCAGAGCGCTGGGATTACAGGCGTAAGCCACCGCGCCCGGCCCATGAAGACCTATTCTAAACGCCAACAGCACTCAGATGCAGCCTGAGTTTGCAAAAACACTTTCAGGAATACTTTGCATATCATCTGACACAACCCAGGAGAGGAGAAACCTAGTACTTAAGAGCGGCAGCTTTGGTGATAGAAGTCAGAATAGAGGTTAACTCTGGGGGCATAGACTGGGGAGGAGCTTGAAGGAACTTTCAGGAAGATGGAAATGTTCTATATCTTGATCCCATAGTGGTTACATGGAATATGTACACAGGTAAACGTCTATAGAGTCATGGGTTTAAAATTGTGCATTTTACTATATGTAAAGTATACATCAATAAAAATTTAATTAAAAGAACAAAATGAAGATTTTGAAATCAAAATGATTTGGGTTCAAATCATGGCTCTGTCCCTTAATTTAGCTATGTGAGTTTGGGTCTTCTTTCATACATTTGATATGTATTGAGTACCTCCTAGGTTTACCATGCTAGACACAAAGGACACAGCAGTGAACAAGAAAGAGATGGTCCGTGCTTTCACAGAGCTTCAACCAAGCCACAGGTACCTGTCTTGACAATAGGGATAATAAGACCTTCCTCATGAGGTCATTGTAAGGATTAACTGAAATCATGCATGTAAAGTTCCTGGAATATAGTTGATGCTCAAAAACAAACAAATAAACCCAAACATTTTATACAGTGTGAGGAACCTGATACTTAGGTTAAGTGACTTATCTAAAGCCATACATTTACTAAGAAGTCAAGTCGAAACCAGAACTTAGAACCCAAGTCTTAATTCAAAGTCCTATAATTTTTCAATTACAACCACATTTTCCTGTTATATCTTTCATTTGTGTGAAAGGAAAGCACTTTACATCTTGTGTACTATAGCTAATGTTTACAAAGATCCCTGAATGACACTGAGATAGAGTTGTCAGATTTAATAAATACGAGTAAAATAAACTAAACATTTTGGGCCTGCTATGGTGCCTCATTCATTTAATTCTAGCACTTTGGGAGGCCAAGGCAGGAGAACTGGTTAAGGCCAGGAGTTTGAGGCCAGCCTGAGCAAGATAGAGGGACCCCTGGCCTACAAAACATGAAAAAACTAGCTGGGTATGGTGGTATGCACCTGTAGTCCCAGCTACTCAGGAGGCTGAGATGGGAGGATTGCTTGAGCCTGGGAGGTTGGGGCTGCAGTGAGCCATGATCGCGCAACTGCACTGCAGCCTGAGTGACAGAGTGAGAACCTGTCTCAAAAGAAAGAAATAAACAAAAATTACGCTTTTTAAAAAGTATGCCCCATGCAATATTTTGGACATATTTATACTAAAAAATTAGTCATTGTTTTTCTAAAATTAAAATGTAACTGGATGTCCTATATTTTATCTGGCAACTCTACACTGAAAGAATCATTGAATTTTAAATAGATGGTTCTTCATTAGAAGTGATCTTAGTTTCTAAAAGATTCACATAAAGAAAAAGACTGAAAAACATTTAGAGGTTGAGGTGCTTGTTTCTTTTCTTTTTTTTGTTTTTTAGTCAGGGTCTCCATCTGTCACCCAGGCTGGAATGCAATGACATGATCAGGGCTCACTGCAGCCTCAACCTCCTGGGCGCAGGCGATCCTCCCATCTCAGCCTCTCAAGTAGCTGGGACCACAGGCACACACCACTAGTCCTGGCTAATTTTTGCATTTTTTGTAGAGACGCAGTTTCATCATGTTGCCTAGGCTGGTCTCACACTCCTGGGCTCAAGTAAGCCTGCCTCCTTGGCCTCCCAACATGTTGGGATTATAGGTGTGAGCCACTGCACCTGGCCTGGTATCTCTTAATTTAATTTTTTAATTATTATTTTTCTGGTTACATATACAGGGACAGAGATTCTGTGATCCAACTTCATCTTGCCATCTTTACCCAGAACTTTCACATTACCTCATTTACTCTACACAGCAACCCTGTGTGATGAATGCTAAATGATTTAAACTTTAAACGTTCCTTAACATTTCAAACATACATAAAATACATACCTTTCTACTCACCACTGTGATTAAACAAATGTAAATGCTTTTGCTAACTTGCTTTAGAAATGAAGTGATATAAAAACAGCTGGCTGGGCGCGGTGGCTCACACCTGTAATCCCAGCAGTTTGGGAGGTCAAAGCAGGTAGATCACCTGAGGTCAGGAGTTCGAGACCAGCCTGGCCAAAATGATGAAACCCTGTCTCTACTAAAAATACAAAAATTAGCTGGGCATGGTGGCACCTGCCTGTAATCCCAGCTACTCGGGAGGCTGAGGCAGGATAATTGCTTGAACCTGGGAGGTGGAGGTTGCAGTGAGCCAAGATTGTGCCATTGTGCTCCAGCCTGGGCAACAATAGCGAAACTCTGTCTCAAACAAACAAACAACAACAACAAAAACAGCTAAGATCCTTCTATCACCCTCATCTCTCTCCAGGTAATCACTCCCCTGAAATACATTCCCATGTATATTTCGTACTTTAATTTTATTTTATTTTTAACAGACAGAGTCTCACTCTGTTGCTCAGGTAGGAGTTCAGTGGTGCTATTGCTCACTGCAGCCTCAAACTCCCGGGCTCAAGCAATCCTCCTGCTGCAGCTGCCCAAGTAGCTAGGACTACAGGTACCACCACCATGCCTGGCTAATTTTAAAAACTGTTTTTTTGTAGAGACAGGGTCTTGCTATGTTGCCCAGGCTGGCCTCAAACTCCTGGTCACAAGGGATCCTCTCACCTTGACTTCCCAAAGCACTGGAATTACAGGCATGAGCCCAGTCATAGAGTGCCCAGCCTATATTTTTTACTTTTATCATAAAAGATATATCCATAAACTGTATAGCGTTGTTTAATAGTGTTTAGATACAGTTTATGTATCCTTTTATGACTTTTTAAAACTGTACTAGGTTTTTAAGATTTAAGTGTGTTGAAACATGTAACTAGTTTACTGGTTCTTAAAGTGTAGTCCCTGGACTAGCAGCATCAGCAACATCTGAGAATTTGTTAGAAATGCAAATTTCCACTGAATAACTCAGAAACCCTAGGGGTAGGACCCAGTCATCTGTCCTTTACCAAGTCCTTCTGATGATTTCGATATACCCTGAAGTTTGAGAACTACTGATCTAATTTATTTGTTTTCTAGTATTATACTGTATGAATCAGCCACAGTTTATGTATCTGTACTAGATAAACCTAAGGAAGTTAGGTTTTTGTTTTGTTTTGATTTTTGTGATTGTTGTTGTTGTTTTTGAGACGGAGTTTCGCTCTGTTGCCCAGGCTGGAGTACAGTGACGCGATCTCAGCTGCAATCTCTGTCTCCTGGGTTTAAGTGATTCTCCCGCCTCAGCCTCTTGAGTAGCTGGGATTAAAGGCATCTGCCACCACGCCAAGCTAATTTTTCTATTTTTAGTGGAGGTGGGGTTTCACCATGTTAGCCAGGCTGGTCTCGAACTCCTGACCTCAAGTGATCCGCCCACCTTGGCCTCCCAAAGTGCTAGGATTACAGGTGTGAGCCACCGCGCCCGGCCCTGCTTCTTTTTACAAATGGTGCTGCATTGAACCTGCTAGTGTGTATCTCCTTGGGTACCCATTTCAGAGCTTTCCAGGATACTCATTTAGGAGTGGAATTGCTATCTTTGTAGTAGATCACATTTTAAACTTTACAAGATTTAGCAAGATTACTCGCCAAAGAAGTATTATTTAAAGAAGTATATTCCTGCCAGCAGTGTATAAGTACCATTTGTAAATTTCCTTGCCAACTTTTGATATTTTCAGACTTTATTCATTTATTTATTTTTGACTACGATGATGGCTGTGAATGATGTATTTGTGGATTTCATTTTAATTTTCTTGAATTCAGCGATATTCAGCACCTTATCCTACAGCTCTCCAGGTTTCTTTCTTTGTGAATTGCCTGTTCACATTTCTGGCCCATTTTTCTATTAGGTTTACCTATGGTTTTAAAAAATTAGTTCATAGGAGTTCTTTACGTATTCTGGATACTGATCTTGTGTCCGGGTTGGGTCTTCTCTCTGTGGTTTGTCATTTTACTTTGTCAATGGTGTCTTGTCATTCAAAAGTTTTAAATTTTAATTGAAATGTTTCAACATTCCCCTTTATGGTTCGTATGTAGTGTCTTGTTGAAGAACGTCTTTCCCAGTGTCATATAGATAGTCTCCTTGGTAAATACTACCATGATGTCAGTTTGGTAGATGAGTCAACTGAGGCACTGAGAGCTTAAATGACATGCTCAGGGTCACAGACCACTGGAGATGAGAGACTTGAGCTCTTGGTCCCTGGGTTGCACTGCACTCCACGGTTCCAGAACTTTTTGCCATCCTATTCTGCTGCTTGTTTCATGAGAACTCTTGTCAGCCTTTTTCCGTAGGTAGAGAGGGTGTGCAGAGCTCAGAAAGGATGCAGGTTTGGTGCAGTTTTTATTTACTCCATAATGAAGCACCCATAATGAAGCACCTGGCTCTAGACTTTAGGATTTTTAAAAAGATTTAAATTATTTAAAACAACTTCAGATTTATAGAAAAGTTTCAAAAAATAGTATAAAGAATTATCGGCCCAGCATACTGGCTTACGCCTGTAATTTCAGCACTTTGGGAGGCGGAGGTGGGTGGATCACTTGAAACCAGGAGTTTGAGATCAGACTGGACAACAAAGTGAGACCCCATCTCTACAAAACAAACAAAAAAATTACCCAGGTGTTGCTTCCGCTTGGCTGTTTTCCTGCACAGGAGGGCCGTAGGCACCCATGGCGCCCAGCCGGAATGGCATGATCTTGAAGCCCCACTTTCACAAGGACTGGCAGCGGCGCGTGGCCACGTGGTTCAACCAGCCGACGCGGAAGATCCGCAGACTCAGGGCCTTGCAAGCCAAGGCGCACCGCATCGGCCCGCGTCACGCATCGGGGCCCATCCGGCCCATCGTGCGCTGCACACCACCCTCCCTCCCCGCCCCCGTGGTTCCGTACCACACGGAGGCGCCCGTCGGCCGCGGCTTCAGCCTGGAGGAGCTCAGGGTGGCCGGCATTCACAAGAAGGTGGCCCAGATCGTTGGCATTGCTGTGGATCCGAGGAGGCGGAACAAGTCCATTGCTGTCCCTGCAGGCCAACGTGCAGCGGCTGAAGGAGTACCTCTCCAAACTCATCTTCTTCCTCAGGAAGCCCTCGGACCCCCAAGAAGGGAGACAGTTCTGCTGAAGAACTGAAACTGGCCACTCAGCTGACAGGACCGGTCATGCCCACCCGGAATGTCTATAAGAAGGAGAAAGCTCGAATCGTCACTGAGGAGGAGAAGAATGTCAAAGCCTTTGCTAGTCTCTGCATGGCCCGTGCCAACGCCCGGCTTTTCGGCATACGGGCAAAAAGAGCCAAGGAAGCTGCAGAACAGAATGTTGAAAAGAAAAAATAAAGCCCTTTTGGGGACTTGAGACAAGAGAAAAAAAAAATTACCCAAGTTTAGTGGTGCGTAACTGTAGTCCCAGCTGCTCGGGGAGGCTGAAGCAGGAGAATTGCTTGAGCCCAGGAAATTGAGGCTGGACTGAGCCATGATTGCACCACTGTACTCCAGCCAGGGTGACAGAGTGAGACCCTGTCGAGAGAGAAAAAGAGAGGGAGAGGGAGAGGGGAAGAGAGAGAGAGAGAGAAAGTAAGAAAGAGAGAAAGAGAGAGAGAAAAAGAAAGACAGAATTTCTGGGCCGGGCGCAGTGGCTCACGCCTGTAATCTCAGCACTTTGGGAGACCGAGGTGGGCAGATTACAAGGTCAGGAGTCTGAGACCAGCCTGGCCAACATAGTGAAACCCCATCTCTACTCAAAAAAAAAAAATACAAAAACTAGCTGGGCGTGGTGCTGTGCGCATGTAATCCCAGCTACTTCTGAGGCTGAGGCAGGAGAATTGCTAGAAGCTGGGAGGTGGAGGTTGCACTGAGCTGAGATTTTGCCATTGCACTCCAGCCTGGGCAACAGAGTGAGACTCCGTCTAAAACTAAAGTAAAATAAATTTAAAAAAAAAGAATTTTTGAATGTCCTTCACACAGATTCCCCAAATGAACATTTCACTGTTTGCTCTATAACTCCTCCTCTACCCATCTCTTTCTGTTCCCCTCTCTCTGACTCTTGTCTAATCTACAGACTTCATATGCATTTCACAAATGGTCCCAGTAATGTTCTTCAGAGCAAAAGAAACACTGTTTTTTTTCCTAGTCCAGAATCCAATCTAGGATACATGTTGCCTTCAGTTTTCAAGTCTCTTGAGTCTCCTTTAATCTACAACAGTTCTTCAGTCTTTTTTGTCTTTCATGACCTTGACATTTTTGAAGAGTACAGGCCATTTATTTTATAGAATGTTCCTCTTTGGGGCTTGTGTGATGTTTATTCATTGTTAGATTCAGGTTATACATCTTTGGCAGGAATGTGCAGAAGTGACGTTGTGTCCTTCTCAGCCAGTGTTTGTTCTAAACCCTTTTGACTAGAACCCCCTGAAGCATTATGCGCATAGATGCATTTTTTTTTTTTCAGGCAAAGGGATTAAAATCTCTTATATACAATTCTCAGAGGGCTCACACGACCTAATAAGAGCCAACATATGGCCGGGTGCGGTGGCTCACACCTGTAATCCTAGCACTTTGGGAGGCCGAGGCGGGTGGATCATTTGAGGTCAGGAGTTCAAGGCCAGCCTGGCCAACGTGGTGAAACCCTGTCTCTATTAAAAATAGAAAAATTAGTCAGGCGTGTTGGCGTGTGCCTGTAATCCCAGCTACTTGGGAGGCTGAGGCAGGAGAATCGCTTGAACCCGGGAGGCAGAAGTTGCAGCGAGCTGAGATCGTGCCGTTGCACTCCGGCCTGGGTAACAAGAGTGAAACCCTGTCAAAAAGAAAAGAAAAAAGCCAAGACATTCCACATTTCTCCTTGCAGGTCTTGGTGGAAGTCCTTGGCTAACAGGGCTGTCTGAAAGAGGCTAGGAGACAGGCACCGAGAGTGGGTGAGAAGAGGTTTCTGCATCCTTTACAGACTCCACGGCCTTCTGGGACCTGCCTATGCTGCCCCAGGGAATATATCTAGTGTGCCATGCAAACAGATATCCCACTCTCCAGCTTCCTTGGCCCAAGTATATTGAGGGAATTTACCATTTATGAAGTCTTGGTGGGTCAGAACACAAGCTGTGGAATCTGCATCGTCCGTGTTCACTTCTTTCTCCACCACTTCCTAGCTGGGCAAACTTTGGCTTTAACCTCCCTGCACCTCACTTCCTTCATCTGTCAAAGCCGTGTAAGAATAGTCAGGAGGTCAGGATGAAGTAAGTTAAGTTAAATGAGGTAGCACGTATCACTCTTAGAATCATGCCTGGCTCATCGTGTGGGCTCATTAGCTCATAGATCTCACCTTCTCTAGGTTCACTTGATGACATCACACTTTGTGTCTTCTTATAGATTTGCTTGTTCTATTTGTTAGACTATTCCTAGAAAGCAGAGGCCCTTGGGTTTTCATGGGCTACTCTGTTGACAGAGGGAATAAACTTCACTGATCATTGAGTGATCATTGAATTCTGGTCCACTAGGACATTGGAGTGGGGGTAGAGGGGACTTTGTTGGGACCATATCAAGTTTCTGGTGAGCCCCAACAGAACTAATAGCTTCTCAAAGCGAGATTCTGTAAAACACAGTGAATCAGAATGGAACTGCACACACTTGACAAGCTCTGTTGTATGTTGATAGAGGTGGCTCAGAGAGTTGTTGAAAGACTACCCTAAAGTCTCTCCCGGCCAGTAGAGAGCTTCTTTGGCAGGGTTACCTGGCTTGAAGCCCAGCCTCAGTGACACCTACCATGTCAGCATAGCTCTGTACAACTGTGCTAGTCAGAATAATGACTCCCTGAAGAGGTCCACGCCCTGATCTCCGGAACCCGTGAATATGTCACCTTAAACGGCAACAAGAACTTTGCAGATGTCATTGATCTTGAGATGGGGAGACAGTCCTAGATTACTTAGGAACACTCAATGTAATCACGAGAGTTCTTATAAGAGGGAAATAGGAGGCTCAGAATCAGAGAAGATGTGATGATAGAAGCACAAGAGGGCGGGAAGGAAGGAGGCATGGGCCAGAGGAGAGAAAGATGCTACACTGCTGGCTTTGAAGACAGAAGATGGGGCCATAAGCCAAGGAAAGCAGGTGGCTTCTAGAAGCTGGAAAAGGCAAGAAAACAGATTCTCCCCCAGACCCCCCAGTCCTTCTGACCCATTTTTGACTTTGGACTGTCTTCTCTCCAGAAGACTAAATAAATGCATGTTTTCTTTTTCTAATTTTACCATGGCTTACTTTTTTCCCTTTTAATAATTAAACCTTTAATCCAATTAAAATCAGTTTTTGATGCATGACGTCATGAGTAGGTGTAATTAGATTCTTTCTCCCTTTTAATAATTAAATCTTTAATCCAAATAAAATCAGTTTTTTTTGGTGATTTTTTTGGTTTTGTTTTGTTTTTTCTTGAGACAGTCTCACTCTGTTGCCCAGGCTGGAGTGCAGTGGCAAGATATCGGCTCACTGCAACCTCTGCCTCCCGGGTTCAAGCAATTCTCCTGCCTCAGCCTCCCAAGTAGCTGGGACTACAGGCGCACACCACCACACCTGGCTAATTTTTTTTTCTCTTTTAGTAAAGATGGAGTTTCACCATGCCCAGGCTGGTCTTGAACTCCTGAGCTCAAGCAATCTGCCTGGCTTGGCCTCCCAAAGTGTTAGGATTACAGGTGTGAACCACTGAACCCAGAATCAGTTTTGATGCATGAAGCCATAGGTAAGTGTAATTAGATTCTCTCTCTCCTCAAATAATACTGCTTAACCATTTTTGTGTTTCTTATTTACCGCATACATTATTTTCTACAGGAGGATCAAGTTCAGGGATATCAATTGTTTCTATAGCTGTCTCTTTTTGAGGCATTCTGTACTGTTTCAATTATGTTACTCTAGATGGAAATATTTAGATATTCTGTTTCCAGAAGCCATGTGAAGTATGCTTGTGAAAATATTTAAAGAGAATTATCTTTGATGTAGGTAAGCGAATCTTGTTTGTGCTACTCAAATGACCAGATTAATCTGATTAATGCCCTCCTTCACTTGAAATTCAAAGGATCCATTTTCCAATTTGCCTACAAGTGTTGGGGTATATAAATAGAATGTAACTCTAATAATCATACAGAAAGGTAAAGTAAAATGTCAGAGTCAGGCAGCTCAGCTGAGTTGGTGGCTCACTGTTTCCTGAAGATTTTTATTCATTGAGTCCAGGGTAGAACTTGAGAATATTTATTTATTTTTTTTTAAAAAAAAGCTCTCTCAGGTTTGCAAACCACTGGGCTGGTTTACAAATTAAAACTGCAGAGATAAACTACCTAAAAGCCATTTTCCACATGTCACCAACTTTCAGGGTCCCTCACAAATAACCCAAACTGAGAATGTTAAATCTCCCTTATGAGGGTTAGAAGTAGATAACTGGCCAAGTCAGTAGAGACAGAATTTGAAGAATAAGTTTTCCAAATTCAAAACTTAGTGGTGTTAAGTAACTATTTTATCCTTATTCATAGTTTCTGGAAATCAGGGTTTCCAGAGGGGCTTGGTTAGGCAATTTTTCTTCACATAGTCTTAGGGCCTATCCACGTGGTCTCTGCACAGGCTGTGGAGAGAGGGCTTCCTCACTTCATGGCGACCTCAGAGCAGTTGTGCTGCTCACATGAAGCTCAGGGCTCTGAGGGAGTGGCTAAGAGAACCAGGCAGGAGCTGTATTGCCTTCTATGACAGTTTCAAGAGTCACATAAGCCTGGCCAGATTCAAGGGAAGGGAGCGTAGAACCCCATCTCTCAATGGGAAGAATATCAAAGTCCCACTCTGAGATATGGTTGTGGCCATCACTGGGAAATGCGGTCTGCCACAGTGGAGTCATCTGTTGCCCCCACATCCAGTGCACCAGAGCCTTTCTCTCAAATCTTTCTCGAATCTATCCACTTCTCTATGTACCCCTGCCCACCACTAGTCCAAGCCATCATCATCCCTAGCTCGGACCCCTTTGACTGCCTCCAAACCAGGGCCCCCAATTCCACTTTTCTTTCCCTTCAATTCTTTCTCTTCTGCAGCTAGAGTGATATTTTTATAAAACAAATTTAATTGCACTCCCCATTGTTCTCAGAATAATAATAAAGCTGCCTTCAAGGCCCTGCGAGATCTGTATACTTTCTGCCTTCCAGACTTATCTTATCCCACTGTGCCCCTTGCTTTCCAATCTGCAACCCCATTGGTATTCTTTCAGGTCCTACATCCACCATGTTCTTTCCACCTCAAGGCCTTTGTACCTCCCATTTCCTCTGCTTAAAATACTTCCCCAGCCCCTTTCCTACCTCTCCCCGCTCCCTCCTCCCTTTCACCTCTTTAACTCCTACTCCTCCTGAAGAATGAGTCTTTGCAGATATAGTTAATATGGGGTCATACTGCATGGGGGGGGGGCGCTAATTCAATGCTGGTGCCTTAATAAGAAGAGAGAAATGTAATTGAAATCTTACTCCCCTGCACTCAGAGTAGAGAGGGAGTATGGCATGGTAGCTAGGAGCACAGACTATGGATTCAGACTTCTTGGCTCTAAATCCTGGCTCTACCATTTACTGGCTGTGTGACCTTGGGGACGTACCTAACCTCTCCGTGCCTCAGTTTTTTCCTTTGTAGAACAAGGATGGTAACAGTACCTGTCTCAAAGGATTGCTGTGAATGTTGGTGAGTTAACATAGGTCAAACACTGAGAAAAACGCCTGCCACTTAATGCTAAATAAGCTTGGCTGGTAGTAGTTTGTCATCTTGTTGCATGCTCTTATAGGATGGTGCATTTCTCTTTTCTACCATTTGCTCAATCAGAGGCCAGATAATGGGACGTGAGGAGATGTTTCCTATTGTCTCCTAATCTATGACTTTAGACCCACAGCTGAGGATAAACGGGTGCTAAATATATTATGAACCTTAACCTGGGGTTCATGAACTTGGATGGAAAAAATTTACTCCTTTATTTTCATTGACCTCTAACTTAAATTAAGCATTTCTTTTGATCATGAATGTAGGCAATAAACTACAGTAGTGTTAGCAGGGCCTGCTACATTGTCACCAATAGAAGGCACAGATATTTCTATTTGATATCACACTAGAGTTGCTGCTGCAGATGTCTTGAATTATTGTTTGCACACATCATTACTCTGAAATTATGGAGGTTTTAGGCTTGCCACTAGAGCTTGTTATTTAATCCAGTATTAAAGAGGCATATATATACTATATCACATACTTGTCTTAATATTTTGATAACTATATTTCAATATAACTGGTCTTCTTTATAACTCTCTCATATTTTACATTTACAAAGATTTTTCTGAGAAGAGTCTGTAGGATTCTCCAGATGGCCAGAGAAATCTACAACACAAAGAAAACTTAAGAATCCTGTTTTAAAGAAAGTAGCCAACAACTTGGGTGAAAAGCTCTTTTAAGGGCATATTAAGAGGTGAGTGCTTTCTTTGAGTCAGCCATAGTGCTGAGGACTTTATATATATCTTCATTTAATCCTCCCAACACCCTTAGAAGTAGGTATTATTATTTATTCCCATTTTATAGACGAGAAAATTGAGGCTCAGAAGAGTAGGGATATTACCCAAGGTCACAGAGTAGTATGTTAATGGCAAAGTCGTATAAATCATTTGAGTTGGTTAGGCGCAGTGGCTCACGGCTGTAATCCCAACACTTTGGGAGTCTGGGTGGATCACGAGGTCAGAAGTTCGAGATCATCCTGACCAACATGGTGAAACCCCTTCTCTACTAAAAATACAAAAATTAGCCAGGCATTGTGGTGCGCGCCTGTAATTCCAGCTGCTCAGGAGGCTGAGGCGGGAGAATTGCTTGAACCCTGGAGGCGGAGGTTGCAGTCAGCTGAGATCATGCCACTACACTCCAGCCTGGGCAACAGAGCGAGATTCCATCTCAAAAAAAAAATCCTTTGAGTCTTTGCCACTACCTTGCAAAGTAAGTACCTCATACTTTCATTTTACAGATGAGGAAACTGAGACTCAAAAAGATAGAGTCATTTTATTTCTCACTGTTAAGTGATATAGTCAGGATTTAAACCCATTTCTGTGAGACTACTAAGCCCACATGTTCCACTGTACCTGGCAGGGTTAATTACAGGTACCATGGAAATATAGCCTGGGAGAGCTGGTGGTTTATCAGATACCTTTCTATGGCATCCATCAGGATCAAGTAGTTTGGAAAGAAATTATTACTTTTACTGTTTTTGCTGTGGGGTGACAGAACTGTGCGGGGAATGTCTTTATGGATGTGAAATTCACGTCAGCATTTGGAAAACTCCATTAGCCACTATTGTCTAGACTAGGGAGTTAAAAGTAGGAAGCAAGAGATAAAAGAATACATGGGTAGGAAATTCTGTGTTGGCTCATGCTGAAACGGAAAGAATCATTATTTTGAAACCATTAATGATGAACTTGGTAAGGATCAAAGTAGTCTCGTGATCTGTAAATCTAATGAAATGAAAATGAGGTAATGGTATGTTTTATAACTACGGAGGATCTGAGAAGCTGGAAATTATCTCAGCGTGAATACTGTAAGAGAAGAGGGAACAATGGAAGCCATCTAGAAAAGAATCTTTATTCAGCTTTATTTATAGCAGGTATTCGTCTTGTCTTTCAATACAGGGATCACAAAGGAGTTTGTTTCACCTTGCTGGGTGTATGAAAATACAACAGTTGTCACAGTCCCTGCTGCTTCCTTCCATGGAACTTAACACGTACAAAGGAGGGAAAGGTGGAGACCTATGATGAGGGGGATGAATAGCTCAGGCTGGGAGGGGAGACTGGAGGTAAGAGAGACTGGGGAGAAGAAAAGACCTAAGAGAGATTCTTTCCACCATTTCCCAACCCCCTTTCTCTAATTTTTTACTTAAAAAAAAAATTTTTTTTTTACAGAGATGGGATCTCACTATGCTGTCCTTACTGGTCTCAAACTCCTAGGCTCAAGTGATCCTTCCTCCTTGGCTTCCCAAAGTGCTGGGATTACAGGTGTGAGCCACTGCACCTGGCCCCAACCCCTTTTCTCTAGACCTGAGCTATCTAACATAGTAGCTACCAGCTATATGTGGCTTTTTACATTTGATAAAAGTCAATACAATAAAACCCCCACTTTCTTGGTGGTACTAGCCACATTCCAGATGTTCAACAAGCACATGTAGCTAGTGGTAGCTACCATATTGAATGGCATAAATATACAATGTTTACATCATCACAGAAAGTTCTATTGGACAGCACAAATCAACACTCCAATCCACCTAGATGTTTAGGAGTATTTAAAGCCTAGGACAAGGGAAATCCCATGACTGTAACATCCCTGGCCCAAAGGATGACAGAGAATAGAGTCTTTGAAATGGGGCATAAGGGTCCCAGTTTCCTGGGTGACCATAGGCTAGCTACTTCTGTTCTCTAGAACTCAGTTTTCTAATATTAAAGAGTAATACCATTTTTTATTAGACATTATGTGAGAAAATCACATAGTTAACTTAGTCCTTATAATAACCATGTGAGCTCTTAGGCTCATTTCACAGAGAAGAAACTAGAAGTTAAGAATATGCTCAAGGACACACAGTCAGTAACAGAATCAGATTTTGGGCCAGGCCTATGACTTCAGAAATTACACTTTTACTCATCGATCGATGCTGCCTCCTGCTGCTAGTTCCTCATTTGTAAATCAAAGTGCCTTTGCTGTATTCTCCCAGAAACAGAAACTGAGACAAAGATTTGAGTGCAAGTAGCAAGTAGTTTCTTTGAGAGGTGACTCCGGGGAGCACTGATGGGGTAATGGGGAACTGAGACAGAGAGGAGAAGGAAGCCATTACAGGGTGGGTGAATGAGCAGGTTACACAGTGGGCAACTGTGGCTTCACCTTGACTGGACAGACAGTGTAGAACACATACCTTTTAGTTATCCCAGCTGCGGGGAAAGGCAGCTGCGGCATTGATCCACCAACTCCTCATCTGTCATTGGTAGAAGGCTGCATTATCTCCAGCCCTTCTGGCCTGCCCTCTGAAGGGCTAAACATGCTCTTGTGGCCAAAAAAGGCTCTGGGGCAGAAGGTCACAGGTGCTTGAGATAGGGGACAGGAAGAGTGGGAACAGTGAATATGGAAGGCCTGAGGGTGGAGTACCAACAAGGTGCTACATGGGGATTGGATTAAGTCCTCTTTCTGCTCTAACCAATTAGTGGCTAGCGGTGCTAGTACTAGGTATTATTAGGTATTTTTACATCATAAAACCTGAAAGCATAATGACTACAATCTACCAGAGCAGGGATCCCCAACACCCCGGCTGTGGACCGGTACCAGTCCGTGGCCTGTTAGGAGCCGGGCGCCCAGCAGGAGGTGAGCGGCTGGCTAGCGAGCATTACAGGCTGAGCTCTGCCTCCTGTCAGATCAGCGATGGCATTAGATTTTCATGAGACTGCGAACTCTATAGTGAACCGCGCAGGTGAGGGATCTAGGTTGCGTGCTTTTTATGAGAATCTAATGTCTGATGATCTGAGGTGGAACCGTTTTATCCAAAACCAGGAACCATCCTTCCCAACCCCTCTATCCGTGGAAATATTGTCTTCCACAAAACTGGCCCCTGGTGCCAAAAAGGTTGGGGACTGCTGTACCAGAGCCTATCTGTAGAGGAGAGACTGGAGATACAATTAGACATCTGAGCTGATTTTCAACATGGATGACAGAGTAAAGGGTTAATATTCAGGGCTGGGATTTTGTCTAGTTCACGTGACCTAGTAAGTGCTCAATGCATATTAGTTGAGTGACTACATGATTGAATAAAGTTAATATGAAACAGACAATTTAATAGAAAATGGACAAAGGATATATACAGTTAGTTCACAGAGGAGGATATCCAAATGGTTGATAAACATTTGATAGGATCCTCAACTTCCCTAATAATTGAGGAAATGTAAATAAATGCAGCAAAGAGATCTCTCTCTTCACCATCAAATGGTCAAATATTAAAATGAATGATAACATTTAGTACTGGGGAGAAGGCAGAGTAAAGGTCCCTTCAAACATATGAATTTCCCAAGGTTTTTGGAAAGTATCTTTAAAATATCTGTTAGCATTTACAATATAAATACCCACAAATTCCTTCTAGAAATCTATTGTATAGAAATAAAAACACACGTGCCTAACCATACGTGTAAAAACATTGTTGCAGCCTGCTTTGCAGTAGAGAGAACCTGGATGCAACCTGAATGTACATCAACAGGAAAATGGTTAAATTGATTGTGACAAGTCCACACCATGGAATCTTACACAATTATTTTAAAGAAAGAATGTGTACGATCTGTATCTACTAACCTGGAATTATTTCCATGATATATTATTAAGTGACAAAAATGACTGCAAAAAAAGATAGAGATTCCTTTTCTTATTAAATGAACAAATATATTCTTAAATGTGTAGACAGATATTTATCAGGCTATTATGGGGAGAGAGGTGTAAAGATAGATAAAGAAAAAAAAAATACATGCCAAGGCGGGAGGATTACTTGAGTCCAGGGGTTTGAGGCTGCAGTGAGTTATGATAGTGCTACTGTACTGCAGCCTGGGTGACAGAGTGAGACCCTGTCTCCAATAAAAAAAATAGGAAAAGAAAAGAAAAAATAAAAATAGGAGTTTATAAAGGTGGAAATAATATACGTGGTCTAATATTATAGGAAAATGTAAAATAGATAATCTATTTATGATATCCCTTGGAAAGAAAAATCTGAAGGTCCCTATAGGCAAGGATTAAAAGGTGGCACACGCAAATGTACAAACCAAAATGCTGATTTCATTATGAGATGGGACCATGGATTTTTTTGGTCTGTAATAAAGCGCCTGTTTCATATTTATCTTGAGTGGGAAAGTCTCGATTACTCACTGGGCTATGGCTGCATGAAAATATACAGAATTGTATCTCTAGATCCTGATTCTCAAAGTGCTTTTTTCTTTTCCCCAGCTAATTCACTGGGCAGAAGTTGCCTTCTAATGGGTCTTTCTTCACGGTCTGGCATTTTTAAGGCAATCAGAACTTTGAGGATGTTTTCCCTGCATTATTGGGCCAAAAACTATCTGCCCTCTCTGGTTCTTACGTTTGGTGTGTGCCCAAAATTAGGAAGAGCAAGGGGAAAGGAGAAAAATGTCATCCTGCATAGAGAACAACAAGTTGTGCCGAGTGTTCTGAGGGAACATTGCAGGGCAGATGGATTGTTCTGGATGTTCAGGATGTGTACCCTTCTTACTTGAGGGGAAGGAGGGCAGGAGGCTTGACAAGGAAGCCAAGGAGGCATAGAATGTGCGTTGTAAGCCAAGTGTGGCCACTCTGATTCCTTTCCCAAGACTTTGAACCTCGAAGGAGTGATGCTCAAGTTCAGGGGTAGTTAGAGATTGTGTTCATTATCTATTGCTGGGTAAGAGGTTGACCTGAAACTTAGTGGCTTGAAACAAGAAAACATCTATTATCTCACAGTTTCTGTGGGTTAGGAATCCAGAAGCAACTTAGCTGGGTGGTTCTGATTAGATCACCACTGGGATCAATGTGTCAGCTGGGGCTGAAGTCATATGAGGCTTGACTGCTGCGGGAGGGTCCACTTCCACTTCCACTTCCACTTTCACTTCCTATGTGGCTGAGGGCTGGAAGCTTTGAATCCTTGCCATATGGACTTCTCCATAGGCTGCCTGAGTGCTGAGTGTCCTCACGACATGGCAGACAGCTGCTTCCCCAGAGGGCCTGGAGACAGTGCAGGGGGTGGGGGAGAGGGGAGAGAGAGAGAGAGAGAGGAGAGAAGAGAGAGAAAGGAGAGAGAGAAGAGAAGGAGAGAGAAAGAAGAGAGAGAAAGAGAAGAGAGAGAGAAAGGAGAGAGAAAGAAGAAGGAGAGAGAGAAGAGAGAAAGGAGAGAGAGAAAGAAGAGAGAAAGAAAAGAGAGAAGAGAAAGGAGAGAGAGAAAGGAGAGAGAAGAGAGAGAAAGAAGACAGAGAAAGGAGAGAGAGAAGAGAAAAGAGAAGAGAGAGAGAAGAGAGAGAGGAGACAGAGAAGGGAGAGAGAAAGAAGAGAGAGAAGAGAGAAAAAGAAGAGTGAGACAGTGCACACATAAGATGGAAGCCTCAGTCCTTTTATTTTTATTTAATTTTTTTGTAGAGATGAATTATTGCTGTGTTGCTCAGCTGGTCTAGAACTCCTTGCTTTAAGTGATCCTTCCTTTCTTGACCTCCCAAAGTGTTGGAATTACAGGCATGAGCCACTGCACCTGACCTCAGTGGGTTTGTAACCTAACCTTGATGTGACCTACACTCACTTCTGCTGGTTTCTGTTGGTCACACAGACCAACCCTGGTACAATAAGGAAGGGGACTACATAAGGGTGTGAAGACCAGGAGGTAGGGATTGTTGAGGGCTGTCTTGGAGGTAGGCTGGCACAGAGATGGTTTATAGAACTTTTCTGTGGCAGAGTCTCATCTATTCCCTGCCTCCTGTGGTTTTGCCTGGGTGCCTCCCTTGAGCCTTCCTGTCGGCTCTCTGGGCTGCCCAACACCCTTTCAATAGTGTCCTCTTTTATTTAAGTTCACTGCTACATCTTCTCTTGTTTGCAAGGACAACTCTGATTAGAACAGGTGCTACAAGAGAGGACAGTGGCGGGGGAGGTGGGTGGGTAGCAGAGGAAACTCATTTTAGATAAGATGGTCAGGGAAGGCCTCTCTGAGGAGGGGCCACTTACCCTGAGACATGAATGGTGAGGAAGAGTCAGCAGATGAAAGGTGGGAGGAGGGGCGTTTTAGACAGAGGGGGCAGCATAGCCAAAGCTCTGCGGTGGGAACCAAGGTTGCCAATGGCCAGGTCACGCAGCCTCTTGAGGTCACAGTAAAAACTTGGATCCTTTCCCCTGCAACCAAAGCATCTCTTCTTCCAAACATCAGAGTCTGGGAGGGCTGAGGACCAGGCTCCAGGCCTCATTGTGCGGGGATCAGATCAGCCGAGTAAGTGGCTTTAACCAGATAAGGATCAAGACATTCTCTGCTTTGTTCTCGCATCTGTTTTGCCGGCTCTTGGGTTTTCCAAATTTCTGCTTGGGTTCTTTTCTGAGTTTCTTAGTTCCCTTTGATAAATTCCCACGTGATACTGGTGAGCTAAAGGGAAAGCTTTTTGTCCATAGTTAGGCCTGGGAATCCCAGCTAGAGAGCCCTGTCATCTTATGGAGATGGGCTGCTACCCAGGACGGTGTGGGAATGGGCAGGTGGGTCTGAGGGATCCCTTCAGCCTCATTACTCTATAGTTCTGCGTTTATTCAACAAATACCTGTTCAGCATCTGGCAGGTGTTCAGACTCTGTGTGGGTGTTAGGTTAAGAAGATAAAGGAGGCACTGTTCCTCCTCTCCACAATTCAAGTTAGAAGTGAGGGATGGCCTGATCCAAAGGCGATTGAGTGCAAATTCCTTGTTCCTTAGGAATCAGCCACATGGCTGGCCCACAGCCAAAGCCAACAGGTCCTCTGTACCCTGTATTTTAGGGAGCCAGATAGTTTCCCTCCAGGTTTACTAAAGGAGGCAGAACTCGCTTTACACCCACAGCCCAAAATTCCAATTTCCTCTTCCTTGCCCATACAGCAATCTTGGGGAGGAAGGAGGTCCTTGGTTTTACTGAGTAGTCAGGTGTTCATAGGAGAAGGCCATTTCCTCCCTCCCCGTTAAGGGTGGGGTAGTGGAAATTCAAAGGAAGTCCCTCATGGAGACTGAGAGGTGACTGCAAGCATGGGGTGCTGGGATGCTGTTCCCTGATGGGTGGTGGACTGTGGGCAGTGGACTGTGCCTATCTGAGCAGGGTAGAGGAGAGGTGAGAAGAGGGGCATTGTGGTGTAGCTGACTGGATGCGTGAGCTTCTCTAGGTCAAGTGGACGTTGCAGTAATCAGCCTGGCTGGAGCACTTTTCTGGTGGCCTACTCAAGCAGGTTGACTGCTGGGCAAGAGGGTCAGGACACTGGTAGGCCCTAGGTGGTGGGGTGGGGTAGGCGAGGTCAAGCCTGGGCTGGATGACCCTGTGAGAGAATTGTGCAGTGGAGAAGCCGCTAAGGAACTTACTCATTTGCCCATGAGAAACCATATATGGACACGGGGTTGGGGTGGGGGTGGTAGGGTATGTCTCCCAATCAGACCATCCGCCCCACCTCCACCAAGTCCTTTTCCTCCTAGCAGGCAGGGTCCTGGCTCAAGTTAACTCTTGAATGAGTAAGAGAGAAGATAAAATGAGATTTAAATTGAGTTTGAGAATAAAGGTCTAAAGGATGGAGGTTTAACAACAGAAAGTGATCCAAAAGTAATGCAATCTGCCCAAAATGTCATTAAGGGATGGAAAAGGGAGATTCAACACAGCATGGCTGAAGGCAGAGATTAGGGGAGAAAATCTTCATCATTATACCCCACAGAGTTGAATCGCCTCAATACACTGGCTCCACAAGTAAACAGAAAAATTGAAATACAGTGTGGTCGGGCTAGAGTCTTGCTTGGGTAAAGCTGCCCCAGGTTCTGAGAGAGCACAGGGGGATAGGTTGGTTGTTAGAGAGAGATTTCCAGAGGAGGGTTGCCTGAGATGGACCTTGAAGGGTGAGAAAGAGTTGGCCAGGTGAAAGGAGAGTGGCAGTGGGAAGGGAGCTCTCCAGGCAGAGGTGACAGCACGGGACATCTGGGGAGTGGGGCTGGAGCATGAAGGGGAAGGCAGGAAGGATGCTTAGAGATGTACACCAGGAGGCCCATGGCCTTGCAGCTCTGCAAGCTTAAGGGGTGAGGGCCCTGGAGAGCCACTTTAAACCTTGGAGCAACACAATTGGATTTGCATATTAGACAGAACACTCTGGATGCCAGATTCTGGCAGCGCTGTGGACACTGGACCTCTAGGCATGCTCCTCACCCATTCACCTGGCACTGTGAACCCACCTCCCTACAAAGGCCATTTCATCTCTGAGTTTCCAAAATCCTGGCTCCCTACTCTTTTGAATGTCCTTTGCCCCATTCCTATTGCAGAACCCTTCATTGTTCCCTTTTTGATTGGCCTCCGAATATTGCCACTTTCCCTTAAATCATCTTCTCGCTTTCCTCCTCCAGCACACTCTTCTCAGCTCAACAAGATTCTAGGCCTTCTCTGGGCCTGTGCCCACCAGCACATGCCTCCTCAGGATATGTATATACTAAAATATCTTCCCTTTATCTTATCTGGTCTTCGCCCCATGGGGCAACCCGAAGGCTAACATTTATTCCTTCACACATTAATTTAAGCTGCTTTAATTGCTGCTATGATATGTTTTATATAATATAATTAATGTTTTAATTCTGTGTACTTGCTTCCCCAGGCAGTTTTGTGAAAGGCCCAATTTTGGAATCAAGCAAATAAAGAATAAGTAATGGCTGAAATCATTATAGTAACACCCCTCTCTCAAAGGATTTAAAACCGTGCTTGTTTTTTTCAAAGTATGTTAAAAAGGGAAAAGATATTTTAATCTTCTCTCCATCCTGGGCATGTTTGGGTGGCTTTAATGAAGTTCCCTGGACCCTGATTTCAAGAGTTTCTGGCCTTTTGGTATCTGACCACCATTCTCAAGAGGCCACTGCAGCTTGAGGTCTGTGTTGAGATTACCAGCTTCGCACCCCCTGCCACCAACTCTTTGTCATGATTGGAGGCTGTACTTAGGATGAGAAGTTGCTGAACCCACTCATTCATTTATTCATTCATTCAGCACCCATATATTGGTGTCCTATTATGTACCTAGGACTGGGATAGATCCAGTCCTGCCCTCAGGGAGCTCACAGTCAAATGGGACCAGGCAGAAGGAGTTATGAGCTGGCATGCTAAATGCTGTGGCAACACAGGGGAGGAGGCAGGGTGGGATAGAGTACCTACCTCTGCCTCAGGGAGTTGGGGAAGGTGTAAGAGGAGGCAACATTTAAACTGTTTAAGAAAGGAGAAGGAAAGGAAGGAAACATCAAGAGCAATGAGATAAACCGTAAGGAAAAAAGATTGTGTGCCTGGGAAGTGGGGAGAGGCTGAAGCCAGTGTGCATGGGAGGACGTGGCAGGAAGTAAGCATAGAAAGAGAGGTTGGGGCTGAGTGAGGAAGGGTGTGCTTTGCCAGGATAAGAAATTTGGATCATCCTGAGGGTGCAGGGAAACCCAAAGAGGCTTTTATGCAGGAAAGTGTCCCAGTCGATCAGATCTGGAGTTTATCAAGAGAATCGCAGCAGTGTAAAGAGTTGCCTGGCACATAGTAGGTGCTCAATAAATCCTGTGGAATGAGAGAGGCTGTTGGGACAGTCCAGATGAAAGATGGCACCCTCTGAATTAGGGCAGTGGCAGAGGTGACAGAAAATAAGGGATGGATCCTAGAGGCAGAATCCACAAGACTTGCAAATGTGCCCTTAACAGCAGAAGCCATGAGAATGGGGTTAGAAGTGTCCTCCTCTTCCATCCTCCCTGATCTGTGAGGTCTGGCCTCTTGTCCTCTTCCAGAAATTGAGAGCTTGGAGGGTCATCACCTCAACCGTTGTCTAGTTCAAGCTCCTAAGTTTTCCTTGGAGAAAAATTTAGGCCTAAGGGAACACAGTCCTTCAGAGGCAGAGGCTGCACCAGAACCCAGGTGTTCCATGCTGCAAAGCAGAGTGTTAACACTGGTTCAAGAACATCTTGAGGGCCAGGTGCGGTGGCTCATGCCTGTAATCTCAGCACTTTGGGAGGCCAAGGCAGGCGGATCACCTGAGGTCAGGAGTTTGAGACCAGCCTGGCCAACGTGGAGAAACCCCGTCTCTACTAAAAATACAAAAATTAGCTGGGCGTGGTGGCGCCAGCCTGTAATCCCAGCTACTCGGGAGGCTGAGGCAGGAGAATTGCTTGAACCCAGGAGGCAGAGGTTGCAGTGAGCCGAGATCATGCCACTGCACTCCAGCCTGGGCAACAGAATGAGACTCTGTCAAAAAAAACCCAAAAACCAAAAACCAAACAAACACCCAAAAAACAAAACGAAACAAAAAACAAAAAAACAAAAGCACGTCTTCAGAGTTCATGAACCCAGGAAATGTAGGCACAAGTGTGTGTGTTTCTGCAAAATGAGAGGGTCCCGAGTTTCCTAACATACTTAAAGTGTTTTATGATGCCACAAAAGGCTGGCCCACTCTTTTTTTTTTTTTGAGATGGAGTTTTGCACTGTCGCCCAGGCTGAAGTGCAGTGATGTAATCATTGCAATCATGGCTCACTGCAACCTTGACTTCTTGAGCTCAAGCGATCCTCCTGCCTCAGCCTCCTGAGTAGCTGGGACTACAGGTGTTTGCCACCATGCCTGGCTAACTTAAAAATTTCTTTATTTTGTAGAGATGGGGGTCTTGCCATGTTGCCAGGCTGGTCTTGAACTCCTGGCCTCAAGCAATCTCCCTTTTTGGCCTTCCAAAGTGTTAGATTACAGGCGTAAGCCACCGCGCCTGGCCCCCACCTTTATTTTTATTTTTATTTATTATTTATTTTTTTTTTTTTTGAGACTGAGTCTTGCTCTGCCTTCGAGGCTGGAGTGCAGTGGCACGATCTCGGCTCATTGCAATCTCTGCCTCTGCGGTTCAAGCGATTCTCCTGCCTCAGCCTCCCGAGTAGCTGGGATTACAGGCGAACGCCACTACATCCGGTTAATTTTTGTATTTTTAGTAGAGACGGAGTTTCACTATGTTGGCCAGGTTGGTCTCGAACTCCTGACCTCAAGTGATCTGCCCGCCTCGGCCTCCTAAAGTGCTGGATTACAGGCGTGAGCCACCGCGCCCGGCCCCACTCTTAATAAATGCCTGTCTCCAGGTGCTGGGTGGGAGGTGGGATGGAATGGAATGAGGTGAGGACGCATGGATGCATGGATGAATGGATGGGAAGTTGAGACGACGCGCCCACACGAGGGAATTTCCTTTGAAAGAGAGCGAAATTCTGAGTTGGGAAACTCTTCCTTGAAACGCCTCCCCATACCCCAGCTGTGGCCTTCCCGTTTTCTGCGTGGTGGTGTGGGGGGAACTTCCTCAGGCCTCTCCGCAGTGGAGCCTCTTTCGGTTCTGCCAGGATACCTAGAGGCAGCGGAGAGCGGGGCAGGGAGGGGAAAACCGTGAGGGTCCCTGTGGCAGGCCCCAGCACCCATGGGATCTCTCTCCGGTCGCAGGAAGCAGGCTAGCTCCTAGCCCGCCTCGGCTTGGCCTTTGTGGGACCTGGGGGCAAAGAAGAAGAGCTGTCTCTGGGACCATGCCTCCTCCCGTACACAGCAAGATGCGTCCCTAAACTCCCGGGGGAATTAGACTTGTGGGAATGTTCTGGGGAAACTCCTGCGCGGTGAATTGCTGGGGGCTCCGCCCCCCCGATAGGTGGACCGCGATTGGTCTTTGAAGACCCCGCCCCTTTCCTGGGCGGGGCCAAGGCTGGGGCAGGGGAGTCAGCAGAGGCCTCGCTCGGGCGCCCAGTGGTCCTGCCGCCTGGTCTCACCTCGCTATGGTTCGTCTGCCTCTGCAGTGCGTCCTCTGGGGCTGCTTGCTGACCGCTGTGAGTTGTTTTTGCCCCGACCAGACGGGAGTTGGGAGTGGGGAATGAGAAGGAAAGGGAAGGAAGACTTCGGGGAAGAGGCCTTCCTGGCTGATTTTTGTGGGGGCAGGAGGGTGGGTGGGAGCTGGGCAAGGTGCCCCCGCTCCTGGCTGAATGGGGTGGGCTGCCTCTCTCTTCTCCCGGGCTGGGGTCCCGGGAGCGGCCTACAGGGGCCGCTCAGGGAAGGCACTGGCTGCCCAAGCGTGCCTAGACGGCCTGGACGGGTTTAGGGAGCCTCAGAGGCTGGCCACACAGAGACTGGTAGGGGGTTCAGAGGGCGGGAAGTGAGGCGGACCAAGGGAAGGGGCGGGTCTGGCCCGTTTCCTGTCCCCTTCTTATTGTGGACAGATGCCAGCCTCTGTAAGTAGTTATCATCTCCTTGCCAGCTGGGGCTGCCTTCTTCCAGGGCATCTTGTGGGAACAAGAGATGGGTGCAGAGGCCCAGGTACTTTTGTGAGAAGGCAAGGAGCTTTTAACATCGCCTTCCACCCCGAACCGTATCTTGGGTGTTCCAACCTAGGAGGAATCCCCAGGGCTTTGCCTTTTTCTCCTGAATTTAAGATGACATAGGAGACCCCTGGGGAGATGAACAGTTTATGGGACACAATAAAGGGTTAGGAGACCAGAGTTCTGGTTGGCTCTGACAGGGCTGGTGATCAGAGGGCTGGAGAAACCAGGGGTTTCTCCAGGCACCAGAGGGGCTCAGAGCCAACCAAGCATATCTCCGGGATTTTCAGAAGCCTACACTTGACTCACTTTTTGTTTAAATGTATTTTTGTAGTTCCTCATTCTGGAGGCTGGGAATCCCCCAAGTACCTGGCTCCTTCATCCCAGCCCCTCTGGCCTCCCCCTACTTTAGAGGGCTGTAGATTCCTGCCTGAAGCCTGGGCAGGAATGACCCATGGTATCAAGGAAAGCAAGGGAAGCAGCAAGGGAAGAGAGGGAGTGGGGAGGCTGCTTTGGTCCCACAGCTTTCACTTTCACCTGAAGCAATGGCTCTTAGGGAACAGGGAGGCAGGGGGAGGGCGGAGCTGGAAAGAGGTAAAGGGGGGCCCTTGTGGTAGGAGTGGAGAAAGAGCCAGAGGAGGTGGGGTGAAGGGTGTGATCCAGGCTTCTCAAGAGCAGAGTTTGCCCTCATAACTCCCAACTTTGGCTCCAGGTAGAGGCTGGGCTGTGACAACAATGTCAGAAGCTATCTATTGAGGGCTTCTTGTGTGTCAGGCTCTGAGCCAAACACTGCCTGTTTTCTTTGTCTGATTTCTCACAACTCCCCCATTATACAGATGGGCAAATTGAGGCTCAGAAAGGGGGATTGTCTTGCCAAAGGTCTCATAGCTAGCTAATGGAAGAACCTGGTTGTGAATCTACATCTGCATGATTCCCGAGCCTGCCTCTCAGATAGTGAGAGTCTCCAAGCTCTGGTCCTGAGCTGTTTTGTGGCAGAAGGACCAGAACTATGGGGAGTGAGAACTGGAGATTGACAGACTTTTAGGGGAGCGTTTTATTTCTCATGTGTTTGAAGATGGTATCAAGGACTTTCCTATCTTTGGGAGTGTGGGAGCTCCACGTTCACAGGATGGTGTCTTGCAATGAGCTGGTGGGGGGCAGTAGCCTTTTCTACTTCCTTTCCCATTTTGGGTAAGACACATTTCTGTAAGTAATTTGCTGAGATACCCAGGTTGAATGAGAGCCACCAGTTAGGTAGGATTCTGGACAGCCAGCCAGGTAGCCGGGCTGCTTGCCATATATCATGCAAGCAGAAACAAATGAATGATGATTAAAATTGCCATTTAATGAGCACCTACTATGTTCCTGACACTGTGCTAGGCCATATACATGTATTCTTTCTTATCTTCGTAATCCAACCTGCAGGGCAGGCATTATTACTCCCATTTTAGAGATAGAGAAACTGAGGCTAAGAGAAGCAAAATAACTAGTAAGTGTTACAAAGTCAGGACTGGAGTCTAAAGCTGTCTGACTCTCAAACTTGTGTTCTTTTCACTGGCTGTTCCCAAACTGTGGGACAGTTTTAAGGAGCACATGGACATAGAATTAAACATACACTTACTTTACAGTTCTTTTAAAAATCCTTCTCATTTTTTCAAAGAGGAAGTCTCTGGAGCTAGAATAGAGTTAATGCCTCTCAAAGGCTTGCTAATCCTTCTTTTAAAACAAAAATCAAGAGCAGGCCTGGGAGGGCCTTCAACAAGCAAACAACCAGCTGGGTTTTAATAACCTTGTTTTGTTTCCCCAGAATTTATTTTTAGGGTTACCTTTTATTTATGAGAAGTGATACTGGTTCTTGTCTCTTGGCAATGATGTGAGGTTTACATTTAAAGTAAATGTACCGGCCAGGCACGGTGGCTTGTGCCTGTAATCCCAGCACTTTGGGAGGCCAAGGCAGTCAGATCACTTGAGGTCAGGAGTTTTAGATCAGCCTGGCCAACATGGTGAAACCCTGTCTCTACTAAAAATACATAAATTAGCCGGGCATAGTGGTACACACCTGTAATCCCAGCTACTCAGGAGGCTGAGGCTGGAGAATTGCTTGAACCCAGGAGATAGAGGTTGCAGTGGGCTGAGATGATGCCACTGCACTCCAGCCTGGGCGATGGAGCGAGACTCTGTCTCAAAAAATAAAATAAAAGTATTGAAATTAACAATAAGTAATTAATAGCATGGGTGGTACCTGGATGTAGTAAAATGGTGAAGATGAAACACAAGTTGATGGAGAGAGGAGCATTGAGACCTGAGTTCTCATTTGGACTCTGTCACTGTGAGACTCTGGGCAAGTGACCCTCCTCTTTGGTGCTCAGTCTCAACTATCTGTAAAATGAAAGTGTGAGTTTACCCTTCCAGCTTTACATTCTAGCATTTTATGAGGGAAGGGCTGGATGAACAGATGATGAGGAGTTGGAGGAAGAAAACATGATGGGCTTTGGAAAGGAGCAGGAAGGGAAGCAGAAGAATAGGAGGAAGAGGCCAAGTGCTAAACATAGCCCCAAACAGCACTGGGACCAGCTGAAGTCAGCCAGCTTCAGGACTCCAGGGGAGCTGCTGGAGTCCCCATATCCTATGGGATCTTTGGGAAGAGGAATGACTCAGGCATCAAGCCCCAAGGAATTCTGTTCTGTTCAGAGAATATTGTGAGTTTACAGTACCATTGCTTTGTAAAAATACCAGAATGATTCTCTGGGTGCGATTATAATCAGCTCAGTTGACAATTTACTTGAAAACAAACATGCCAAATATCATGCAGGTTCCACTTTCTGTTTTGACTTGCACTTCAGTTTGCAGCCTCTGTCCTGGATGACTTTTACCTTTCTGCTGAAGAAGTTGCAACGGAGATTTCAAGATCCCTTCAAATTGCACAATTCTGTTTTTAGGTCCATCCAGAACCACCCACTGCATGCAGAGAAAAACAGTACCTAATAAACAGTCAGTGCTGTTCTTTGTGCCAGCCAGGTGAGATGCCAACCCTCTAGCCCCATCATGGAGTCCCCCTTTGCTTTGGTGGCAGACGCAGACCCCATATGTTAACTGTAAACTCAAATCTGAAACGACCCATTTCCCAGCCCTGCTTCACTGTCAGAATGTTCTGGTTCCCTCTCTACCAGGTAAAACTCTGTCTACCCTGAACTAGGGATCCCAGCTTCTCCATCTTCCTCGCCTGATTATGAAGGATCCAAGACTTTCATCTTTGAATCCCCTACCCTAAAGCCTGGCCTGATCATTGTGTGGTTAGTGTCTGACTCATGGAGTTGGCCAGAGCCCTCCCTCATTTCCTGATGTTTTCCAGGACAGAAACTGGTGAGTGACTGCACAGAGTTCACTGAAACGGAATGCCTTCCTTGCGGTGAAAGCGAATTCCTAGACACCTGGAACAGAGAGACACACTGCCACCAGCACAAATACTGCGACCCCAGTGCGTGCGCTGTTGGGAAAGGGACGCTTGGGAACCGGGCTGATATTCCCGACAATGCAGCCATTCTAATTTTATGTAGCCAGGGTCTGCTCTGATTGGTTGGAGTCCGGGCTGTACTGATCATTAAATGATTTGATTGCCATCTCTACTTGGAAGAGGGTCTGAGGAAGAAAGAGCAGGCAATGTGGGGAGTGAGGCTCAGAGCATGGCCCAGCAGGGGGTTCCCATCCTTCCTGCCCTTCTCTTCTCAGACCTAGGGCTTCGGGTCCAGCAGAAGGGCACCTCAGAAACAGACACCATCTGCACCTGTGAAGAAGGCTGGCACTGTACGAGTGAGGCCTGTGAGAGCTGTGTCCTGCACCGCTCATGCTCGCCCGGCTTTGGGGTCAAGCAGATTGGTAAGTGGCTCATCTGGGAATCAGTTTTGGAGGGGGACAGAGGAGCTTAGGGCCCAAGGTGAGGGGCTGGGCAGTGGGCACTTAGCCCCAGAGGCAGAGGAAGCAGAGGCTCCAACCTATGTCGGTATCCCCACTGGAGTGAGCTGCAGACGGGACCTTGTTCATTCTGCCTTCTGCCATGGGGATCTGCCTTTGAAGGGCAATGGGAGAAGTCCTCCTGGGGACTGCAGCTGTCGGGGGCAGTACCACATCGGGGGAAGAGTGCTCAAGGCAGGAGCTCTTCCCGTCCTGCCTGGCCACTGGCTGCCTTGTGAGCCGGACAGGTGGTCCACTGTGATGGTTAATGTCCCCCTCCCCACCCACTCCCAGCTACAGGGGTTTCTGATACCATCTGCGAGCCCTGCCCAGTCGGCTTCTTCTCCAATGTGTCATCTGCTTTCGAAAAATGTCACCCTTGGACAAGGTATAAGCACTCATCCCTTGTGTTTCCTGCTCTAAGAGTGGCATGGAGCTGCCTCCATTCTCTCCAGCCACCTGTCCTGTCCCTGCTCCCAGAGGTCCACACACACTCATGTACTTGTGAAGCATCTGCAGAGTGGCCTCATGGCCAACCAGACAGGCACATTTCCACATTTTTTTTGCCTGCTGTCTCTTTGAGGTAATAGACACTGTTGATCTCTCGCTTCATGAGAGCCTCCTATCTTGGGGGTATTGGGACACTTATTTTAGCTTTCCTTCTGCCCCTCCTGCTTCTCCTCAGTTTTCCTCGTCTTGCTTTCACCTTACCTGGCTTTCTAGGGCTTTCTGGGCTCTGGGTGCTCACCCTGAGGGCCTCCCTCTCTTACCTCCAACTCCAAACCCACACCAGGTCCTGCCACTGGCTGTCTACGTGTTTTGGGAACTTACTGTCTCCACTGTTGTCACTTTAGTTTGGGCCTCATCACTGTGGTCTGGGTGATGCCTTTTCTGCCTCCTGGCCTCCCTGCCTCTGTCTCTCCCCTCCTGCTGGTTCTGTCTCCATCCTCTTGCCAACATGAGCGTTCGACAGTTTCTTTCAAATCATGACACTCTCCTATTTGAGATGCTTCCTGTCTCTCTGTTGGAACTAAGACTCCTTAGCATGGCACCCAACCTTCCTGTTGCATTTCCTGCTCTCTTTCCTGCATCGCATAGCTTCATGCTACTTGCAATCCTCTGAACACACTGTTCATTCTCTTCCATCAAACTCATCTGCCTGGAATACCTTAAACATGGGCCCCAGGCCAGGCGCGGTGGCTCTTGCCTGTAATCTCAGCACTTTGGATGCCAAGGCGGGTGGATCACTTGAGGTCAGGAGTTCAAGACCAGCCAGCACAACATGGTAAAAACCCATCTCTACTAAAAATACCAAAAAATTAGCTGGGTGTGGTGGTGGGCGCCTGTAATCCCAGCTCCTCGGGAGGCTGAGGCAGGAGAATCACTTGAACCCGGAAGGTGGAGTTTGCAGTGAGCCAAGATAGCGCCACTGCACTCCAGCCTGGGCAACAGAGCGACATTCTGTCTCAAAAAACAAACACCTGCCCCATTAACTTTTTGCATTTGATTTTTAAAAATGGGCAAGATAGGCACATGGGACAGAAGGCACAAAAGAGCCAAAGTGATGTCTTTCTCCCATCCCTGCCCCTTAGGCTCCCAGTTCTTTCTGGAGGGAGCCATTGTTCCTTGCATATCCTTCCAGAGATTCTACATATAAACAAACCAACACACACACACACACACACAAACACACACAAAATTTCCCTCCTTTTACTTTTGCACAAATAGGAGTATACATTTTATTTGTTAACTGTCTGCCTTTCCCTAATAGATTGAAAATTCCTTAAATGTAGAAACTTGGCCTTTTTTTTTTCTTCCATTGATACATCCCCTATACCTGGAACAGTACCTGACGCATGGTAGGTGCTTAAATTTTTACTGATAAATGTTGACTGATAACTGGAGGCACCACTGGTATAGTTTTTTTTTTTTTTTTTTTTTTTTTTTTTTTTTGAGACAGAGTCTCACTCTGTCGCCCAGGCTGGAGTGCAGTGGCGCAATCTCGGCTCACTGCAAGCTCTGCCTCCCAGGTTCACGCCATTCTCCTGCCTCAGCCTCCTGAGTAGCTGGGACTATAGGCGCCCGCCACCACACCCGGCTAATTTTTTTGTATTTTTAGTAGAGACGGCGTTTCACCGTGTTAGCCAGGATGGTCTTGATCTCCTGACCTCGTGATCCGTCTGCCTTGGCCTCCCAAAGTGCTGGGATTACAGGCGTGAGCCACCGTGCCCGGCCACCAGTGGTATAGTATTAATGGAATCAGTGCATTGGCTTACGTATCTGATTACAGCTCAGTAAGTGTGTGACCCTCACTGAGCCTCAGTCTCCTCATCTGAAAAATGGGAATGACCTTCATTTCACAAGGCTTGAGCTAAAAACATGTAAAGTGTATTGTAAATTCCTGAATGCTCTACTCATGTAAGACTAAAGTAGGCCGGGCGTGGTGGCTCACACCTGTAATTGCAGCACTTTGGGAGGCCGAGGAGGGCAGATCATGAGGTCAAGAGATCGAGACCATCCTGGCTAATATGGTAAAACCCTGTCTCTACTAAAAATACAAAAATTAGCTGGGCGTGGTGGCGCACATCTGTAGTCCCAGCTACTCAGGAGGCGGAGGCAGGAGAATTGCTTGAACCTGGGAGGTGGAGGTTGCAGTGAGCTGAGATCGCGCCACTGCATTCCAGCCAGTCTGGCGAAAGAGCAAGACTCTGTCTCAAAAAAAAAAAAAAAAAAAAAAAAAGACTAAAGTACATGGTTTCTTCAAAGCTTCTCTCTCTTTCTCCCACCTTAGATGATTTTTCCTTTGCAATGTCCTGTGTCCATTCCGCCCCACTCCTCCTGGGGCCACCTGGACCAGGTCTTCATCATCTCATATCTATATGTTTGCTGTGTCTCCTGGCTGGCCACTCTTCTGTAATTTCTCCTCCTCTGAGCTCTCTGGGCAGCTGAATCTTCTCACTAGTGAAGTCGCCTGGTTGGATGCTGATGAGACTGACCAGCTGAATCCAGTTGAAAACTTCACACTTGGCAGTGATCTGGTTCTAAAGACACAATTTTCCATAGTTTCCTAACACCATCCTGCATGCCACCTGCCTTATTTCCCCACATCACATCGTCCCACTTAGCGGGACTGCACTGCTGATCCAAATTTTACATCCTTTAGGGCCCACTCAGGTCATATGTCCTCAGGGAAGTCTTTCTGGAAGAACCTTAAACCAGAGGTTCTCAACAGGGGGCAGTTTTGCTCCCTGTGGAACGTTTGCCAATGTCTGGACACATTTCATTCGTCACAAACGGAGAGGGGGATGCTACAGGGATCTGGCGGATAGAGGCCAGGGATGCTGCTGAACATCTGCAATGCATAGGACAGCCCACCCCCACCCCCACACCCCCAGTAAATAATGATCCAGCCCAAGTGTCACTGGTGCTGACGTTGAGTAACCCTATCTTAAGCTGAACTCATCATCTCTCCATTCCAGCCTTGGTGGATTCTGTCTCCTCTGAACCATTCCCATCTCACTTTAGCCTACCTAGATCACAAAGCTTGGCACTCATTATAGACTCCCCTATTTATTACTCCTTCAAGATGTGCAAGAATCTTTTCTCTGCACTTTTAAGTTCTGTAAGAAGAGTCTGTGTCGTTCCTATAATAACCAGCATAGGACGTTGCACGTGTTGTGTGCTCAGTGAACCTGGATTTGTTGATTGTTGACTGACTCACTCTAGAGTTGGAAATCTTATGCTTGGGGAAACTTAATATCTCTTTCTTTCTCTGTGTGTGTGCATTTGTGCACGTGTCTGTGCATAGCTGTGAGACCAAAGACCTGGTTGTGCAACAGGCAGGCACAAACAAGACTGATGTTGTCTGTGGTGAGTCCTGGACAATGGGCCCTGGAGAAAGCCTAGGAAGGTGGGAACTGAAGGGGGAGATGAGGCACACAGGAACACTGGATGGGAAAAAGGGGAGGGGAGGCAGTTTGGGGGTGTGGTATCACAGCTCTGCCACTTATCTTGGGAGTCTGGGCAAATCACTTCCCCTCTCTTAGCCTCAGTTTCTTCATCTGTAAAATGGGATGATAACAGCACTTCCTTAGTAGGTTTTGATTTTAGAGTGAGAAGGTTGGCCTACAGTAAAGATCAGATAATGTAAATCAGTGAAAAAGGTCAGGGGTAAGAAAATTACATTCTCTTTACCTAACGCTAAATGACCAGTTAATGGGTGCAGCACACCAACATGGTACATGTATACATATGTAACAAACCTGCACATTATGCACATGTACCCTAAAGCTTAAAGTATAATAATAATAAAATTTAAAAAAACGAAAAATACATTCTCTTTGCTTTTTCTCAAAATGTACTTTCCTCTTTGTAGGGCTGGGACTAGAATGAGGTGAGCAAGGCACTTGCCCTCGGGCGCAATATTTAAGAAGGTGCCATAAAAGTGTAGTAATCAAGGTAAATTCATTTTGATGCAATATTTTTAAAAATAAAAATTAATGCAAAGAAATCCATGATGAGCAAGATAGCAACATTTTAAATAAAGAACAGGATCCGACCCTGTGTTTGCATGACCCTGCCTCACTCACCTCACCCTAATCCTGGCCCTGGTTCCAGTAAAAGGAATAGGCAGCCAGCCTGCAGGCCGTAGTTTGCTGACTTGGTGTCCGCCTGATGATTTTCAAAATATGGCATTAAAAGAATGTTTACCTTGATGACTGAGTGTTTTGGACATCCTTTTCAATTTTGTCCTGAAACAATTTCATCCCTTGCCTCACGCTAGTCTCCGCCCTGCCTTTTGGTCTTTCTTTTATTTTCCCACTTTGAAAAAAAAATTCGGCATGAGAAATACTTTACCTTTCCCCTCCACTCTTCTATACCAAAAGCAACATGCAGACATGAATCATGCTAGACCTCGGCATTGGGCAGAGAGCAGGGAGTGGCGGGGAGCATGGTGAGCAGGTGGTGACAGCCACTGCCACCACTCGCTTCTAGATGGTTCCCAGGTGGGGAGGCTGCCAACTGGAACCCAGTCTTCCCAGTTTGTAAGAGAAATCAGATGTCTAGGTTTGAATATGTGATCTCCCAGTTTAAAAATGTCGGCAAATATTTCCAAACGTTAAGAAAATGTTCTGGCTCCTTTAAAGACATCTGCCAGCCACATTTCCCCAAGGACCGCGGTTTGAACCTTCTGATGTAGATGAGCTCTGACATTGGAAGATTCTGGAGTCTGACAAGTCACAGCAGGTTGAGGGTAGGGAGAAACTGCAGGTGAGGGGTGCATGCTGAAGTCCTGATTTCTCCAGGTCCCCAGGATCGGCTGAGAGCCCTGGTGGTGATCCCCATCATCTTCGGGATCCTGTTTGCCATCCTCTTGGTGCTGGTCTTTATCAGTGAGTCCTCAGGTGGGGAGGTGTTGGGGGAGGGAGGGGAGACCACCTGTTTCTTATCTGGCCTCTCCAACTCCCCATCCTTTTTTTTTTTTTTTTTTTTTTTAGAAAAGGTGGCCAAGAAGCCAACCAATAAGGTAGGTCACCCCTGAGAACCCGGGACAGAGTTTTGACAAACTGGGAAGATGGCCTCACGGTTGCCTATGGGGCAGTAAAACTGATTCAGAGTCTGTCTCTGCAGCCAGTGGGGTGGCAGCAGAATTGGGGACTGTCATCCCCACCCACCATGCTCCTTCCATCCAGAGCTCAATCCCCCACAGAACTGCCCCTGGCACCACTGGCAGAGCCTAACACTGGCTGTTCTTCACTCCTTTCCTGGCATTCAACGCGTGGGGAGCTGCATCTTTGGGCCTTGGGGCTGGGTCAAATGGGTGGGAGCAAATGTGGCAGCCCCTTAAGCCCACTGGCTCCCACTCTGGAAGCTCTTCGTCGCCCTTGGTGTGGCCAGCAGGGGGCAGGAGGCACCCGAGGAATCAGCACTGACCCGCCGTCTGGGAAAGGGGGGAGGGCTTGGGGAAGGGATCCGCTTCCCAGGGAGGGGCTCCTCAGAGGCACAGCTGCCCCTGCTGCTGGGGGTGACCTCACACCTTGCCTCTCCAGGCCCCCCACCCCAAGCAGGAACCCCAGGAGATCAATTTTCCCGACGATCTTCCTGGCTCCAACACTGCTGCTCCAGTGCAGGAGACTTTACATGGATGCCAACCGGTCACCCAGGAGGATGGCAAAGAGAGTCGCATCTCAGTGCAGGAGAGACAGTGAGGCTGCACCCACCCAGGAGTGTGGCCACGTGGGCAAACAGGCAGTTGGCCAGAGAGCCTGGTGCTGCTGCTGCTGTGGCGTGAGGGTGAGGGGCTGGCACTGACTGGGCATAGCTCCCCGCTTCTGCCTGCACCCCTGCAGTTTGAGACAGGAGACCTGGCACTGGATGCAGAAACAGTTCACCTTGAAGAACCTCTCACTTCACCCTGGAGCCCATCCAGTCTCCCAACTTGTATTAAAGACAGAGGCAGAAGTTTGGTGGTGGTGGTGTTGGGGTATGGTTTAGTAATATCCACCAGACCTTCCGATCCAGCAGTTTGGTGCCCAGAGAGGCATCATGGTGGCTTCCCTGCGCCCAGGAAGCCATATACACAGATGCCCATTGCAGCATTGTTTGTGATAGTGAACAACTGGAAGCTGCTTAACTGTCCATCAGCAGGAGACTGGCTAAATAAAATTAGAATATATTTATACAACAGAATCTCAAAAACACTGTTGAGTAAGGAAAAAAAGGCATGCTGCTGAATGATGGGTATGGAACTTTTTAAAAAAGTACATGCTTTTATGTATGTATATTGCCTATGGATATATGTATAAATACAATATGCATCATATATTGATATAACAAGGGTTCTGGAAGGGTACACAGAAAACCCACAGCTCGAAGAGTGGTGACGTCTGGGGTGGGGAAGAAGGGTCTGGGGGAGGGTTGGTTAAAGGGAGATTTGGCTTTCCCATAATGCTTCATCATTTTTCCCAAAAGGAGAGTGAATTCACATAATGCTTATGTAATTAAAAAATCATCAAACATGTAAAAAGAAAAACGGGGGTGAACATGCTGGGTGACATGAGCTATTTAACCTGCTGTCAGGCTCACGGAATGAGGGCATTTTCTGTAGATAAATAAGAATGTCCCCAGGCTGCTGCCCCTCCAGGGTGGTTTCCATGTGTGCTCACATGTGGTATTGAGATTGCAAAGTGCTCTTCCCATTTGATTCATGTTCACAAAAATAGCCTTCCCCAGCAGGGTGGGTCTGCATCCCTCCCTCTTTTACAGAGGTGGAAATGAGGTCCAGAGAGGCGAAGTGACTTGCCTGTGGTCACACAGCGGTGTCTGGTGGTGCCATGCTCAGAGCTCCTCACTCTGGGTCCTGAGCTCCTCCCAGATCTGCCTGCTGTCTGGAACTGACATCTGTAGCTCCTTCCCAGGGAGATCCTGGGTCTCTCACCGCCTTCTGACCTCCCTGTGGCTGCAGGAGCTACTGCTTCTCGGTCAGATGGTATCCCCTTCCCCCAAGCAGTATCTCAGGATAAAAATAAACCATCCTGTTCTCTTTTCCTGCTGAGCCAACTGAGGGGGAGCCTAGCCAGGAGGAGCGGCAGATGGAGTGGGAGCAGAGGGGAGGGGAGGGGAGGAAGGTTGGAGGACAAGGAGGAGAAGGAAGAGCAATGCAAAGTGCCATGCAGAACCCCGGCACAAAGGTTCGAGGTGAGGTTTAACCCAGGGGTCTCAGCCTTTCCCAGGAAAGAACCTGCTTTGGATTTCCCCAACACATCCTGCTGGCTGGAGGGTGTGGGGCGATGGGGGGCAAGGGGAGATGTGGAGAGGGCTTATCCCAGTGGAGGCTGTGAGGGCAGCTGCGAGCCAAGAGAGGGGCACCTGGCTTGGCAGGCTTCCCAGAAGAGCTTCAAGAACCATTTGGATACACCAGGTGGAGGCCTTTGGTTTAGAAAGTGGAGCAAAGTGGTGGTGGCGGGGAAGGGGAACTTTGGGACCTAATTCTTGTCTCTTATCTAGAGCCTAAGAGTGAGTGTTGTTCACTTCTTTGGTGGTATGGTGGAAAGAGACCAAAGACCCACGCCTGCCACAGATCATCTGTGTGG
The DNA here is from genome assembly GCF_000001405.40 of Homo sapiens. Taxonomy (NCBI): domain Eukaryota; kingdom Metazoa; phylum Chordata; class Mammalia; order Primates; family Hominidae; genus Homo; species Homo sapiens. The sequence goes on from NC_000020.11 coordinate 46,130,925, forward strand.
CCTTGGATGAGTCACTTTCACTGCTTCACTTCTCAGTTTCCCTATCTGACAAATGGTGACAATATCTGCAGCAGACGCTATTGATGCCTCCTGTGTTCTCTTCTAGGTCAGAGCTTCTCAAATTTGAGTGTGGGTCAGGCGCAGTGGCTCACGTCTGTAATCCCAGCACTCTGGGAGGCTTAGGTGGGCAGATAACCTAAGGTCAGGAGTTCGAGACCAGCCTGACCAACAGGGCAAAACCCCGTCTCTACTAAAAATACAAAAATTAGCCGGGCATGATGGCGGGTGCCTGTAATCCCAGCTACTTGGGAGGCTGAGGCAGAAGAATCACTTGAACCCGGGAGGTGGAGGTTGCAGTGAGCCGAGATCATGCCACTGTACTCCAGCCTGGGCAACAGAGTGAAACTCCATCTAAAATAACAACAACAACAATAGCAACAACAACAACAACAATAGCAACAACAACAAAACTTGAGCGTGTATCTGGACCACCTGCAAGGTGGTCCTCTCCACTATTTTCAGAACTGGAAGGATCCTTAGAACTCCTAGGGACCCATCATGCATCCGGGAACAAAAGCCCAGAACTGAGTAACTTTCCTGAGGCCACATAGAAAGCTCCTGGCCAATCTCTGTTTAGAACCAGAACGTGCTAACGCTGCCAAGAATAACCACCTCTTCTTGTTAAAGATCGTGGGGCCCCACCTCCTGTGTTTCTGATTCTGTGGGTCTGGGATGGAGATCAAGAATTTGCATTCTAAGAAGTTTCCCAAGTGGTATTGATGCTGCCGGCCCAGGGTTTATACTTGGGGAACTACTGCCTTCATATTTCTTTCTTTCTTTCTTTCTTTCTTTTGAGGTGTTGTCTTGCTATGTTGCCCAGGCTGGAGTGCAGTGGTGCCACCCCAGCTCACTGCAGCCTCCATCTCCCAGGTTCAAGTGACTCTCCTCCCTCAGCCTCCCAAGTACCTGGGACTATGGGTGTGCGCCACCACGCCTAGTTAATTTTTTGTATTTTTAGTAGAGACAGGGGTTTCACCATGTTGTCCAGGCTGGTCTTGAACTCCTCACCTCAAGTGATCCTCCCGCCTCGGCCTCCCAAAGTGCTGGGATTACAGGGTGAGCCACCGCGCCCAGCCAGCATTCATATTCCTATACTGTGTAAGCAGCCAGTTTCTGACTGCAAGCACTGGGGATCACTTGCCTCAGGGCTTTTCCAGGTCTTGAAAACATGCTTGGTGCAGAGGCAGGCCAGGTAAGCTGTAGATGGGGGAGTTAATTCCCCGAAGTACTTTCAGCCAGCCAAGGTTGAAAGTGGGAGGATAAATACTCAAGCTTCCTTGCCCTTGGGAGGGACAAATGTGAGCTGTGTTCTACAGTGTCTCCGAGGCTCCCTGGAGGGACTGAGCTATGGAACCTACAGTGGGCACTCTGCACTGATTCCCATCCTTTCCCTGTCTCACATCCCCTCTCCACCACTGGTGCTTCCCGGGTTCAACTCCCAAATAAACGACCTGCATTCATCCCTAGTCTCAGGATCTGCTTCTGGGAGAAGTTCCCCCTGAGAATCAGCAGAGCCCATGCACAACAATGTGCAATTTTGTTTTTCTTAGCGTCCCTAATGAAGGGAAGAGGTGGTTATTCTTGGCAGCGTTAGCACATTCTGGTTCTAAATAGAGATTGGCCAGGAGCTTTCTATATGGCCTCAGGAAAGTTACTCAGTTCTGGGCTTTTGTTCCCGGATGCATGATGGGTCCCTAGGAGTTCTAAGGATCCTTCCAGTTCTGAAAATAGCGGAGAGGACCAACCTCTTCAGGGTGTAGGGTCCTGCCCGGTGCGTGGACGGAGGGGGTGGCCGTGAGGCGCGCATCAGCCAGAAGGTGGCGCCAAGGTAACGCCCGAAGACCCTGGCGGCGGCTTGGGCTCCCTGAGTAAAGTTGGGTTTGCTGACTCGCCCCACACCCGCCCACACTTGGAAGAGGAGACCTTTCTTCCCTTGACCCCATCAGCCTGAGCCTCCTGAAGCTTCTACTCTGCAACTTCATCCATTCCCAGGTCTCATCCTTGTCATGAATACTTCCTTCCTTAACAAATACCAGCTGCGGTCCCACTGTGTGCCCCATCCGGAGCTAGGGTTGTGCACAGTGACACTGCTAAGACACTGAGTGCTCACTATGTGCTAGGCACAGCGCTAAGGACTTTGCATGCATTGCCTTAATCTTTATGACAGCCCTGCGTAAGACGTGGTCTCTTACAATATACTTTTTACAGATGAGATGCAGAAGTCAAATGACTTGCTAAGGTCTCGAGAGTTAGAGCTGGAATTTGGACCTAATTAGGTTGACTCAAAAGCCTGAGGTTTTTGCTCATTCAGTGAGTAGGAAAGTAGGCATATGTTGCGGGGTGATGTAAACTCATGCCCGCAGGGGCTGGAGAAAGGGCTGGGAGTCAAGTCAGGTGGCAGACGCTAGGCAAAATGGAGAGGCTCTGCCCATCTTTGGGGGACAGCCTCCATTGGCTCCTTCCAATGGTTGCCGAGCAGGAATGAGGGTTGCAGATTGTCTGGAATCTGGATTTTTTTTTTTTTTTGAGACAGAGTCTCGCTGTGTCGTCGCCCAGGCTGGAGTGCAGTGGCATGATCTCGGCTCACTGCAAGCTCCGCCTTCCAGGTTCATGCCATTCTCCTGCCTCAGCCTCCCGAGTAGTTGGGACTACAGGCGCCCACCACCATGCCTGGTTAATTTTTTGTATTTTTAGTGGCGATGGAGTTTCGCCATGTTAGCCAGGTTGGTCTCGATCTCCTGACCTCGTGATCTGCCCGCCTCGGCCTCTGAAAGTGCTGGGATTACAGGCATGAGCCACCGTGCCAGGCCTGGAATCTGGATTTTTATGTGAACTCTTACTATTTTTAAATTCCAAAAATTGGTCAAAAAATCCACAAAAGTGGCCGGGCATTGTGCTCACGATTGTAATCCCAGCACTTTGGGAGGCTGAGGCAGGCAGATCACCTGTGGTCAGGAGTTCAAGACCAGCCTGGCCAACATGGTGAAACCCCATCTCTGCTAAAAATACAACAAAATTTGCGGTCATGGTGGTGCGTGCCTGTAACCCCTGCTACTCAGGAAGCTGAGGCAGGAGAATCGCTTGAACCCTGGAGGTGGAAGTTGCAGTGAGCCGAGATTGCACCACTGCAGTCCAGCCTGGGCAACAAGAGCGAAACTCTGTCTAAAAAAAACCAAAAAAACAAAAAAACCCACAAAAGCTTGGTGAGAGCATGGGAAAGCATGTCACAGACGGCTGGGATTAAAAGAGACTGGAAACTTCCCTGTGTCCTATCCTTTTGTTTTTATACGTGGGGAAACAGAGGCACTGAGAAAGTCCAGAGCTGGCTCAGGCAACATGTCCTGGGCAGCTTGTCTCTCTCTGTGCCCAGCCAGGAGTTGAAGAGCCCCTGGGGGCTTAGGATCCACCCTGTGCACCCCAGGTAACCAGGGCCTAAGGCACTGATGCTCTGGGACTGAGGGACTTCCCTTGGGAGAGGCCTAGTTGTGTGTAGATGTCCTCCTCATTCTATGAACAGTCCCCCGACACTCCCACCCGTGCAGCCCCAGCCACAGGCAGGAACACACACCAGCTCTCCCACTTAAGCCTTCAGGCCCTGCAGTCAATTCCTCGGGCAGCAGAAGTTATTAAAGACCCTGCCCCCAAGGACTTCTCTCCCACCGACTGATTCTGGCACAGCAAATTACAAACCCATCTGTAGGGGTGGGGAGATGCAGTTTTAATTTGTAAAAACAAAGAAAGAAAAAAAAGAAATCTATGCTGTGGTCCTGGAGTTGGGGAAATGGAGGAAGCTCCTGAGGGGGCTCCTCCTGGGATGAGCAGTATGGTTACCGTGGGTGCTCCAGGAGAAGCCCAGCAAGGTCGGTGAGCAGCTTGGGCCCAGCCAGCTACAGCCAGTGGGCAGGGGGTGAGGGCGCCTCTCTCTTCCTATGCTCGCCCTCCCTTCCTGTCCCTGGGGCTCCCTGCTGACTGGCACATCCCTCTGGGCCTTGGTGCCCAGCTAGTTCTCTGCCTCCCGCTCACTCCAGTGCTCCTTCCCATCCTCTGCAGCATCTGCCCGCACCCTCCTTCCTGCTTTCTCCAATGCTTTCTAACTACCTCCTTTCCCATCTCCAGCTATTCCGACTCACCTTGTTCTCTTTTGAACAAGTGTTATTATTCTGCCTAATTATAAAAGTCATGCTCATGCACCACACCCCTCATCCAAGCAATAAACAGGACCAGGGAAGTAAGACCACTTGTAAACCTCCCACCCCCTGCTAACCACAAGATATGGGTCCTTCTAGACTTGTTTTCTCTGAGATAAACATTTTTTTTTTTAAACTTGGGCTATTATTATATGCATTGTTTTGTAAGCAGCCTTCTTTGCTTAGCAGTGTACGGCAGACGTCTCTCCATGCCAATTACATAGAAATGGACAGCATGGCTTTTTTTTTTTGGTCTCACTCTGTCACTCAGGCTGGAGTGGCACGATCATGGCTCACTGCAGCCTCAACCTCGTGGGCTCAGGTGATCCTCCCGCCTCAGGCCCCTGAGTAGCTGGGACTACAGGGATGCAACACCACACCTGGCTAAGTTTTGTGTTTCTTTGTAGAGATGGCATTTCGCCAGGTTGCCCAGGCTGGTCTCAAACTCCTGGGCTCAAGTGATCCACCTGCCTTGGCCTCCCAAAGTGCTAGGGTTACAGGCCTGAGCAACTGCACCCAGCAACAGCATGCTTTTTAATTGGTGCATAGGATTCCACTGTAGGGCTGGATGCTGATTCATGAAGAGGCTCCATGAAGTCCCTCCTGGACTTTCAGGCAGTGTTTCTCTTTCCTTTTCCTCATGAGTCTCTCCCTGGTGCCTCCTCCGCTTTTCCTCTCTCTCCATCTCTTCGTCTCCTACCTCCCATTTTCTCTCCACCTTTCACTCTCCCCTCCTCTCTGACTTCATCCCTGAGTCCCCACCCTTAGTTTCTCCTGTCTTCTCCCCTCCACACCCCACTCTCCCCAGCCCTACCCATTCCCTCTGACTCTCTGCTCCCTGCGGAGGGTGGGGGGTCCATGGTGTTTAACACCGGCTCCCACATCAGACACGTGCCATCTCATTAGCGTGCCTGTCCCCCAAAGTGAGGCAGGCAGGAGCCACAGTAGCAGCGAGAGGCCTAATTGAATGTAACTAATTATTCACTCCCTTAAATGGGCCTGGGAGGGACAGAATTACTCACTCTGAACTGGGGAGACAGGGAACTGGCCGCTGGCAAACAAATCCTGGGGCCTGTGGAGAGGGCTCTCCTTGGAATACTAATTAGGGCCGAGTGATGGGATAAAATCAGGGACAGAGACGCCTCTCCCTGCCCTCCCACCTCGTCTGGGAAATTGGGGGTCAGGAGGAGGAAGGGACTCTTGTGTGAATCTAATTGAAGGACCCCTGGGAAGTGTTAATACGGGGTGGGGGCAGGGGAAATGAAATGCTGAGCCTGGGGCTTGAGGAAGGCAGGGGGCTAATGTTTAATATGGAGAGAGGCGGGAGGGCACAGCAGTGCCTGAGGGAAGGAGCTGGCAGCAACCCCAGAGCCACCAAGAGCTGAGGGAACCCCACTGGCTCCTGGGAGGAAGCCCTTCTCCTCCCAAGCACTACCAAGTGCCAGGCCCTGTGCTAAAGACCGGTGTTCCAAATCTTCTTGAAGCCCTTTGTGTGTTGGCTCACTCCGTATCTCAGATGAGAAAAACTGAGGCTCAGAGAGGGGAAGCGGCTCCTTCATCCATGATCAGGCAGCTAGAACATGCAGGGCGGGGCCTCGGTTCCACCTGGCTGCAAAGCTTCTGTTCCTAACCCCTAGAATTACCCAGGCCACATCCCAGACCAATTAGATAAAATTTCCATGGAGGTGGCATGTGACGGTCATAGTCTAGGCATCAGTATTTTTTTTTTTTTTTTTGAGACAGTCTTGCTCTGTCACCCAGGCTGGAGTGCAGTGGCGCGATCTTGGTTCACTGCAACCTCCACCTCCTGGGTTCAAACGATTCTCCTGCCTCAATCTCCTGAGTAGCTGGGATGACAGGTGCCCGCCATCACACCAGGCTAACTTTTGTATTTCTAGTAGAGACGGGGTTTCACTATGTTGGCCGGGCTGGTCTTGAACTCCTGACCTCAAGTTGATACATCTGCCTTGGCCTCCCAAAGTGCTGGGATTGCAGGTGTGAGCCGCTGCGCCTGGCCAATCATCAGTATATTTTTTTAGAGCTTCCCTGGTGATTCTGAGATTCAGCCAGAACTGAGGACCCCTGGTCTGGACTTTATTTCCCTATTTGAGTCACTGCTTCTATTTCACAAGTGGCATCCATCCTTCTACTGAGCCAACCTGTCCCAAAGGACCTCTAGGCTCTATCTAGCCTTATCTCTGGGACTGGTTTCCAGACAGCTGGGAGCACGCAAGTTGGGGCAGGAGGGACTGTGTGGAATAGGATGAGGGAGGGTTCTAATGTCCAGGGGTGGACCCAGGGTAGAAGACCTGAATGCAGCCCCAGGAGACTCTGGGATGCATCATTCTGGGCAGCTCCTGAAGGTCAAAGGTGAGAAGTCAATTAGGGATTGTGCAGATATGAAAAGAAGGACAAATCACACGATGGAGAGACGTATAGAATGGAGAGGTATGTGTGTGTGCATGCGTGCGTGCACGTGTAGTAAGGGAGTGGTTGGTGTGGGTGGGTATAGTAATCGTGATTCTTGATACCATTTATGTGCCAGGTGCTTTTCCCATATTATCTCATTTGGTCCTGACAACAGTCCTTTGAAGGTGTATGGTCATCCTTGCAGCTGAGCAAGGTGCAGCTCAGAAAGGTTGAGTAAGCGTCCCAAGGCCACACGCAGAACCAGTATTCAATATCTGGCTCCCAGTTTCAAATCCCATGCTCCTTTCTCCTACTCTGCCTTGATTGTGCTATTGCACTTGTGATCTCTTCTCTAGCAGGTGTTGGTGTGTGTGCATGCTGGTTAGGTGTGCATGATGTGCGTGTGCTTGTGTGTGTGTTGCTCCCTCCTTTTGGGAGGGACAAAACTTCCATTCTGCCCAGCACAATGCCTCCTGCTGACTAGTGAGAGGGAAGAGGAGGGGCACCCACTCCTGCTTCTTGCCCCTGTTCCCCAGTGCCACTCAGCTGGTGACTGCCTCTCCTGTGGCTGGGGCTGAGGAGGGGCGGGGCAAGGCGGGTTATCCTCCCAGCCAAGTGACAAATAGCCTTATTTGTAACAAAGGTGGAGAGACAACCTATTTCTAGGGTGGGGAAATTCTCTCTTTTTCAGGCTTTCAAGCTGCCCTCCTGCCACCCCATCCCCTGCCCCAGTGAAGGTGGCAGGGAGAGATGGGCCTGTCACACTCATTCCCCTTCCGTTCCGCCACCTCAAGTGCAGGGGACTTCATGGGAGCTTCATAGAGGGGCAGCAAATTTATGAGCCCAACACCGATTCCCCGATCACCTCGCTGGCCAATCCATCTTTCTGGAGCCAGAGATGAAATGAAATTATTGTGAAATAAATCCATACAGATGATCGAGGGACTGGCAGCAGGGGGACAGCAAGGGGTGGGAGCCAGGAGCTGGGGCTCAGGTGGGAGGGCTATTGCCACTCCCCTTGGCTGAGACCCAGAGAGGGGACTTCACTGGCTTTCCTTCCTTTGATGGGGTGGGGCTGCGTTCTGCTTATGCCACCAACTCTCTATGGAGCCTCTTGCCCAATAGGATCCTTATCTAAGGGGCTGAATGAAAGACCCTCCAGCTTGTGATGGGTCCTGTGTCACTCATGCTTCCAAACTCCCAGGGTCAGAGAGCAAGGAGGGAGTGGGAGGGGTTGCATTCAGGGTGAGGTGGGAGTGAAGACAGAGTCAGAGTCAGGGCCAAGGGCCTGGGTGATGCTTCCCATATTTAATTACCCGCCGTGGAGGCCCCCTGCTGTGCCAGGTGTTCGTGCCTAAGTTTTGGGAATGAAGGGAGACCCAAGGGAAGGCACCAGTGTTGGGGTTACTCAGGCAGCTTGGGGCCACAGCTGTTTACCAGGAGGTTTGGAAGTAGTTCAATATTTTAACAACCTCTGTAGTAGGACTTCATATTCCAGCTGAGTTCCGATCTTGGAGCAGGGCGAGGGTTGGGGCTGCTTGGTGCCCTCTCCCTCCTCTTTGCCCAGCAGTGTCTGGGATATTCCCCACAAAGATCCTGCAGGATGGCTGTGTCTCAGGCTGGTGCATCAGGGGCTGGCCTCAGAGCCAAAGGGTCCACAGTGGACTTGCCAAGCCCAGAGTGCCAGAGCTTTCCTGCCTCCCCTCCCACTTTAGCCAGCTCTCAGGGGGCCCCCCACCACCCTGAGCACTGAGCTGGAATTGGAGGCAGCCAGCCGGCTGGGATGTGATCATTCGGCCTCCTGAGCAAGGCCAGCCCTGGCCACAGGGAAACAATGAGGTCCCTTGAGTAGTCAAGGGTCTGCTGGGGCCACTGGGCAGGACAGGCCCTCCCTAGCCTGCCCTGGTCTTGCTCTGGGACCTTGACCCTCTCCCCTTCTGAGGAAGGAGTACAGTGGCTTTGGGGGATGATGAAGGCCAGACAGCCAGACCCTCAGCACCTATTGATGTTGCTGGCTGGGTGGGTGTGTGTCTGAGTGCAGCCCCGGGCTCACATTAGGTGGGGCGGGGGTGGAAGCCAGACATAGACTGCTCTGGAAATGAGATTTGCCTCGTTATCTGTGCTTGCTCAGACCGAGGGCCTTGGGCATTAGCCAGCCCATCCAAGGAGTTAAGAAGCAGGAGGAGGGGCAGAGAGCCGAAATCCAGGCTCCAGTGGATAGAGCCCCTGCTGGAATGTGTGTGTATGTGTGTCCCTCGGTGGTTTGGATTTGTGGGGTTTTGTCTACAAAAGTGTGTGTGTTTTCCTGGTTAGTGTGGATGTCCTTTAAAAGAATGTGTGTATAGCACTTTGCCTCCTGCTCATGGTGGTTGCTGTTTCTCTTTAGTGTGTGTGTGTGTGTTGCTGGAATTAACACAAGTATGTCTGTTTCTGGACTGCACCTGTGTGTGCACACCCACAGGCTCCTGTTGGTTTTGTTTGTACATGCCCTGTTCGCATCCCAGCCCACTCAGAAGGCTGCAGGCCCAGACACAGCCTAATGGACAGAGCCAGGTGGGCAGGGCAGGCTGGCTGGCCTGCACCCAGGGGGCGGTGGGTGGATCTGGGCATCTTCCAGAGGCACCGGCCTGGCAGGGAACAAAGGGGCAATCAGTAGAGAGGCCACTAGAGCACAGCTGATTGAGGAAGAGGAATTAACTAGGAGCCCCATGGGGCTCTGCAGGGGGCGGGGGCGGTGGCCCCTGGCATTCTGATTAGGAGGGGGAGCAGGTGCAGCTGGGCTTACCTGAGCCACAGGAAGGAGTTGGAGGGGGCAGAGGGGAAAGCCTAGGATGGGATGAAGTAGAGCAGAGCTGGGAGCTGAGGACCTGGACCAATGACTTTGAGGGAGAGGAGCAAGGGGTCCTGGGTGAGAAGGTCACAGAGTGTACTGAGCAGATATTGTCATCCTAAATGGGATCCTTGTCACCTGTCATCCTAAGTGGATCACACTCCCACTTATCCAGAGCTTGCTGTGGGCCTGGCAATGGGCTAAACATCTGCCATGTAATCCTCACAGCACAGAAGCCAGTTCCATCATCAGTCAGGCTCACACATGAGGATGTGGATGCCCAGAGAGGTAAGGCAACTTGCTGGAGGACACACAGCTATGAATCCAGGTCGGCTCGGCTTTAGGGTCCTCATTTTAACCTCTATGCCACCTTGCCACTCCCCAGGCCTCTGCTGCATTGCCAGTGGGGAGATGCTACAGGAAGACAGACTGTGGCACAGAAAAAGAGGGATGTACAAATCCACCTGACCAAAAAAGCAGCCTGATCCTGGAGGGGGTGAAATGCCTGACACTGGAGGTATGCAAGGAATAGCTCACTAACAAAGGGGTTCCTTGCTGGATAGGTGGTTGGATTCCATTCTCTCCATCATTGTAATATGGATTGAGTCAGAGTCCCCGGGTTTGAATCCCAGCTCCACCATTTATTCACTGTGTGATATTGGGCAACTTGCTAGACCTCTCTGTGTTTCAGTTTTCTCATCTGAAAAATGGAGGAGTGTGAGGATGGAGGGTCAGAGAGAGCTGGGGGAAGAGGTGGGACTTGGGATGAACAGAAAGCAAGGTGGCAATGCAGGTGTTAGGCTCTGGGGCTTGAGGGGTTGAGTGGGGTTCAGGTGACCTTAGGTTCAGCTTCCTCTGCTCTAGCCCAGACCTCACATCTCTCACTGGGGCCATTGCTTCAGCCTCCATCCTGCTTTTCGTGCCCAGCCTCTCCTCCTCCGGCCCATTCTCTGTCCTCTTCAATTTGACCATGTCACTCCCCTCATCTGTAGCCTTTAATGACTCCTCTCCCCCTATAAAAGTGGTTTTCAAAGTGTGTCAGGAGAACCCCCTGCGGGTTGGGGGATAACCTTAGGTGACACATGATCCAGGTCTCCTGGGAGACTTTGCACAGTTCTCTTTTGATCCCAAGGAGGACACCCCAGTTTGGTGCTGGTTTGTCTTTCATATCCTTTGCTGTAGGAAGATCAGGTCAGACTCGGCCACCAGCAAACAACTGAGTCTAGTTAGAACTCAATAACGCTGATTTGTTCTAAGCTTTGATTTCTACAACTGTTTCCTTCTCAAACACCTTCTCCTCTGGGCTCCCCAATGCTGCATTTTCTCATTTGCCACCCTGCTTCACTGCTTGCTCCCGGCAGGTCTCCTGTTTTGCTTTTTCTGCTGCGGCTGGTCCTCTCAACGCAAGTGTACTATCAGGCTCTGCCTCATTCCTATTCTTGTCTGGAGCTCCATCTAGTCCCAGAGCATTAACCACTACCACTGATTCTCAAATGTAACTCTCGACCCAGATCAATTTCCAGCTGCCTTCCTGATATTTCTATTTGGATGTCCAATAGGTATTTCTAATCTACAAGTCCTAAACGGAGCCTGTGCTACCCACGCCTCTGCCTCTCCCCTTGCCTGCCTTGCTTCAGTAGGTGGTCACACATCTAGGAGTTATCCTTGACTCCTCTCTCTTCTTTGCCTTCCCCATCCAATCCATTAGCCATGCCTGTCAACTTTACCTGCAAAACATATTCTGGAATAGCCAATTCCCTTCATGTCCTCATGCCCTGGTCCGAGCCAGCATCACCCCTCACCTGCAGGCTGCAGCAGCCTCTGGGCTGATCATGCCGCTCTCAACTTGCATCCCTCCAAACCTACCACACGGCAGCTGGAGGATCTTTTAAAAGCATTAATCAGATTACATCACTCAACTGCTTAAAACTCTCAAAGGGCATCCCCTTGTGCTTACAACAAATCCAAGCCCTTTGCTCTGGTTTATAAGGTGCTGTGTGACTGGGGTTTTTTTCTGTCAGTTTCTCTTACTCCATCCATATCCCTCTCTCCCTTGCTCACTCTGCTCTCGTCACATTGCCCTGCCTTTGCCCTTGAACCTACTGAGCTCGGTCCCACTGTGTTCCCTCTGCCCAGAACTTCTCTCCCTTGATCTTCTCTTCCTTTAGCTATCTGCTGGGGGGGGGGTCACTTCCTCCGAGAGGCCTTCCCTGAGTACTCAACAATAAAGCCACTCCAGACACCACTGCATCCCTCTCTTCTTGCTTTTTGCTGAGCATGACAGGTTTTTTTTTTTGCTTTCCTCCATATAATTACAAACTCCACATAAGAAGGAATGTTACCTGTCTTGTTCATTGCTGTATTTTCAGTGCCAAGAATGGTACCTGAATCATAGAAGATGATTATTATTTGCTGATTGAATTAATGAGTTGTATTTTTTACAGTTACCTTTGATGTATGACAGGTGTCACTTTTTTTTCCATTTTAGATGGTGACATAGGTTTCCTTTTAAGAATAAAGCAAAAAAAAATTCTGATAAGAGACTTGAATATATAAGGAACTCTTATAACTCAACAATAAAAAGACAAATACAATGAAAACATGAGCAGAGAATTTGAACAGACATTTCTCCAAAGAAGACATACAAATTGCCAATAAGCACATGAAAAGATGCTCAACATCATTAGTCATTAGGGAAACACAAATCAAAACCACAATGAGATACCATTGCATTTCAAACTACAATGTGATTATCACTTTACTAGAACGGCTAAACCTGGTGAAATTGGAATGCTTGTACATCACTGGTGGGATTGTAAAATGGTGCAGCCACTTAGGAAATAGTCCATCAGTTCCTCAAAAAGTTAAACTTGGTGTTGTCACATGACCCAGCAATTCCTTTGCTTGGTATATACCCAAGAAAAATGACAACATACGTCCATACAAATACTTGTACACAAATATCGATAGTAGCATTATTTAAAAATAGTCAAGAAGTAGAAAAAACTCAAATGTCTGTCAATGGATGAATGGCTGAACAAAATGTGGTATGTACATACAATGGAATAGCATTTGGCCATAAAAAGAGATGGAGTACTGACACAGGCTGCAACATGGGGAATCTTGAAAACCGTGTGCTAATTGAGAGAAGACATTCACGAAAGGTCACCTATTGTATGATTCCATTTATATGAAATGTCCAGAATGGACAAATCCAGAGAAAAAAAAGTCAGTGGTTTCCAGGGGCTGGGGTAGGGAAGAATGGGAAGAGGCTGATAAAAGGTACAGGATTTCTTTTTGGAGGAAATGAGAAATGTTCTGAAATTCAATAGCAGTGGTGCTTGCATGACTCTGTGAATATACTAAAAACCACTGAATTATACATTTTAAAAGGGTGAATTTGGCCGGGCTTGGTGGCTCATGCCTGTGACCCCAGCACTTTGGAAGGCTGAGGAGGGAGGGTTGTTTGAGGCCAGGAGTTTGAGACCAGCCTGGACAACATAGCAACACCTCATCTCTACAAAAAAATACAAAAATTAGCTGGGCATGCTGGCTCACACCTGTAGTTCCAGCTACTTGGAAGACTGAGGCAGGAGGATCACTTGAGCCCAGGAGGCCAAGGCTGTAGTAAGCCATGATTGTACTACTGCACTCCAGCCTGGGTGACAGAGTGAGACCCTGTCTCAATAAAAAAAGGGTGAATTTTATACTATGTGAATTATATCTCAATAAAGCTGTTATAAAAATAAAGTGAAGAAAAATGATAATTTAAAGAAAAAGGCCAACAGCCCCAGTACAGGGACACATGGATCTTTGGCAAAGTCATAGAAGACTCATGTGAATGACTGAAGTTGGTTTGTAGGCTTATAAGGATAAACTGCAGACATCCTAGTTTAACATTGAAGACCTATGCTTAACTCTAGCTTCGTGTGCTGCCCTTTTTAAAATGACTATGTTGACCTTATCCCTATTTCTGGAACACTTAGGAATCTTTCAAGCTGCTTTGTCTTTGCAAATTTTGGGCCCTCCCTGGGATGTCCCTTCTCCTTTTCTTCATCTGGTTGAACCCAAGTCAATATAGGTGGGCTTGATAGGGGATGGGGCATGTGCCAGGCACTGAGCTTGGTGCTGGTGAGACAGTGCAGAGGACTAAGACAGATATGGTCTGGGGCCTTGGCTGGCTCCCAGACAGGGTGAGGAGACAGATGAGGACCTGCCACACCCACACTGGGCTGCAGGAATGCAGTAGAAGAACCTAACACAGCCTGAGAGATCAGAGAAGGCTTCCCCAGAAAGGGACGCTTCAGCTGAGTAGTTGGCCAGGCAAAGAAGAGGGGAGGAGTGCCCCAGATGGAGGGAACAGTCTGGGCGAAAGCCTCAAGACAGCGCGCAGCAAGTTGGAGGAATCCTCAGAAGGTGGGTGTGGCTGGAACACAGCCCAGAAGGTGGTGAGTGCTGAGAAACGGTCCTAGAGAGAAAGCCGGAGCCTGGGGATCAGGGCCCTCATAGGCCATGCCAAGGAATCTGGATACTTGCAGAGCTCAGTTAGATTGCATACAACGCTAGCTGGGTGTGGTGGCGCACCCCTGTAGTCCCAGCTACTCAGGAGGCTGAGGCAGGAGAATCGCTTCAACTCCAGAGGCAGAGGTTGCAGTGAGCCGAGATTGCATCACTGCACTCCAGCCTGGGCAACAGAGTGAGACTCTGTCGCAAAAAAAAAAAAAAAAAAAAAAAAAAAAAGATTCCATACAACTCCAAATGATGGCTGTTTGACTATTTTTTCTTCACATCACGGATCACCCCTGCCGTTATACATCCATCTGTTGATTGTCTTTCCCCCTACTAGAAAGGACAAGGACTTTGTGCTGTTCACTGCTGTGTCCCCAACAGCCAGAAGAGTGCCTGGCTCACACAGACACTCAATAAATACGTATTGAATGCATGACTTTACTGGCCTGTGTCCTCTGCTTACTGAGTTATTGAAAGTCAGGGACCTGTTGGATTCATCATTGCGTCCCCAGGGCCTAGCACAGAGCTTGATGCACATGCTGTTTAATAAATATTGAAAGAATAAATGAATGGAAAAACGTCTTCCCCAATGTGTTACACACTCCCGCAGGGCCGGGACTATTTGATTTATGTATCTAGCGCCCAACACATTGCCTGGCAGAAAGCAGACCCTCAATAAAGGTTTGTTGAGCTAGACAAGAGTCTCTTCTGCATGCGGGCCCTTGTCAGGCCTGTCATGGGAGCTCAAATAAAGGCAACCAGACCCTATACTACTGGATCAGGCAGAAAGAGATACCTTGTTGGCAAAGGATCTTAGGACCCTGGAGTCATAGGCTGTGCAGGCAGGATCAGCCTGCATGTGTAGGGTGGCCAGAGAGACCAAAGAGGGCTTCCCGGGGGTCAGGAATCCTGCCTTTGTTTATGTCCCCTAGCACTGCCCTTCTCTGGCAACTGGCAGGCAGCCCCACCAATGAGGTTTGGGCACAGCTGGGGGTGGAATGGGATGGGACAGATGGTGGGAGACAAGGAAACCCCCATGTTTTCCTCCATCTGTTACATTTAATTGACTTCCCGCAGAAAGAAAAAAAAATAAACCAGTTGCAAGGATGAAATTGCTAATTAAAAGGCCCTCTGATTAGATAGACAAATATTTACCAATTATGCCTGACCCTGCCTGTCCCCTTTTACGTCTGCGAACTCCCCCATCAGCACTGTGGCCACATCATACCCAGCTGGTGGCTCTTCCACCAATCACTCTCTTGGGGCTCAGACTGGCTGCGGGTGAAATAGGGTAGAAGAAAGGTGAATACTGCAAACAGCCGTTCAACAAACGCGATGCCTGTTGCATGGTCAGGCTTAGTGCTGGGCCCCTGGAAGCCATAGCAGAATTTCCATGGACAGCCTTTCAAGTTGTGTGCTGCACAAAGGTGCACCTGCAGGAGAGTGGGGGCTCCCCCTGTCAACCTGGGACCCCTGGCACCAGGCAAGGGGGATTTTTATTTTCTTTGCGCAACGGGTCATTAGCTTGCCAAGCTGAATCCACAGGATTTTGCCTGCCCAGAGGGGGTACCTTTTTCTAATTCACACAGAATGGGCTAGTGGCAGCTCTACAGAGATGAAGATAGTTCAGTTCCTGATCCTCAAGGGCTCTAGGGATAGTGGGGGAGAAAAATATGCCTATGATGTATAAACATTCATGTGTGATTTTTTTTCTTTTTTCTTTTCTTTTTTTTTTGAGGACAGGGTCTCACTGTGTCACCCAGGCTGAGTGCAGTGGCACGATTACGACTTGCTGCAGCCTTGAGACCCCTCTCTCCCCAGCAGCCTCCTGAGGAGCTGGGATTACTGGTGTGCATCACCATGCCTGGCTAATTTTTCATTTTTTGTAGAGACAAGATCTCTCTATGTTACCCAGGCTGGTCTCGAACTCCTGGATGCAAGCAATCCTCCTGCCTCAGCCTCCCAAAGTCCTGGGATTACAAGTGTGAGCTACCATGCCTGGCTTAAACATTCATTCAATAAACATTTCTTGTTTACTGGCCACTAATGTTTGCCAAGCACTGTACTAGATTCTGGGAGAGAGAGAGATGAGTAATATATGTTTCCTGCCCTCCAGAAGCCGGGCTATTTGGGGGAGACAGAGATACTTACCTGGGTCTGCCCTTCCTTTTTCCCCTTCCCTTTTTTAATTCCAAATAATCTTCACCTGGGAGGTATGAATAACCGCTCTGGACTCTCACCATTCAAATCCTGGCTTTACCGTGTCTTGGCTGTGTGACCTTGGGCAAGTTATCTCACCTCTCTCTGCCTCAGGTTGCCTCTCTGTAAACTGGAGATAATGGTAACTGCATCCCAGGGTTATTATAATGATTAAATAAATTAGCACATGGAATTCATGCCTGACACGGAGTGCTCAGTAAAGGTTAGCTATTGTGTGACTGTTTCTTTTTTTTTTTTGAGTGCCTACTGTGTGCCAGGCCCTGAGTCCTGGGGATACAGAACTGTTACCAGTTCATTTCCTCTCCCTTCAGAGCTCACAGTGCGGAACACACAGAGAAACCCACCAACACACAGGCAGGCTCACACATACTCAGGCCTTGCTGAAAGAAAGTTGTGGTGGCAGGGTGTGGTTCTAGAATGAATGAGTCTTAGCTTGGAAGTCAGAAGATTTGGGGTTGTCTTAAGTCCAAGATAGGGAAACGGAATGATTGCCTGGTAAGGTAACGATCTCTACATCACTGGAGGTATGTAAACCAAAGTGTGAAGTTGCCAGAGAGAGGCATCTTGGCTGTGGGAGAAAAGTAGGTCAATTCTGGTACGATCGTCCCCTCCTGGGACAGTGAGACAAGCTTCCCAGGACCAGCTGGGGAGCCCTAGAGAAGCCCGGCACTGGCAATGTCCTGAGAGTCCATTCCTGGAGCCAAGGGACCCAGGCTTCCTACCGTGTATGTCCATTTCCTGGGCAAGGCACTGGATGGCAGGACTTTAAGCAGAGGCAGGAAAGGGCAACTTCCAGCCTCTTGCAGAAGGCCTGATTGCGGGGGCAGTCAGTTGGGATTGCTCAGCCCTGAAGCAGAGACTGAGAACCCCGCCTGCCTGTGTGACCACCATCCATGTCCACTCCCTCTCTGAGCTTCAGTTTCTCCACCGGTAAAATGGGAAGAGAATGGACCAGAGAGTATTTTTCTCCCATTCCCAAATTACAGAGTTTTTTTTTTTTTTTTTAAGACAGGTCTTGCTGTATCACCCAGGCTGGAGTGCAGTGGTGTGATCATAGCTCACTGCAGCCTTGACCTCCTGGACTCAGGTGATCCTCCTGCCTTAGCCTCCCTAGTAACTGGGACTATAGGCACAGGCCACCATGCCTGGCTAATTTTGTATTTTTATTTTTTGGTAGTAACAGAGTCTCCCTGTGTTGTGCAGGCTGGTCTCAAACTCCTGGCCTCAAGCGATCCTCCTGCCTGCCCTCAAGCGATCCTCCTGCCTTGGGATTACAGGTGTGAGCTGCCATGTCCAGTCCACAGACAACATGTATTGAGTGCTCACTACATGCCAAGCACTGGGCTAAGCCTGTTGCATGTAGCATCTTGTTTACATTTCACAATAATCAAGGGGGCAGGCATCTGCCTGCTTTACAGATGAGGAAACCAAGGCCCTCAGCAGTAAAGTAAATTTTCCAAGTTCACTCAGCATGGGAATGATAGACACAGGTTTGTAATCCAGGTCTTGTTGACATCGAAACCTGGGATGCTAGTAACCCTACCCTGCTGCCTGTCAGTCCTGCCAGGCTTTCCAGGACGGCCCCCACCCTGAGCCACATCCCCAGGAACACTCTGCCACTCCCTATCCCCCTCCTGGGCTCATACCATGAAAGCCCCATGCAGAGCCTGCTACTCTAGAGGGATATATATTATCTAAATTTGATAAGACAACTCAATTTCACTCCGTGTCTGTTACCGGCGATAAAACCAGGAGACTTTTATGACCCAGCATCCTCAGCAAGATTGTCAGGAACTTATTATACAAGGTCTAACTGGATTTCTCTCTGCAGATGGCTGGGAGCCATGGGCTGGAACGCAATTCGGCAACACATTTGGGGAAATAAATGCAAAATGCTTGTTCCAGAGACTTAGATAAGGCAGCAGGCCTCCAAGCTCCCCAAGAATCGGATCTGCTTTTCCTGGGCCCTGAAGGGCGATTTGGGGAGGATTTACGCTGTCGGAGGAGGAGGGAATGGCGGGCTCTTTCTCCCCTCATCCCTTGACTCTTCTTGCCCCAGGGAAGGAATGTGAGCGCACCTGAGACTTGGAGTTCAGCAACTGTAATTCCCTGAGAGGTAGCAATTCAGAGTAGACCTGGGGGTGGGAGGACAGGATGGTGGGCAGTGGTGAGACCAAGGTTATGAGGACTGTGTGCATTGAAAGAGGGGTGCAGGATGATCAAAACGATGGGGAACTGGGTCTTCACTAGCTGCTCGGGATCTGCCATAGAGTCACTCCTTACTGCCCTGAGAGGCCCGCGTCCTTCCCAAACACACCTCTAGGACTGGTGTGGCCCCCATAAACTGGGTTCCCAAACAGACCCCATTCCTTGGATGTGAGTTCACATCCAGATTCAGATGACCCCCGTACATAAGCTCACAGATACTCCAAGATTTTGAGGTTCACTGTGAGGGCGCTCCAAATTCATGGCTTACCTCAAATTCTGATCTCTCGCAGGCGTGGGCTCATAGACGGGCTTGCGGTCCATCTCAGCTTTCACAGCATCCATGCGATTTTTGCCATTGGAAGGAATGGCAACAACCACATTCACTTTTGCACCCACCTAATAGATCTGCCGAATCTTGAGGTTGGAGCTTTACAAGAGCCAGCCCCAAATTCAGGGTTCATTCTCTAGTGCAGACATCCCCCAAACCTCTGCTCACACACAGATCTGGCATAACCCCAGATTCAGTTAGCTGCCCAAGCTAGACTCCAGCCCTCTAGCTACCAGCAGCATCTGAGAGTTACCCCCTCAACAAGCTCATACCAAGCCTTGAGGATCTGGCACCTCCAGTCCCAGGCTCCGGTCCTTGTGCAGGGAAGCTGCTGCAACACCACTGATCTGGGAAGTTTGAGGTCTGCCCTTGCGCACCTGCCCTGTGACTCTAAGCTCTTTCTACGGGGCCAGGAAGGCGGCGGAGACATTTTTATCTGTCCCTGGGC
Source organism: Homo sapiens (assembly GCF_000001405.40). Lineage (NCBI taxonomy): Eukaryota > Metazoa > Chordata > Mammalia > Primates > Hominidae > Homo > Homo sapiens. The sequence goes on from NC_000020.11 coordinate 46,150,124, forward strand.
TCCCCGATGCTTCAATGGACTCCAGTACCAGAAGCCCTTTTTTTTTTTGAGTCGGAGTCTCGCTCTGTTGCCCAGGCTGGAGTGCAGCGGCACAATCTTGGCCCACTGCAACCTCCGCCTCCCCGGTTGAAGCGATACCTCCTGCCTCATCCTCCTGGGAAGCTGGGATTACAGGTGCACACCACCACACCTGGCTAATTTTTCTATTTTTAGTAGAGACAGGGTTTCACCATGTTGGCCAGCTGGTCTTGAACTCCTGACCTCAGGTGATCCACCCACCTCGGCCTCCCAAAGTGCTGGGATTACAGGCTTGAGCCACTACGCCTGGCATGGGAGCTTTGTCTCATTCTTTCAGCCCTCCCTTACCTCTTCCCATGTAGAGTTCCATCCCAACTAGGTCCTTTGCCTCCAGTTTTTGGAGGGAAAGGGTAACATTTGCCAAGCATCCTCTGTTGTACCAGGGCCTGGCAAGTCTGTGCTTTCATTGAACTCTTACCACAACCTTTCAGGCTAGATTTTTATAATACCCACTTTGCAGATGAGGAAATGGAGGCACAAGGAGGTTAAGCCACTTGCCCAAGAGCACACAGCCCAGAAGAGTGGGAGCTTTGTATCTGCCAGGATGCTGCCCCAGGTCTTGGAGCAGAGCTTGGGAATGCCCTTGGGATTTGGAGTTCGGTGGCGGGGGTGGGGGGCTGTTGCCTAGGTGGCACGCTGGGGAGGGTATGCTGTTGCTGAATCTAAGCTTGTATTATTTCCACACTGGCAAAACGAATTATTTTCAGTAGACAGGAGGATGGGGTGGGGGTATGGGAGTGGAGGACATTGCGGTGAGACCAAGAGCACTGGCTGCCAGGGCCAGTCACTTGGGGGAAAGGGCAGGGGCTGGCCTTTGCCAGAAGACAGAGATGGATGGTCTGGATCCCAGGCTTAGGTTACCTAAGGGCAGACCAAGACTCAGCTCCTGCATTGGGGGTGGTGGTGGTGGTGTCAGAAATCACTGGAGAAGCCAGGAGGGGGGGCCTACCCCACCTTGGGTGAAGGCCAGGAAGTCTGTGGGGCCTCTGGAATACTAATGGCCTCCGGCGGGTCCTGCAGGATGCAGCAGGCAGGCTGGAGTCTATTTGTCTCTCCATTCTCAACACTGCAGTTTCCTGGAGAGGGGTGATGGGGACCAGGGAGTGAGGACGAGGCTTGGACCAGGGTCTTCGGCTGAACAAGAGCCAGGCTGCAGTGGGAAACACATGCGTGCTGGAACTGGGCTCTACCACTTCCTAGCTGTGTGACCTCAGACAAATCACTTCATCTCTCTGGGCCTCAGGTACGTGTAAACAGGTACAATGATGCTGACCTGAGGGTTGGTGAGGAAGGCGCACAGTGCGTGCTGGCTCAGGAGACGGCGCTCTCTGTTATAAAGCCGTTACCATCCTGCACGTAACAGGCAGGTCCTGAAAATCACCTCCAAGGGGGGTAGAGCCCGAAAATCCCCCAAATCCTCTGGCTAAGAGTGATTTTATTTTATTTTTTAAAAAGAAATAAGGAATATAATCCTCAAAAGATTTTCCCTTTTGGCTCTAAAAAAAAATCTAATATCTTCATTTCCATCCCCCCCTTTATAAGCTAATTTGTTGAAAATTAAAATGGGGAACTCACCAAGGCTGGCATTTTAATTGAATCTTGTCTGGTGTCCTCTCTAGGATTCCCTGGCTGGCGTCCTCCATTCAATCCTCCCTGCTCCATTTAGCCCGGTTCCCAACCTTGGTGGGGCCTCGGCGGGACCTTGGTGGGACCTTGGTGGGGCCTGGGACTGGCCCCTAGGGCCCAAGTGACTTTCCATCACGAAAAAGGAGCTTCAGCCTGGCCCCTGCCTACTCCTAGGGGTCATGGGGTCAGAGGGGCCCAGGGCACAATTTCTGATCTGTGCGAGGCCCCCTGCTGGCTGCGCCTGTTTCCTCACCTGGAGATGGGATTCATCTGAATGACTTCACCTAGGACCCAGTACTCCTGGCACAGCCAGCAGATCAATACCCAGTGTTTTGTCCTCACTCACCTCCAAGATCTGGGGGGCTCCCAAAGCGGGGGAAAGCAGGGCTGCCTCGAGCTGCTCCTAGGCCCCCACAGGAGAGCTTCTCTTGCATCCATCCATCCATGGGTCATCCAGCCGCAGGTTAGAAAGCCAGTTAGCGGCTTCCCCCACTTTCAGGGATTTTGGTAATAATAATAATGCTTCTTTTTTTTTTTTGAGACGGAGTCTCACTCTGTCACCCAGGCGGGAGTGCAGTCACATGATGTCGGCTCACTGCAACCTCTGCCTCCCGACTTCAAGCAATTCTTGTGCCTCAGCCTCCCGAGTAGCTGGTATTGCAGGCGTGTGCCACCATGCCTGGCTAATTTTTGTATTTTTAGTAGAGATGGGGTTTCATCATGTTGGCCTGGCTGGTCTCGAGCTCCCGACCTCAAGTGATCTGCCTGCCCCGGCCTCCCAAAGTGCTGGGATTATAAGCGTGAGCCACCGCCCCTGGCCAAACAATGCTTCTTGAGTACTTAAGTCCTGTCAGACATGCTACCTGCAGAGTCTTATTTTGTGCTCATAACAACCCAAAGAGGAAGGAACTATCGTTATTATTATATTATTGAGACAGGGTCTCACTGCCACCCAGGCCTGGAGTGCAGTGGTGCAACTGTAGCTCACTGCAGCCTTGAACTCCTGGGGTCAAACAATCCTCCTGCTTCAGTATCCTGAGCAGCTAGGACTACAGGCCCATGCCACCAAGCCTGCCTAATTTTTATTTTTAGAGACAGGGGTCTCGCTATGTTGCCCAGGCTGGTCTCAAACTCCTGGCCTCAAGACAGCCTCCTGCCTAGGCCTCCCAAAGCCCTAGGATTACAGGTGTGAACTGTAGTGCTTGGTCTGGAAGGAACTATTATGATCTTCCCATTTTATGGGTGAAGAAACTGAGGCTCAGAGAGGATTAGTAACTCCCAAGGCCACGGAGCCAGATTTAATGGCAGAGCCCGGATTAGAAGTCAGGCCATCTCACCCCAGAGGCCCCCTCAACTCAGCCTCAGTTTCCTGATTTTGGATTAAAGTGCGTTTGCCCTGGCCCTGGGTTCCTGGCGTGTCCCTGGGCCCTCGCCGTACTGCCCTCTGCAGCCTGCCTTGTCCAGGACCGGCGGGCGGGCCAGGGACTGAGGGGAAGACAGGGGCTCTCCGTGCCTCATCGCCCTGTCCCCCACCCCGAGGCCCAGCCCAGAGGCGGGCTTCCTCCTCTGCCCCGCGGGGGGCCGCAATAATTGCTAATCAGCCACCGCTAATTATCCGGCCCATGGAGAGGTGAGCGCAGCAAGGGAGCGCGGAGGCGGCGCAGAACCCGGGTTCCAGCCCAGGCTCGCGCAGCGGGACGCTGGCACGACGCTCTTCATGCTCTTCGTTTCTGGGCCTTGGTTTCCCTGGCTACACGTAGGGGTGGGAGAAGGCAGTAAGTAGGGCTCTAACTCTGAAATGCAAGGGAAAGAGCCTCGCTGCCTACCCCAAAGAAAGCTAAGGTGGTTGACCAGCTTTTGATTGGAGGCTGAGCTCAGCCTGGCTGCCTGCTTTAAAACCTGGATGCTGGGGTAACGAGGTGGTCAACTCTCACTTTTCTCATCCATTAAAGTACTGATATCCACTTAAAACGGTTATAAGGGTTCAATATGGTATTTGGAATCGTTCCTGACGTACAGTAAGTGCTCAATAAATGAAGCTTACGGCTAGGGAGCATTATGCTTACGTTATCTCATTTAATTCTCAGAACAACTTGGGGAGGGAGGCATTATGACAGATGGGGAAACTGAGGCTCAGAGAGGCGAAACCCCTTGTTTCGTGAACCAAGCATCCATTCATCCCTGCATCCATGCTGAGCATTTGCTGAGCACTTACCATGCTCCAAGCTCATTGCTGACACAGACAGACTACCTCCCGCTGCCTTGGGGCTCAGGCTCCAGCAATTTGAATTTCCACCCCTCTGGCTCTCCCTGAGAGGGACACCTCCCCACTCCCTTGTAGTAGCTGGGGAGGATATAAGGGGAGGCCCACCCCGTGGACACCCTTGGGGTTCGGGTGCCTAATGATCCCCCTTCCCATCAACAACTCATGTAAATTTCTTTCGTAATTACACTGAAAGCTATCAAACTATCTAATTTAATTTCTCTGCAAAAATAAATAGCTAAAGTGGCCCTAGGTACTGGCATAAATCCTTCAGGCAGAACAGTCTTAGATTGCTGCTTGTGCAGGCCTGACTGGCCACAATACACACTTAATAAGCACATATTTATTGGGCCCGTGCCCCCCTTTGGAAGAAGAGGCAGGGATTCTGTTGACTCAGCCAGAAGGAGAGGAAAGCGATTGGGGCCATGGTGGTAATGTGAGGAGGAGAGGAGGGAGCGGAGGGAAAATATGCTGGGTAATTAATTATCCGTCTTTGTACATCCATAACTTTTTATGCAAAACAAATATGCAAATGCTGCCTAACTGGTTGCCGCTGCCTAACTGGTTGCCTTCACCTGGGTCTGCCTCCAACATGAGTGTTAATGTGCAGTTGGGCCTGTGGGGAGGAGGCCTGTCTGCAAAGTGGGCCAGGGCTGGGTCAGTGTCTCCTCTCTCCCTCACTTGCTGTGGCTCCCCTGGTCCACTGGGCCCCGCATCATTACTCCAATGTGCTTACCCAAGGCCAGTGGGTTATGCCTTCTTAATATCACTCTTCAGCAGTCCCATCTCTCTTCCTGGATGCTATGGCTCAGCATCAGATGACATCCTTTTTTTCTGGCTTGTTTCTTCCTCTCCAACCTCATTTCCTGTCCTTCTCCCTCTTGCCTGGAGTGCCCCCACCCAGGCTCGCTGCACCTCAGGCCCTTTGCACTGGCTTTATCTCTGGAATGCTGTGTTTGCAGGGTCAGCTCTTTCTTTTCATTCAAGTTTAAGGTCAATGTTGCCTTCCCCAACCACCCAGTTGAAAGTGCCCCTTTTGGTTTTTTGCTACCTTGTTTTGCTGTTTTTTTTTTCAATAGTACCTATTACTCTGATAATTTTCCTTTTTTATGTATTAGTTTTTCAAATTTCTTTTTCTCTCCCGCTGGAATGTAACTTCCGAGAGAACAGCCTTGTGTTATTTATTGCTGTATCCCCAGTGACTAGAACAATATGCATAGTTGGTCCTTGCAAAATGTGCATTACCTGAATGAATGAATAAAGGGAAGAAGAGCTTCCTCACTCCCATTTTTGTTCCCCAGTCACTCTCTTCTATTTATGCCATTCAAGATAATCTTAAAAACACGAATCCTACTGTGGACAACCTTCCCTGACTCCTTAGTTCTTTGGAATAATATCCAAGTTCCTTTTCCTGCCCCTTTATGACCTGGCCTCTGTTCACCTCTCCAGCACTCTCTCTATCCACCTCAGTTCCCTTCATCCTACACACACATTGGCCTTCACACGAAGCACCAGGCTTCCAGCCCTGCACAAATTGTTCTGGTTGCCAAATTCTCTTTCATACCCTTCTTTGCTTGGTCAACTCCACCTTGTCTTTTGTGTCTCAGTCAGGCATTACCTCCTCCAGGAAGCCCTCCTGTGTAACCTCCTTTTTGCCTTTCTCCGTTGTGACACTTTCCACTTTGCCTTCTTACCTTTCTGTTACCTTTTGTAGATGGAGAGCTTCAGGAAGGCAGGAATGGTATCTAGTTTCTCATCATTTAGGCAACAATTGCAGAACTGGAATATGAACCAGATTCTGAATTAAGAAGATAGGTTCTGGAGCCAGCCTGCCTGGATTCATATGCCAACTCTGCTATTTACCGGCCATAGTAGCTGCCCTCTAAGATGGTTCCCGATGGGGTTGTGGCATCTGGTATTCTTGCCTTAGTGCAGACCCCCTCCCCTAGACTTTGAGCTGGACCTAGTGACCTGCCTCTAATAATACAACATAGCAAAAGTAATAGGATGTCACTTCTGAGATTAGGTTATAAAAAGATTGTGGCTTCTTTCCATCTTGCGCACCCTCTCTTGCTTGCTGTCTTGAGGGCAGCCAGCTGCTATGTTGTGAACTGCCCCATGGAGAGGCCCACGTGGCAAGGAGGTGATATCTCCAGCTCTACAGGCACCGGCTAAACTCCACATGGGTTCCTGGCCTGCAGAAACTGTGAGATAACAAATGTTTTATTGTTCGTTTGTTTGTTTGTTTGTTTTGAGATGGAGTCTCGCTCAGGTGGAGTGCAGTGGTGTGATCTCTGCTCACTGCAACCTCTGCCTCCCGGGTTTAAGCGATTCTCCTGCCTCAGCCTCCTAAGCAGCTGGGATTACAGGCGTGTGCCACCACGTACGGCTAATTTTTGTATTTTTAGTAGAGACAGCTTTTCACCCTGTTGGTCAGCCTGGTCTCAAACTCCTGACCTCGTGATCTGCCCACCTCGGGCTTACAAAGTGCTGGGATTACAGGTGTGAGCCACCGCGCCTGGCCAGCAGTGGATAATTAAATACTGAGTAATCATGGGGAAGTTACTAGATCTTTCTGTGTGTCAGTTTCTGTATCTATAAAATGGGGATAGGCTGGGCGCGGTGGCTCACGCCTGTAATCCCAGCACTTTGGGAGGCTGAGAAAGGCGGATCACTTGAGGTCAGGAGTTTGAGACCAGCCTGGTCAACATAGTGACCCCCGTGTCTACAAAAAAATATAAAAAATTAGCCTGGTGTAATAGCGCATGCCTGTAGTCCCAGTGACTCGGGAGGTTGAGGCAGGAGAATTGCTTGAACCTGGGAGGTAGAGGTTGCAGTGAGCCGAGATCATGCCACTACACTCCAGCCTGGGCAACAGAGTGAGACTCTTTGTCTCAAAAATAAAATAAAATAAAATAAATAAAATGGGGATAATGATTGTACCCACCTTGTGGGCTTGTTTTGAGGGTTGAATCAGTGTATGTAAAGCTCTTAGCATAGTGCCTGGTATACAGTAAGTGCTGTGTAGGTGTAGCTCTTATATTCTCAGGACCTAGGAGGTGCTTAATAAGTGTTGAGCAGAAATAAACATGATCAGATAGTAGTTACTGTTTACTCCTCCCTCGACATGAAGGTCCCGCTTCTCCAGATGGCATTCAAGGCCCATTATGACTCCCTGACCTCGGCCAGTTTCATGGCTGTGGTGCTGGACACTGTTCAGCCCGCCATATCTCATTTCATTCTTATCATAGAGCTACCCTATGAGGTTGGAACTGTTTCACAAACGTAGAGACCTGGCTTCAGAGAGGTTAAGTAACTTGCTCAAGGTCACACAGTGAGAACAAGGTTAAGCTAAGATTTGAATCCAGGAATGTCTAGCTTCTGGTTCAGCTTATTTGCACGTCCTCAGTGCCTCCCAAGGGCCTGGCATAAGTAGGAAGTGGGTACATGGCCACTGAATGACCAACTGCTTGCCCTGGGTGAATATTAGTCCCCCCATCTCCCGCATTTGTCAGGGAAAAAAACAACAAAAAAGCTCACCCCTGCCGAGAGATTTTGGAGAGCAATGCTTAACCCAGAGGACCGACCCGCCAATGGGGGCCTGGGGCATATGCCCAGGGGCCCTGCTCAGTGGCCTGCTTTAATGCAGGGGGAGGAAGAGGCAGTGGGAGCCAGCAGGGAGAGCTGCCCATTAGCCCTAATTAGCAGCCCGTTTGGAAAAGAGCTTGGGCAGAAATTAAGATGCTGTCAGTGGGTCCCAGCTGGGTCGTAGCAGATTGGCAGCTGCAACATTTCCAGAGCCTGAGCTTGAAACACCCAGCTGGGAAAGCCTCTCTGCCTGTTTCCACCTGGACCCAGCGGCCCCTGGGAGACAGCCAGACCCTCTTCCAGCCAGACAGTGGTCACCAAGACACCCCCACCCCCTACCATGCGTGCAGAGCACTCACAAAGCCCCCACTCCTTGGTTGTCTCTGTGGGGCCTCCTACACTCCTGCAAGATGGAACTTCTATACCTGTTTTGCAGAAGAAGAAACAGAGGTCATGAGAGCTTTACTGCTGTGCCCAAGACCCACAGTTAGGAAATGGCAGAGTTTCGGGGGAACCCTTGGCCCAGTGCCCTAAGCCCAAGGCTTGGGGATGGGAAGAGGAGGCCCCAGAAGGATCCTGACTAGGGCTGGGATAGGCGGTTAGCAGGAGGACAGGGGAAAGTGCCTAGGCCCCAAGTCACCATCATTGACTCCATCCCCTTACCCCAACCCAGGGGAGGGAAGAGTGCCACCAGTGCCACCTCTTCTGCGGGAAGAAACAAGTTATGCCATAGAGGTGGGCCGGGTGGAGGGGGAAATAGAAGTGGAAGAACAGGAAAACCAAACGTCAGGAAGGACCCAGCCTGCCTCCCAAATCTTCACTTCCTCTCTTAAAGTGCTAAGAATAAACTAGGATTTAAAATCAAGCTAAAAATAAAAAAAAATCACAAAACCCTAAAGCTGCCTTCCAAGAAACCAAAGGCAGTGATTCGGGCAGCAGACATGCTGTGGGAAAGCCTTGCTGGACGGCAGGCAGGGCTGTGCAGTGGGAGGTGGGCCAAGGGGGCCAGGGTCCAAGGGGGCCCGCTTCGGGCTGTCAGTGTTGTTATTCATAATAACAACAGGTCAGGTGTCCTGGGTTTATGACACACCAGCTACTTGCTGGGTGCTTTGTAGAGATTAACTCTTTAATCCTTGCAATTAACCTCCTAGGGGTGGGTCCATATCAGTTCTTGTTTCATAGTTGAAGAAATAGGTGCAGGGGGTGAAAGGGCCTGTGCACGTGGAGGAGAGAGATTTCCACTACAAATCTGTCCATCTCCAGAAGGTTGTGTGTGTCTCAGCTACACCAGACTGAGATGGGGGGATGCTGCCAGCTATGAGGGAGTCCATCATTTTTACCTCAAAGTATGACTTAGATCTTTTACTTTGAATAAGTTTTGAAAGCAGAGCAGAGAGAGAACAGGCAGATATTGACTGCCTGGGAGGCAGCGAGGAAGAATCACTTCCTGGAGGGGAGACTGGGGTCTCATAGGAGACCAACGCCTGACTCATCACAGATCTGGTTTTGGTGGAAATTTACCCCAACCTTGGGCCATCTTTCATCCCCCTAGACCTTGACCAGGGGTTGACATTGACAAAGTCCCACCTATGGGCTGCACCTTGCCTATTTTGCCAATAAAGTTTTATTGGAACACAGCACATCCACATCCACTTTTACTTCTTGTCTGTGGCTGCTTTCATGCTATGGTGACAGATGCATAGTTACCAGAGACTGTGTGGCTCTCAAAGCTGGAAAATACTCACTCTCTTGCCCTTTGCAGAAAAAGTTTGCTGATCCAGATCCTAGATGACATAATCATCCCTTTAAGATTTCAGAATCCTAGAACATCAGAGCCAAAGCATTCACACAGAATATACTGTCCAGCTGGGGCACAGGGAGGGGAAGGGACTTGCCCAAGGACACACAGCAAATAGTGAAAGAACCAAGCAGAGAGTCTTCAGCTCTTGCATTGGACTGATGCAGTGGCCAGGCGGGCGACCTTGAGGAAACCCTGACAGCATCAATGCTAGTGCTGACAAGTGTGTGGTTTGCACGTCCCTGACAATCCCTACATGGCATTAAATAACACTGAACTGTCACCTAGTGAGAAATGTGGTTCCTCCTCAGTCCTCTTTCAGTCTTTCGATTATGTCAAAGGGAAAGTTGGGTTTGGGGATCGCATGTCTTTATCACTTCTCTAATACTCAGTAATCTTCCTCTGTAATAAAGAGAGTATAGACCCAGACTGAAGCCTTCTGCAGGCAATGTTATCAGACCCGGCATCAGTAGCCCTGTTTAGTGTGCTTATTTTTACATCACCGTCTATGTTCTGTGTTACTGTTTTTCCACTTAATGTACTGATGGAAGTTTTGCTTTCAAAATAAAACTAAGCTTAAAAAGGAGGTTGTTGGGGGAAGAAAAACATTAAGTAAATAATAGTTCAGGTTGTACTTGGATAGAGCAGAAATCATGAATATGGTATTTGAATGGCTGAGACAGGGAAAACACCGATCGATTCCATAATGTTTCCAGAACTGCAGTTCCAAGGTTCCGTGATTTAAGAGCAGAACTTGGTCTCAGAGCAAGGGTAGGGCTGCCAACCCGGTGGTGCAGGCTGCCCACTGCACAAAGCCTCCAGGCCCTCATCTGGATGACGAGTGACTTCTAATTCACATGAAGATGTGCTATGGGCTAGCAGGCTCTCCAGCCAGGTGCCCTCATCTCTGCCTTCTGACTTGAGGTACAGATCCCATGGGATGGGGACATCTTGGAGGCAGCCAGGTGATTGGCAGAGGTCAGAGAATAGAGGTCACTGAGATAGGGGTGCTCCCTGTTGCCATCTGGTCACCCTGCCTGCAGTGAGGCTGCTCCTATCCCAAGCTGCTGCATGACAATGCTGACCTTGGTGGCATGGGCTGTGAACAGCCTTCCATAGGACCAGGCCCTGCAGACAGATCAACCTGGATTAGAGGGCTGCCTCTGCCACATGCTCACTGTGTGACCTTAGGCAGCTTGTCTCCCACCTCTCTGAGCCTCAGTTTCCACAACTGTGCAACAGAGCTCCTTAGTGATTGGACCTGACCCCCAGGGTTGTCCTGAGGATGTGCATTCAGTGGCACAGGGAATGAGTGACACACGGTGAGGGCTGAATAAACGGCAGGTAGGCTGAGCATTCCCCATCCTGAGAGGGACCCTCTGGAAGTGTCACGGGGTGGTCAGCTCTCCCAGAGGTCACGGCTGGGTCTGCATGAAGCTGGTGGCTGCAGAGAGGCCAGGCTGACTCCCGCAGCCACTGCCAGGCTGAGTTGATGGCAACTGGCTCTCCAGCTGCCAGGCAGCTCTTGACATTTTTATAGGCAGATCACAGGTAATGAGCTTTCCCTCCAGAACCTAGGGACATTCTGGAAAATTGTGTTCGGATTGAAGTGGGATGCGAGTGGGGAGAGCAGGTCCAGGAGGTGAGAGACTCTCCTTGCCTCTGCCTGCCTCCATTCCTACCCTCATCCCCACTGCAAAGGGGAGAATCGACCAAAACCATCTAGCCACATGGGGGCCCAGACCCCTAGGGATGGTGCGGGAGGCAGATTTCTCTTCCCTTTTGGCATTCCTTTGTGCTGAGCTCTGTGGTCTCAGAGGCAGATTCCCTGGCATTACAGAGGGGCAGTGACTGTGCTCCAAAGGCCTCCTTTCTTCCTTCCATGTGTGCATCCTGCATCACGTGTGCATCCACCATTCCCCCACCCGCCCTCCCACACATCAACAGATGTTTATGGAGCCCTCTCCTTGGCTATGCATTGCACTGTGTAAGGCCCTGAGGACAGGGTGGTAGACAGGACCAAGAAGAGGTGTCCATCCTTCCCAAGAACATTCACTCACTCATTCATTTACTCAACAGATGTTTACTGTGCTTCTGTTATGTGCCAGCCACCATGGCTAGTGGCTATACAATGATGATCAAGAAATATAAGGTTCCTCTACTCAGGGGCATCAGGAGGATGCCCCTCCAGCCTTCAGGATGGGCACTGATGGGTACTCCTGAGAATAAAGGTGATGGAGCCCTAAGGCTGGTGATGAGTGCTTACGGTGCCCCCAAAGTCATCACTGATGACTTTCATCAGTGATGGTATCCTTTCAGCAATATTGGTATCCTTTCAGCAATATTGGTATCCTTTCAACGATGATAGTATCCTTTCATCAATGATAGCATCCTTTCATCGATGATGGTATCCTTGACGTATTAGTGTTAAGTATTGATATGCTTCAAGCACATCAGTTACAGACACTGTCACTCCTAGGGCATCAAGGATGGGTGCTAGTGGGTAGAAACCTTTTGCTTCTGTGGGAGATCTTGGTTCATCCTCCACATTTGGCCTTTCTTCTTCCACTCAAAGCTCTTGCAGGCAGACAGACCTATGGTGGACTCTGTGGCCCAAGACATTATATGATGGTGGCCGTCCCACAGCCTCCCCCACTGAAAGGGCTGGCTTCCCACTGGAGGCCAATTTATTCTTTTGCCTGGGCTTCTCTCTGCAGCTAGAATGTCATTTTCCACAAAACCCTCTTTCTTGTAATTACTGAGAATTACTCATGAAGAGAGAGAGGAGAGAGAGAGTGTGTGTGGGTATTGATTGCCACCCTGAGAAGCTCAGGAATCATTTAGAGTAGATTAACCTAACTTTCTTTTGCCTTTTGGGAAGTTGGACTCTGACTTATTTGAGGAGATTAATCAGCTCATAAGAAATCTGGACAGCCTTCCTACCTCTTCTATCTCTTTTTGGATTAGCTGGGGCCATGTCATTTTCACCATGCCTTCGAAATATCCTTTTCCTCACTCTCTAGCACTCCGTCTACATTTTCACTATTATTGCCCAGTCCATTTAGTTCAGCAGGATTCTCTGTAGCTCCTCTTTTGGGGAATGGGTGGAGGCGTCCCTGGCTGCCATTAGATTACCCTGATAGCCTTGTTGCCTGGATCTTGGGTGGGCACAACTTCAGGGAGGGCTGGGCCACTACAGGCAAGTCTCCTGCATCCAAGCCCGGGGTCTCTGCAGCTGTCACGTAGGAAGAGTCCAACCATTCCATTCTAAAATGCAGTATTTTCCAGAGTCTTTTCTGCGAGGTTTGCACATTGATTCTGCAGATGCTAATCCTATCCATCCAGTCTTCCGGACTTCCAGGTGCTGCTCATCCATCCCCTCCTCTTCCCTTGCAGGAAGCTATCCCAGACTAAGCACTAGTCCTGCTTACTGAGGCAGAGAGGATGGGAAATGAGAGGAGAGAAAGGAAGCCTGAGAGGGGAAAGGGAGAAGAGAAAAGGTGGTGAGTGGCCCCGGGGAAGGAGTCAGCATTTGCCTGACTCTGCGACACATTTTGTGGAGTGCAAAAAGGGCAGGTTCCGGAGCCAGACAGACTTGGGGTTAAATCTCAGCTCTACTCCTTCCTAGCTTGGTGACCTTGGGCAAGTCACTTTACCTCTCTGAGATTTCATTGTTCACATGGGATGATAACAGTTCCTAGCTCACATTACCATTGCCAAATGAGATCTTGTATGTGACATGCTGAAAGCAAGGCCTGGCGCTTAGTGGGTGTGCCATTGACAGCAGGTGGATATCGCCAGGCCCCAAACATGGGGGACTCCCAATGAATCTTCTGTAAAGACTTGATGTATGATACGGAACTTCATCCTTGGGAGCCTCTACTCCTCTTCCTCATCCCCCTGTCTCCAGGTAGCTGCAGAAGGAGCAGCCAGGATACCCGGGTCTTTGGCAGGTGAGGCCCAGATTCTCAGCTCCTGGGAAGCTGAGAATATTGCAGGTCCTTGCTGCTGCTTCTCTCCTCTTCCAGGAAAAAGTTTGAAGTCAAATGGGTCCCGAGGTGGAATATTTTCCAAATGTCAGTGCAGTCTGTGGTACATTACAGCTAAATGTGATCATCTCAGTGCTGGGCTCTGAATGTCAGCGCACTGGCCGTGATGGAGTGACAAATAGCAGGTTGACAGGTGGGGCTGTGGCCCCCCCCCCTTCCCCTGGGAAATCAGCCTGGGGAACTGGGCCATCTCTGGGTTCAGCAGGTGAGGACCATGGGCCTCTGTGGGGACACGGAGTGGGCTTTGAGGGGTCCTGTGCGTGTGATGTGTGCATGCATGTGTGCACATGTGGCAATGTCTCTGTGCCTGTACACTTCCTCTTCGGTGTGCACAAAGGCTCAGACACCCTGGGAGGGAGTTCACTAAGCACAGCTGGAGATCTGTGTGTGGCTGTTGTATGTGTGTTCTTCATCTCCATCTCCATCATGTTCTCCGTGAGTCTACACTCATTAGTAGAACTGCTTGCATGGTGTACACACATTTTCACTAACTGACCGTGAGACTGCGTGTACCTGTATAGATAGACACCATCTATCTCTTGCAGTCTTTTCTATGGCGTACATGTGTGTACATGATCTTCCTGTGCCCATATGTGTAGTTGTGTGTGTGGACAATTGTGTATGGTTCTGTGAATAGTATTTGATTGTATGTGTGTGTGTGTGTGTGTGTGTGTGTGGTTGTCTAGGTTTATAAATTCCATCTCAACAGCAAAGGTGGAAGGGGAAACTGGAGTTGGGAGAAGGCTCTCTGCCTCATTGCCCTTGTGGTGGGGCATTTTGATGGTTGCCTGCTCTGTGGGGCCTGTGATTGGCTGGGTGGGATGGGGATTAAATTGCCTCCAATTACCAGAGAGTAAGCAGTGAGCTGTGAGGCCAGGGGGATGGTGCATGGATGCCAGGATCTGACAACCACAACGGGATTAAGAAGCCCTGTGTATGCAAGCGGCCTCATGTATCTGTGTGAGGCTGCGTGCTCGTGAATGCCTGTGACTGTGTGTTTTGCATCTTTGTGGGCGGGTGTATTTGCCCATGAGAATGCAAACAAGCATGTCTGTGTTGTGTGTGTGATTATGAGAACGCAGATGTGTCCCTGTGCATCCTTCTATGTGGCTGTCATTGTGCCTGCGTGGGTGTGCTAGCATGCATCTGTGTGTCTGGGAATGTGTGTGAGTTGTGGTCTGCGTCAATGCATATCTCCATGTCTGTGAGCATGTGTGTCTATGTATATGACTCTGCATGTGTCTTTGTGTGTGAGGGTTCTGCTTTGAGTGTGTGTGTCCTTGTGTGAGACTTCACATATATACGTGGGTCTCTGGTTTTCTCTGAGTAGTGTGTGTGTGTGTGTGTGTGTGTGTGTGTGGTTAAATGTGAGGGTCTCAGTGAATCAGTGGTTAGGAGGGAAGAGGTAGGGAGAAAACTGTTCTCCATCCCATCCCCATCCCAGCTGGTGATCAGAATTCCAAGGCCTCCTCCCTCTGACCACACCTGAGTACAAGCTTCCACAAAAAATGGGAAGACTCCCCATTAGGGAGCCTGATGAGGGGTCTGTGAGCTGGTGCTGAGCCTGGAATGGGGAATGCCATGGGTTGAGTTGTGTCCCCCTAAAATTCATATGTTGAATTCCTGAAGTAGTTGTACATGAGAACGTGACCTTGTTTGGAAATAGGATCGTTGCAGATGTACATGGCTAAGATGAGGTTATCCTAGGGTCGGATAGGCTGCTAATCCAATATGACTTGTGTCCTTATAAAAGGGAAAATTTGGGCCAGGCACGGTGGCTCACGCCTGTAATCCCAGCACTTTGGGAGGCCGAGGCAGGTGGATCACCTGAGGTCAGGAGTTTGAGACAAGCCTAGCCAATAGCGAAACCCTGTCTCTACTAAAAACACAAAAATTAGCCAGGCGTGGTGGCAGGTACTTGTAATCCCAGCTACTCGGGAGGCTGAGGCAGCAGGATCGCTTGAACCTGGGAGGCGGAGGTTGCAGTGAGCCGAGGTCGCGCCAGTGCACTCCAGCCTGGGCAACAAGAGTGAAACTCCATCTCAATAAATAAATAAATAAATAAATAAATAAATAAAAATAAATAAAAAGGAGAAATTTGGACCCAGACACAGATGTGTTGAGGGAAGACGATGTTAAGAGACACAGAGAGAAGATGGCCATTTGTAAGCCTAGGAGAGAGGCCTGGAACAGATTCTTTCTCACCGCCCTGCTGGCACCTGGATATCAGACTTCCAAGCCTCCAGGCCTGGGAGATCATTTGGTGCTGTTGTTTAAGCCACTCAGTTGATGGTGCTTTATTACAGCAGCCCTAGGACATGAATCCAGGGGATGTGAAGTGCTCAAGGGCTTCTCCTCCCACTGCCCTTCTGCTCCCTATGGACCCATTTCACAGATGTGTGTGTTGTGATCAGCGGTGGCCTCCTCTTCGCTCCGTCTGCTCTGAAGCACTCCTCCCTAGAGGCCTCAGTTTAGTAGCCTCCTTTGGGAGACCTTTCAGATAACCCCACCCCTGTCCCTCTCCCAGCCCTTCCCTGTCCCCGGATCTCACCTTCCTTCAAGCTGTCCTGGCAAGGCCAGGCTTTATCACCTTCTCAAAAGTAAGTACATTTTCTCCCCATTTTTCTCTTCTCTCTGCATAGCTCTGTGTCCTTGCATACAGGAGGTGCCCACTAAAGGTCTCAGTGAGGATTCCCAGGTTTCCAACCTCTTCCTGGGCTTGGGATGGGAAAGAGGATTTGTCCTCACCCCTCCTTCCCCCTACACCATGCCACCTCTTCCATGTCCTAACAGCTGCTGTTTATTTTGTTCTTACTGTATGCCAGGGCTAAGCTAGGTGCTTTAGTGGGGGACCACTTCCTCCTCTGAACAACTCTATGGGGTAGCTGCTATTTTGGCTTCATTTTCCAAAGGGGAAATGGAATCACAGGGAGGATAAATAAATGGTCTAAGATCACACCTTAAAATTCACAAATGCCAGATCAGGAAGGAGCTTTAGGAATCTGTTAGGTTACCCCTCTCAGCTGCCCCTATTTCACAGCTGGAGAAACGGAGGTCCAAGTGGCTCTTCTCCCTCCACCTGCCTCTGGTGCTCCACAGGGCTCACCCCTGACTGTCGGATCCCATCGTTTTACACACTGTCCCTGTGCCTCCTACTCTTGCAGCTTCAGCTTTCCTGAAGACACCAGTGAGTAGAAAGACCACTTTAGTCTCCGCTCCTCCTCCTGAGCTCCAGCCCTGCATTTCCACATCTTGTGCATGTGGCCTGCAGGCCCCTCAAACTCAGCATGTCTAAAATCAAACTGATCTCTCCTGACCTCAGAACCAAGGCTTCTCCTGGATTCTCTGGCTCATTACCAGCTTTGCCGCCCTTGTCACTCAAAGGCTGAAGCCTTTGACCTCCTCTACCCACCATCCCCACACGCGGTCAATTGCCAACTCCTGCTGGCTCTTTCTTCTAAACTATTTCTCAGATCCACTGACCCAGTTTAAGCCTCAATGTCTCTCTCTGAGGGTCCTGTGTCAGCCTTTCATATCAGCTAGAATGAGGTTTGGCTGCTTGAGACAAAAGACCAAAGTGACAGAGACTTTGACAAGTTGGAAGTTTATTTGTCTCTTATGTGAGCCAAGTCTGGAGATGGGAGAGGTTCAGGGCTGGTATGGTAGCTCTATGAGGTTGATAAGAACCAAGTCCATCCATAGGGTATGACCTTTGTCCTCATGGCTCAAGGTGGCTGCTTGAGCTCCAGCCATCTCAGCTGTGTTCAGCCAGCAGAAAGAAGAAAGGGACAGTAAAAAAGAGGCAAAGGGCATGAGTCAGCAGCCTTTTAAAGAGGTGTCCCAGAAGCTGCTACATGACAATTCTTCTAAGGTTGTATTGGCTGGGACTCAGTTCATGCACAGTTCATACACAGCTGTGAAGGAAGCTGGAAAATGTGGCCCTTGTAATAGAAGGCCATGTGCTTGGTTAAAATTTGGGGCTTCTCTGATTAAGGAAGAAAGTGAGACTGTGACCTCCTCCCTTCCTCACTGGTCTCCCTCTCATTTCTTTCATCCTCTAATCCAGCTTGGGCAAGTAGCCAGGATAATCTTTCTAAAATGCAAATCTATACATAGGGTTGCCAGATTTAGCAAATAAAAATACAAAATTCCCAGTTAAATGTAAATTCCAGATAAGTAATATATAAGTAATTTTGCATAAGTATGTCCTGTGCAATACTTAGAATACTAATACTAGAAAAATTATTTTTTATTTATCTGAAATTTGCATTTAACTGGGCACCCTGCAATTTATCTGTCCAGCCTATCCATATACTTTTCATGGTTCCCCACTGTTGTCAGAAAAAGACCCGAGCTCTCTGGAAGGCTTTGCTGGGCCCTTTGCAATCTGTCCCCCAACTGACCTGTCTAGGTCCTTGTTCCCTGAACAAGCCCTGCACTGCTTCCGCTGTCTCCAAGCCCCCCGAACCTTTGCTTAAGCTCTTTTCCTGGGAGACTGTCCTTCTCTATCTGAGAAGGCCCATGCACCCAGAGGGAACATGGCCCCTGTGGCTCTAGATTCCTGGGGACATGGCAGGGACGAGTGATTATTTGCTGAATGAATGAAATGATGGGTCCAGGGACACGCGCAAATGAGAGGCAAGGTTGGAGTGGCTCCCTCACATTATGACTCCCTGTACAGTGCTCTCTGCACCCAGGTTGGCTCATGTGGGCCCAGCACTGGGATCTCTGTCCCTGGGGCCTTCATTTTCCACAATCCCACGTCTGGGCATGGCACCCCCCCAGCACACAAGGGGTTAAGCCAGCCTTGGAGTTGGGAGCTGGAGCCCATGGAGTCCTTCCTGACAATAAAGCTAATGAATCCCTCCTTGCTGTTTTCTCTTGCACAATAACATTTAATCATCATTTGCACAGCAGATGAGAAGTTTGCAGCAGATGCAATTCTGCGTGACTGGCGATTTCTGCGTGTGGGCATCATTCTTGCTGTCCCCAGCACACCTGACTATCTGGGGTTGGGCAGGCTGTGCCCCAGAGAGGGTGTGTGTGCATCCACATGATAGGGATCTGACTCCACACACGTGTGGGAGATGGGCTTTGGAGGCACGTGTCTATGTGCGTGCTTGTCTGTGGGGTTGAGTTAGGCACATGGGGCATGGGTATGAGTGAACTGTGCTGGGCCTGCCTAAAGGTGCACGTGGACAGAGGTGGTTAATGCCTGAGGACACGTTGTCTGGAAGTTGAGGAACCTACATGGAGACAGGCAGATGCACATATACCATTGCATGTGTGTGAGTGCTTGGTGCAGATCTGAGCATTTGTTGGAGGATGGCTGTTTGTTTAGGTGCTTGTACTTGATCGTGTATATTATGTTCATACACACAGACCTATGTCCTCACATGTACAAATGCATCTATGGGAGCATGCGTTTGAATTTGGAGTTTGTAATGGACTGTTCCTGAGGTTACATTTGCTTTCCTGTGCGTGCATACAAATGGGCATATGACTGAGAATGAGAGCATGGGGTTGTATGTTCATGCACAGAAGTACATTTGAGGGTATGCACACATATGTGCTATGTATTTGAGTGGGAGTTTCTGGGGACACACATATGTTAGTGAATGGGTATGAATATATGCCTGAATGGGAAAATATGTTTGCTTATTGAAGAGTACCAGTGGACACACATGTACATGCATGTAAGAGAACTTATCTATGGCAGGCATGTGCATGCTCTGAATACAAACATGAGTGCACACATGAGAGCTTGCCTCCCATGCACGCATAGCATGCTGGCATGTGTCCACATTTGCAGACCTGCAGGGATATGCTCTGTGTGTATCGCTGTGAACATGTCTGCATTGTGCCCACAGGTGCGAACATGTCTGTGGGTACAACCTGTGCATGCATCATGTGCTGGCATGCTCATGCACACGCTGGAACGTGAGCCGTCTCGCCTCAGAGTGAGGGCTGACAGGGTTGCATTTTCCAAAAGCTCAGCGACCAGTGACAGAGCTGGCCTGGGAGTGCTTGCTGGCAGGAGGTGAGTGGAGCTGCTGATTTGTGACCTGGGGGTGGGCTGTGATGACGGCTGGCTGATGGATGCAGGCGCTTAGACACCCTGTATGACAGCAGCCAGCTCTCTGAGCTGCCTGAATCAGGAGGTGGGAGTTTAGTTCTTGACCTGTGCTGCTCAATGCTGGCTTCCCACCTCCCTGGTGCTTGTCCACAGCCACATGAGGACACACACACACACACCAGAGACACAGACCCAGGCTTGGACAGTGGCTAGCCAGCTAGGCCCCTCTGTCCATCTTGCTCCCAGCTCTGCCATCCCCTGAAGTGCCTCCCCTTCTCACCAACATGCTTCTCTGTTCTCCCAGAAACTTCACTCACAATCAGAGTCATCTAGGCCCTGTGCAGAGCCGTGGCGTGTGGGAGTGTGAAATCATTTCAGGCCTTTAAAGGCTTCATGCCCTTGGGCAAAGCATGGTTCATCTGTGAGCCCTGGGTTCCTCATCTCATCCTCATAAAACAGGCCTAATGAAAGCACCTGCTTAAAATTAAACAAGGCAAATTATGTAAAAGCACTAAACACAGTAAACACAGCGTCCATTCTCCATGAGATTTACCTATCTTAGTATTAATTATGTATGGTGCTGAGAACAGGGCCTGGCATGCTGCAATGCTATATAAGTGTGCTGTCACCGTCATCACTACTATCATCGTCGTTGTTATTAATATCCCTGGTTCTGAAATCCTTGGCCAATTGCACATCAATTCTTGCTCAAGACCCTGAATACTCTTTTATCCCATGATAATGATGATGATGATGACAACAAAAGGGGAATATTTTTCTTTTCATCTTCCTAGATGCCTTGTAAGAAGGTCAGGAATAGTAAATGGGAGGCTCTTTATTTTCTAAGCTCCTTGATAGAGCTGGGTTTGCTCATTTGGAGCTTGGAGCTGGCATGGTTGTATTTTCTGCCTAACACAGCATGTGGAACTCTTGGGGAACCTGGTGGGAATCAATGAGACAGATGACCAAAGGCTGTGCGTCCCATAAAACCCTGCTCTGTGACCCCAAGTCATCAGAAAAACTCACAAATGCTTGGCATGAGTAGACACCTTGTGCAACCCAGTGAAAGGGCAGGACTCACTGGATTTCACTCTGGGATGGCTCAGCACCCAGTGGAGACAGCAAGTGTGGATGCAGGAGCTGGAAGCAAAGGGGATCGAGGGATCATTACCTTTTCCTCCACACCCCACTCTGGAACTAGCAGAAATCACGGGGCGCTTGAGGACTTCTACAGGCTGTGGAATGCAGTGGCGGGTAGAGGAATGAGCTCTCCCAGAGCACAGACAGGGACTTTTGGATACACCCAAGCATATGTTTGGGGCTTCCTGTGTGCTGGACACTGTATGTACTGCTGACGGGGTAGGTTCTGGGGGTCAGAGCACCCGGGTTTAAATCTCAGCATCTCCAGTTATTTGTCATTTGATCTTGCACAAGTTACTTAACCTCCTTGTGCCTCAGTTTTCTCACCTGTAAAACGAGGGCTGCCTCATTGCGTTGTTGTGGGATTAAATGCGTTAATTTATGTAAAATGCTCAGTAAGTGTCAGCTGTTGCTATTGCGTTTTATCCTTATTGCAACCCTATGAAGTAGGTGGTCTGAGCATATGCACTTTATGGATAAGAAAACTGAGGCACACAGAGGGTAAATAACTTGTCTGAAGTCACACAATGGCCGGGCGTGGTGCCTCATGCTTGTAATCCCAGCACTTTGGGAGGCCAAAGCGGGAGGATCACTTGAGCCCAGGAGTTTGAGACCAGCCTCGGCAGCATAGCAAGACGCCATCTCTACAAAAAATTAGCTAGGTGTGATGGTGCATGTCTGCAGTCCCAACTACCTGGGGGGCTGAGGTGAGAGGATTGGTTGAGCCTGGTATATTGAGGCTGCAGTGAGCCATGATTGTGCCATTGCACTCCAGCTGGGCGACAGAGCAAGACCCTGGAAAGAGAGAAAGAAAGAAAGAAAAAGAAAGAAAGAAAGAAAAGGAAAGAAAGAAAGAAAGAAGGAAGGAAGGAAAGAAAGAAGAGAGAGAGGGAGGGAGAGAAAGAAAGAGAAAGAAAGAGAAAGAAAGAAGGAAAGAAAGGAAGGAAGGAGAAAGAAAAAGAAAGAGAAAGAGAGAGAAAGAAAGAGAGAAAGAAAAATAAAGAAAGAAAGAAAAAAGAGAAATCATATGGTGGGTAAATCGTAGAGCCAAAGGCTCAGAAGGCAAATCTGGATAAATAATGTTCTTTATTTCTGGCAAGATCTTTGACTCTGTGTGACCTTGGGTAAGTAATTCTCCATGTGTGAGGTTTAGACAGGATGTTCAAGGGACCTATGACTTCATGTCCGTGTGTCCCTCTGGACATATAATCTGCCTGTGACCTCCTTCTTGGCAGGGTCAGTATCTGCTAAGGCAACCAGTGCATGTGGAAGGGACAGGCTTGGAGTCGGGGGAACCTGTGCCGCCTTTGCTCTGTCCCATACTAGCTGGGAGACCTTGAACCAGCCACTTTATTCCCCTGAGTTTCAGTTTCCCCTTTCTACAATGGAGCTGGCAACCAACCTCAGAAATGCTGTTGGGCTTCTGTATGTGAGAGCTGGGCACACGGGGCTGAGAGAGGTGGCTGCACATCTCCCCACGGGTCTCCAAGTTACCATGCCCATTTGTAGCATGAGCTATAGGAACCATGGGTTAAAGGTCCCACATAGGATGATTTGGGGGTTCCCAAATATCCCTCCACTTGGGCTTACCATGCTAACCCCACATCCCTGCCACTGGCCACTCTCAATGGACTTTAGAAGGCATATTCAAGTTGAGCAAGTTATCAAGCTCCTTAACCTGGCCTTCAAGTTCTTTTCACAACTACCTCCAACCAGCCTTCCCTGCCTCACCTCCCACCACTCCTCCACCCTGCGATCCAGCCCCCAGGGCCAAAAACCCTTCCCGAAGCTGCCACACACTTCTTACCTTCTCCCCACCCCCAGCCTTTGCAGATGCTCTTCTCTCTGCTTGGAATACTCTTGCTCGCATGGCCACCTCACATCCCATACTCATTCTTCGAGACCCAGTTGAAGTTACTTCCTCTGGGAAGCCCTCCAGGATTACTCAGTCTTTCTTTAGTGCTTCCAGGATCTTATTCTGTTAATTCTGCTACAATTCTTACCAAACACATTATTTTTGGCTGCTTCAGCTCCCTGATCCACTTCCTTCCTCCAACTTACGTCTTGGGCTACCGGAAGGGAGGAATTACCTATCATCTATGTAACCCTTGGCAGTTTACTACTCTCTTAGCCTCAGTTTCCTCATCTGTGAACTGGGGCTGACAGTACCTAAATGAGAAAAAATAATGCAGGTAAGGCACTGGGACATACTAGCCATCTCTGGATCTATCACAGTGGACCTTGGCAAATGTGGAGGGAATGAATGAGAGCTCCCTGGGAGGGTAAGAAAAATAAGGCTAATAAGCATTTATTGGGAACTTTCCACATGTCAGGAAGGCACTGAGTTCAGAGCTTAACATCCACTATCTCCTTTAAGACTTTTAATAATCCTTTAAGGAAGAGACTATCATTATCCCCATTTTACAGATAAGGCAACTGAGGCTTCAGCAGTGGAGGACCTTGATGAAGGATGCCCAGCTAGCAGGAGCTGGAATTCATGTTGGATCAATGTGGAATGAATGAATCACTTGGGCGTGGGGGGAGGTGGGAGGACAAATAACCGTATCTTATAATCATATGGTTTTAGAGCTGGAAACTCTTCAGGTGACTTAGTCCAGGGGTTCTTAATTTGGGATCCATGAGTGGGAAGACTGATGGGTTCCAAAGCCAGACAGATAAGGTCCCCCCATCTTGCCCAGTGGTTTCTGACCCCTCTGTCTCCTGCCAATCCTTGCATCCACTCAAGTCCTGGAGTCACCCAGCTTGTTCTTGCTTGGCTCCGCTGGTATTTCAGTGTGGTCTGAGACTCCTGAAGGCTCCGCAGTTGCCGGGAGTGTCCTTATCCCCCATGCAGGGCAGGATCAGGAGCCGACAACTGCAACCTTTTCCCCTCCCCTGGGAGATGTAGGGAAAAGGGGAAGGGCATCTGGAGCAAGGGAGAGAGCTCAGACCTTGGAGGCAGACACACTGGGCTTCTAAGAACCACAAAGATAAGAATAGTAACAAAGGCTAGCATTTATTGAACACCTACTATGTGCCAGGCACTGTCCTAACCACTTGACACATATGAACCCTTTTTAGCCTCACAACTCTTCGAGGTAGGTTCTGTTATTAACCCCATTTGACAGATGAGGAAACTGAGGACCAGAGAAGTGAAGTGACTTGCCCGAGGCCAGGCAGCTGGTCAGTGCCAGAGGCTCTGCCATTCACTGGCCAGGTGCCCTTGGACGGGTCACAGCCACTTCTCTGGGGTCCTTTCCCCTTCTATTCCGTGCAGGACACCACCTCATGGTTTCTCTGACGACTGAGCTGGTCTCTGTACAGCGTCCCAGCACACAGTAGGTGCTTAGTAAGTGAACAGCCTTCTTTCCTCTTAACTCTGATGGGGGAAACCTGGGGTGGGGGCATCTCAGCGGCGTGCTCCCTCCAGCATTCTCCCCCAGGCCAGGATTGAGTGACCCGCCCCTTCCCGACTCTGCAACGCCACCCCCATCTCCCATTCTAACCCCAGAGCCACACCGTGCCCGGTCTCGCCTCAGTTTTAATGCCGTTGGTCAGAATCCCGCACCTCTGGGCTCCAAAGCTGCACCCCTAGAGGAGGAGGAATGGAAGAGTCCGCTCCTAGCAAGTCCCCCCTCCGTCCAGCCGCCAAGGGAGGGTTGGGGGAGGGCAGGAAAGGGGGTCCGCGGGGGAAACGCGTTGTCCTGGGGCCCCGGCGTGTGCTGGGCGGGTGAGCAGCCGCGCCCCGACGGCAGGGCGAGGGGCTAGGAGGCCTGGGCCTCGTCGTCCCCGCGGTGGCCGGCGTAGAGCGCGGCCAGGGGCCGGAAGCGCGGACCCCAGCTGCTGAGATAGGCGAAGTCCTGCTCGGAGCCCGACGAGCCGCTGTGCAGGGAGCTGAGCGAGGCGGCCGGCGAGTCCGCGCCCTCGAAGGCGTAGGTCTGGAAGGCGTCGTAGGGCGGCACCGACAGGTCCCCGTCCGCCAGTGCCACCTTGCGGCTGATGAAGTCCCTGAACACTGAGAAGTCTGGCTCGGGGCTCGGCGGCCCCTGCGGCAGCGAGTGGCGCTCGGAGGGCAGGTGGGCCTGCGGGGGGCTGCCCGCGCCCCCGCCCGAGCCCCCGCCCGCTCCCCCGCCCGCGCTGCCGCCCCCGTCGCCGCCCTTGAGCTCGCCGAAGTCGTAGAGGCTCCGCAGCGCCGACATGTCGTAGGCTTCGGTGTCCTGCTCGCCGCCGCCTTCGTCGTTGTATTTGATGACGTTGTCCCGCATGTCTTCATCCTCGTCCGAGCTCAGGTGGCTCTTGTGGTGGCGCCTGAGGGTGAGGATCAGCAGCACCAGCACTGCGAGGGGGACAGAGGGGGCAACTGAGGGCCAAGCCCCTCCCAGGGCATTAGAAGGACCCTCTACCCCATCTCCTCCCGCCTCCCACCCAGCAGAGCGGGCCCAGCCTCAACATTCCTACAGATTTCCTGGATTTCTGTTCAAAAAGCCATTCTTGCAATCAGAACTGAGCTGAGTGTCTGGAGAGGTAGTGAGCTACCCATCTCGGGAGGTATGCAAATCGAGGCTAGATTACTCTGGGGTGGAGGTGGCCAATGGGAGAGCAGTGTTAAAGGTTTTCCTGGGTGTTGAGGCCTGAGGTCTCCCTTCTCAGCCCTATGAAGAGATACACTCTCTGAGGACTCTAGGTGCTGGGGGTCTGTAGCAGGCAGCTGAGAAACAGAAGGAGCTGGAGGAGTGAAAGATGTCCTTCACCCTGACCTCTCTTTCACCCTCACCCTCCTCTGCCACACCAGAAGTCTTGAGCTCCTACTCAATCCTTTGGTTCTCAGGTCAAGGCCTGCAGGAACCCTTCCCTGAGAGCTGCAGGCCAGGTTCCATGCCTTCCCCTGCAAGATTCCCCAGGACGGGGCTCCTTCCTCTATCATACTGGTTCTCAAAGTGCGGCCCCTGGGCAACAGCAACATCCTCCTGGGAGCTTGTTAGAAATGCAGACCCTTGGATCCTGGCACGGATCTTGTGGCAGTGGAGGGGAATCTGTGTTTTAACAAGACCTGCAGACCTGAAGAGGCAGCTCAAGTTTGAAAGCCACAGCTCTGTCATAGACCAGACCCTGCTGTGTTACCAGGTCTGTCTCCACCCCAAAACACACACCCTAAGCTAGGACCTGGGAAATGTTCCTCTATCTTGGTGCCTGGCATGCAGTAAGCACTTGAAGCATGCTTGTTGAATGAATGAATGACTAAAGGAAGAGTTGGATGGAGACTTGGGTAAGTGAATGAATGCTTGTCCCCTCTTGGCTTTCTTCACTTGATTTCCAGGACTCCACATTCTCCTCCTCCTCCCACCTCACTGATCACTCATTCTCAATCTTCTAAGCAGGTTTCTCCTCGCCTCTCTTAACTCAGATGTCCTAGGATTCAGACCTCGGTTCTGTGTCCATGCTCCCTCTCTTGGAGCTCTCCTTTGGTCTCAACAGCTTTAAAAGTTCCATTTAGAAACTGACAATCCCCATATCTCAGCCTCCAGCCTGGACCTCTCCCCTGAAATCTAGATTGTACATTCAATTTCCTACTCAACACGCCCTCTTGTTGACCAAGCGAATCTCAAACTTAACAGGTTCAAAGGTGAAATACTAATCTTTCCCCCTTCCCCACCCCGAGTCTCCCCCACCTCAGTGTTAGGAACCCCGACTTTTCAATTACTCAGGGCTTCTAAGTCTCTTTTGTTGAGTGCTAAATCTCAGTGTCTAGTACATGGGAGGAACTCACTGGATGGATGTATAGGTAAATGATGATGGGTGGATGGACTGACAGATGGACAGACATGTACGAGGTACTGTGCTGGGCACTGGACTCTTCTTGCTCCTCCAAACAGCTCCAGTGGCCAGAGCTGGCTGTGAGGGCCATGGGGCAGGGCACCTGCTCACCACCTAACAAGGTGGCTTGTGACAGGGAAGAGCACGAGAGCTGGGGACAGGCCCGGAGGGAGGGCACAGGGAAGGAAGGTGTCAGGAGAGAAGTGGGAAAGATGGATGGATGGCTTCTGGAGCCGAGGCTGGGAGCTCTGGAGGGGGATGCCCGCGGGAGCAGATGGTGAGGTTTGCGGGTGGCGGGCGACAGATGTGCCAGGCCTGATCAGCGATTCCACCCGTCACCTTTAGAGCACTGATGTGCACTTTCTTCGTTTGTGGGCAATTAGGCAGAACTTTGTTTGCACTGCCTCGGAAAATGAAACCGCTGTAAAGTGCACCCTCTGGAAAAAGGGTTTCTGAGCCATGGGCTAGGGTGGGGGGAGAAGGGGGACCTCCCAACTATGAGGAGCCTGCCCAGGGCCTCTGCTGGGACCTGAGGAGGTACAGCCTGGCCATAGGCAGGTCCTCAGAGGGTGGACAGAGGCCGTGCCAGTGCCAGCCAGTGAGGGCGGGGGGAGGCAGCTGACATCTCCCAGGGAGCAGAGCAAGGCTGGAATCTGCACTTGGACCTCCCTTGAGCTCCTCTAGCTTTGGCCTCAGTGCCCTTCTTTACTTGGGTGGTTACAGCTGTAACAGGTGGCATATGGCCATTCAAATCCAGGTTAGCTTCTGAAACTTGACCTCTTCATTGGGGAGACTTTGGGGTGCAAATGGCTGCTAGTGGCCTGGTACCAGTGTAGATTTTGCCCCCCTCCCCCACCACCAATGACTTGAGATTTTGCTCTCAGTTTAGATTCATAGCAGGTGGTGTAGTTAGAGGAGCAGAGGACACAGGGTGAGAAGACCTAATATCAAATCCAAAGATTATCCAGTACCCTTACACCAGCCACCTAACCTCTCTGACCCCCAGCGCTTTCATCTGAAAAATGGGATGATATGCCTGGCCATGTGCTTGTGAGGTTCACAAGAGCCCTTTTTACTAAAAGTCCTACATAGAGACTAAAAAAGGACCATTCACATGAGAAAATTTTTTAAAAATATGCTAGGGTGAGGTTTGGGCTACACGTGAATGGGGTGGGCCACAGTGAGCTCATCCCTGGAGTTGGTGGCGGGGCCGCTCTGCACTTAGAAGACTCCTCATGGGGGCTGCTTGTTAGAGCTTGGAGATGGTTTGGCCAGCCCATCCTCATGTGGAGAGGGAAGCTGAGGCCCCATGGGGGCTGGTTAGGAAGGAAACCCAGGACGCCAGGATGGGGCCAATCAGGCAGGGCTGGGTGGCTCTCGATGGACTCACCAACCAGGATGAGAACGCAGACCAAGAGGGCGATGAGGGCGCCGGGGCTGAGGGAGGCGGCCATGACAAAGGCCGTGGTGTTGCAGGACTGGATGGTGCCGGAGCTGTCGCAGCCACAGATGCGGATGGTGAGCGTGCCTGTGCTGCTCAGTGTGGGCGGCCCACTGTCTACCACCAGGATGGGCAGGAAGAACACGTCCTGCTCCTGCCGGTTGAAGCCCACGTGCTGCGTGTGCACTGCAGCGGTGTTGTCTGTTCCGGAAGAAGGGGGAGCGGTGTGACTTGGGGCCGGGGGTCAGCATCCTTGTCCTAGCCACCTCCTGATTGCATCGTGAGATTTGCCTCCCTATGCCCCAAACTACAGCCTCCCAATGGACTCATGGGTCTCTTCTCTGATCTCCCAAAATTCTATTACCAGATGCCTCCAAATTCTGCCCCATGCTGCCCAAAGATTCTGTCCCCCAAAGTCTACCCTCAGCTGCCCAAAATCCTGTCCCCATGTAGCCCACAATTCTGTCCTCAAACCATCCCAAGATTCTGTTTTCAGCTATTCTAAGATTTTGTCCTCAGCTGTGCCAAGGTCCCCAGCTATTCCCAGATTCCGTCCCCAGCTAGGCCAAGGTCCTGTCCCTGGCGTTGTCTTTTTTTTTTTTTTTTTTTTTGCCATTTGTCTCAACAGCTTGTTTTTGCTCTAGATTCCACCCCAGCTTCCCAGCGTATTCTGACCCTAGGAATCCTATAGGGTCCTTGGGTTGTGGTTTGTTGGGCCCTGACAAGTCCTGGGTCCTCAGAAGGGACTGGGAACTCTGGCTGGCATCTGCCTTTGGCTGTGGGATCTTTCTGTCCTTCATACCCCAAGGCCAGTTGAGAGTCCTGGAGCCTGACAAGGAGTCTCTGCCTAAGAGGCTGAGCCTAGAGGGCTGGGGGCGTGGTGAGGGGCCTGATGAGGGGCCCTGGAGCATTGAGGCCTTCTCCACATCTTTCCTTTTCACATAGGCGGCCAGAGAGGACAGTGAACAAACACAAATGGAACTCATGGCACTGGTTCAGCCTGTCACCGGGGAAGCCAGGCAGGACGCAGGGGGATGGTGGCTGGCCTTGGAGCACAGGCTGAGGTGACAGGTGGCACCCCCTTCTCCGCCCTTTCTGCCTCCTTCACACCTGTTCTGTAGGAGTCAGGCCACCTGACCCTCTGTCATTTTGATGGCCTCTCTCAGTTCTGCACATGCAGGGGTACGAAGTGCCCAGAGCTCCGAAGGCTGCTGCCCCTCCCTTCACAGCCAACTCTGCCAAAGGGGGCCCTGCATTCCTGCTGGGGGCCTTCAGTCCTCCTTCTCCCCGCGGTCTTCAGTCTGCTGTTTCTAATCTGAGAGCCAGATCTGGGAGATCTGTTGGCAGCCTGGGTTCCTTACCCTGCTTCGTGGCCCCAGTTAACCCAGCTCCTTCCCCAGACGACCCCAATTCAGTGTCCCAGATCTGGCCTTTCTCATCATGGATGCTATGCAGGAAAAGGAGCCCTACGAAGGTCTGACTTGTGGCCTTTGGCACATCTCAGAAGTGGACTGCAGGTCCAGATGCAGCACGACTGGCTGTGAGTTGGAGGCTGCCCACGAGGTGCCGGGAACATGAGGGTTCATTCCATTAGCCTATCTCCTTTTACACACATTTGAGAATTTCCATTAAAATGTTGAAAAATAATGCAAGTCTATCATTTACTAGCTGGGGAAACCCACTGAGCTTCTCTAAGCTTCAGTTTACCCATCTGTAAACTCAGAAAGGGTATCATGCAGGTGTGAGGATTAAATGGTGTAATTCACACATAACCCTTAGAAAAGTTCCCAGCCCATAGAAATGCTCAATAATGCTGATTAATATTTTTTCAGACCCCGCCCCCATCTTCCCTGTGCTGCACCCGCTGCCGGCTCCCTGTCTAGGCCGCCCTGCCTTTCCTCATAAAGTTCCTGCTCTCTGGAACACCCTCTTCACCTTCTTGCCTGGGCAAATTCCTCATCCGTCATGCTCCAGCTAAATGTCACCTCCTTTCTTGTGGCCTCCTTTCTCCGCTTCCCTGGGAAGGAAGGATTTATGGCTCCCCGCTCCCTGCTCTGACTACGCAGGTGCCATGCACAGTTCTGTTACAGCACTTGTCACGTTGTGTTAAGTTAGTGTGTGCCTGTTTCTCCACTGCATGGCCAGCCAGGGCTGGCATGGAGCCAGTCTTGAAGAGCAATCCTTGAATGAACCACAGCTTTTGGGAGAACTGGTGGTCTTGGGTCAGCCCCTCAGGTCACTGCTGCCACCCTGTCCCCGGAGCTTACATGGGGTGGTCACACTGGATGGCAGCTCTGGTGGCCACCTCAGCCAAACAGAAGCAATTAAGGCAGAATCTCAGGCCCCTTGGGTTGGAAAGCCTTGTGAACTTGGCAAGGTTGAGTCAAGTTCGACAGTTCAAACTGGCTACATTCAGGCTTGAACTCTAGCTCTCCCCCCAAAGGATGCGTCAACCCCAGCTGGGAAAAATCTGCCTTCTGCAGGGGAAGAAAGGGGGCTGGAGGGCAAGATGGGAGAAAGAGGGAATGGCATGGGACCCATTTGTACTGAATGGATTTTTTTTATGCATCAAGGACTCTCTGCATATTTTAAATACATAGTAATGTTTAATCCTCATAACCTGTTAAGAGTTGTGGCATTATTCCCATTTTGTATATATGGAAATTGTGGCTCAGAGACAAGTGACTTGTCTGAATTTTTCCAGTGAAAGCATTCTTCCTTCCTTCCAACCATCCAACAAATCTTTTTTTTTCTTGAGACAAGGTCTCACTCTGTCACCCAGGCTGGAGTGCAGTGGTGTGACCTCAGCTCACTGTGACCTCGGTCTCCCAGGCTCAAGCAATCCTCCCACCTTAGCTTCCTGAGTACCTAGGACTACAGGTATGCACCACCATGCTCAGCTAATTTTTTTTAATTTTTAAAGTTTGTTTTGTGTGTGTGTGTGTGTGTGTGTGTGTGTGTGTGTGTGTACAGATGAGGTCTCATTGTATTGTCTAGGCTGGTCTCGAACTCCTGGGGCTCCTCCTGCCTCAGCCTCCCAAAGTGGTGGCATTACAGGCATAAGCCACCATGACTGGCCTCCATCCAACAAATCTTTATTAACTACTATGTGCTAGGCACCATGCTAGTCGCCATGAGAAAACAATAGAGAGCTACACCAGCTCGCTGCTGGTCCTGGATCAGAGCTCATATTTTCATGTAAGAAACAATGCTAATCAAATAAACCCACAATTTAGTCTACAATTACAAACCATGGTGAGTGCTGTGAAGGAAGAATATAGGAAGAGCACATAACAGAGCACCTGAGCCAGTCTAGGAGGTCGGGGAGAGCTTCTTGGAAGAAGTGATATGATTCCTGAGCCTGAACAGTGAGTTTAGGGAGAGGGAACAGCGTATGCAAAGGTCCTGAGGTTGGAAGAAGCATAACACACTCAGGGACCCGGGACACTCAGAGGACACTCAGTCCTTTGTGGCTGGAGGAATGAGGGTAATAGCTACAATGAGTCAAGACGAGGCTGGAGGAGGAGGCAGGCGGTCATTGTGGAAAGCCTGGGAGGCTGTGGTAAGGAATTTGGGTCATTTTCCCTTCCTTCCCTTCCTTCCCTTCCTTCCTTCCCTCCCTCCCTCCCTCCCTTCCTTCCTTCTTCCTCCCTCCCTCCTTTCTCTCTTTTCTTTTTCCTTTCCTTTCCCTCTTTCTTTTCTTTTCTTTTCTTTCTTTTTTTCCTTCCTTCCTTCCTTCCTTCCTTCCTTCCTTCCTTCTTTCTTTCTTTCTTTCTTTCTTTCTTTCTTTCTTTCTTTTCTCTCTCTTTCTCTTTCCTTTCTTTCTTCCTTTCTTCCTTTCACAGAATCTTGCTCTGTCACCCAAATTGGAGTGCAGTGGTGCAATCTTGGCTCACTACAACCTCCGTCTCCTGGGTTCAAGCAATTCTCCTGCCTCAGCCTCCTAAGGAGCTGGGATTACAGGCGTCTGCCACCACGCCTGGCTAATTTTTGTACTTTTTAGTAGAGACGGGGTTTCATGATGTTGGCCAGGCTGGTCTCAAACTCCTGGCCTCAACTGATGTGCCTGCCTCAGCCTCCCAAAGTGCCATGATTACAGGCATGAGCCACCACTACTGGCCAGAATTTGGATAATTTTCTTAAAAGCAACAGGAGGCCATTGATTGGTGGGCTTTAAGCAAAGAAGTGACCTAGTGACAAACCCATTCATTCAACAGCAAGTAGGAATTGAGCATCATCTCTCTGTCAGGACTATTCTAGCCCCGGGGGATACTGCAATGGACAGAATGGATGCGGTCCCTGTCCTTGCTGGGCCTGTGTTCTAGTTGAGGCAGCTTATCATCTAAAATGCAGGAGTCGATGTGGAAGAACAGCCAGGAAGCTCTCGTGTGTTTTAGGTGTGAGATAATAGTAGTAGTGGAGGCACAGAGAAGTAGGCAGATTTGAGAAATGAGCGGCTGGCTCCGGCTCAGCTTCAGATTGCCAAGCAAGAAGAGGGATGTTTGTCTCTCAGGGTTGCTGTCTTGGGCCATGGGACCATATGTTCTGGGAACTCTGGTCCCCACCACTCCTCCACCCCATGAAGGGGAATCCCCAGGCATCAACCCTGAATGCATCAAGCTGCCCTCCTGGGCAGCAGCTGGCTTCAGTTGGGGAAGCCTCTGGCCACCCCGGTCCCCTACCCCACCCTTCTAGGTGGGATCTGTGCCCAGCGCTGCATCCATCCATCTGGCCTGACATACATCAGTGTCAATCCCTGGCTGCAAAGGCAATATTTATAAATCACGTTTCCAAACTGGCTACACATTTGTACAAAGAAACAGATGGGTTGGGGTAGCCGTTTGTCACCTAGGATATTTATACAGTGAGGAGGAGGGGGCTTGGCAAGTAGTGGGAAGGGGCTGAGGGACTGGAGGAGGAGGAGGCCTTCCACGGCTGCTGTGACCTCAGCGTGCTGCTGCCACCCTGTCCCCGGAGCTTACACCAGGTGGCACTCTGGATGGCAGCTCTGGTGCCCCCCCCTCTCCCCCAGCTAAACAAAAGCAACTGAGGCAGAATCTCGGGCCCCTTGGGTTGGAAAGCCTGGTGAACTTGGCAGAGTTGAGCCAAGGCTAGCTGTGTTTCCTGTGACCTGCTCAGGATACTACTGGACTAATGAATAGGCAGGGCTGTACTGGTTGTTAAAATATTGAAATACTTCCAAAAAAGGCTTAAATAGCTGTTGACACTAAGCCCCCCAAATCTCTCCCTGCTGCCTCAGCCTTTTCCCCAGGCAGCCTCCCAACTTTGACACAATCAAGCCACGAAGGAGTTAATGCCTGGTGTAGTAAAGTTTCCAGGGTCCTGCTCCAGGTTTTGGTCAGCGTCCTTTCTGATTGGCCATCTGAGCTGCACTGGTTGTTAAATCTGTTTATTATTTTTCATTATTTATTTTTAATTATTGATTGACTGAGACAAGGTCTCACTCTGTCTTCCAGGCTGGAGTGCAGTGGTGCGATCGTGGCTCAATGGAGCCTCAAACTCCTAGGCTCAAGTGATTCTCCTGCCTCAGCTTCCTGAGTAGCTGGGACTACAGGTGTGCGCCACCATGCCCAGCTAATTATTATTATTATTTTTAAAGAGATGGGTTTTCACTGTGTTGTCCAGGCTATTCTCAAACTCCTTGCCTCAAGGGATCCTCCTGCCTTGTGCTGGAGTTATAAACATGAGCCTTACATATTTTTAACAGGACTCCCAGGGGTACAGATGGGTCTGGCTTCAGAGGCCACTAAGGCTCCGCATTGGGTGTGAGTGTGTAAAGGCCTTGAGAAGGATCCCAGACCTGTTCCAAGGCCAGAAGGAACCCACATGATCTGGCCCCCTCGCTGACCACATCTCCTCCCAGTCCTGTCTCTTACTCACTCTAATCACACAGGTCTCCTCCATTCCTAATCCACCCCAGTCCTGCTCACCACAGGGCCTTTGCACTTGCTATTTCTTCCACTGGGGTGGTCGTTTTCTCTCATATCCTTTAGGTCCCTTCTCACTATGGATACCCTTGGAGAGTCCTTCCCAGGCCACCCTATTTAAGAAGATAGCTTCTCCTCTTACCCTGCTTTCTCTCTCTCTTTTTTTTTTTTTAGATGGAGTTTCGCTCTTGTTGCCCGGGCTGGAGGGCAATGGTGAGATCTCACCTCACTGCAACCTCCGCCTCCTGGGTTCAAGCAATTCTCCTGCCTCAGCCTCTGGAGTAGCTGGGATTACAGGCATGCGCCACCCTGCTGGACTAATTTTTGTATTTTTAGTAGAGACTGAGTTTCACCATGTTGGCCAGGCTGGTCTCGAACTTCTGACCTCAACTAATCCGCCCACTTCAGCCTCCCAAAGTGTTGAGATTACAGGGCTGAGCCACTGTGCCCTGCTTTATTTTTCACTGTTTCATTGAACACATTTTATCAAACACCTACGATATGCCAAGCACTGCTCCAGGCACCTAGGGTTGAACAAAGTCAAGTCCAGACCCTTGTGGAGATTGCATTATTCCTCCACCCCAGCCACTTATCATCCCCAACATACTTTTTTATTTGTGTCATTTCTGTCTCACCTCACTAGAATATAAACTAGGTTTTGTTGTGTTTGCTGTTGCATTTCCAGGACCCGGAGCAGACCCCGACACAGAGGCTTTGTGTCTCAATAAACACTCACTAAATAATTGCTGGATGTAGGAATTGACATTTCTAGGTATTAACACTATATCTTGGTGGCCCTTATCTTACTGGGGCTACCTAGCCACCCGAGGCAGTAGGTGTTACTCCCATTTTAGATGATGAAACTGAGGCTTAGAGAGGAACAGGCGCCCCAGCACTTTGGTAGGCCGAGGCGGGCAGATCACCTGAGGTCAGGAGTTCGAGACCAGCCTGGCCAACATGGCGAAACCTCGTCTCTACTAAAAATACAAAAATTAGCCTGGCGTGGTGGTGCGTGCCTGTAACCCCAGCTACTCTGAAGGCTGAGGCAAGAGAATCTCTTGACCCTGGGAGGCAGAGGTTGCAGTGAGCTGAGATCGCACCACTGCACTCCAGCCTGGGCAACAGAATGAGATGCTGTCTCAAACAAACAAACAAACAAAAAACAACAAAAAAACCCCACACGCATACACACACACACACACACACACACACACACACAAACAACAACAAACACAAAAAAACCAGAGAGGAACAGGAGCTTGCCAGGGTGGTATAGAGCACCCTTCGCTGAGCCTGGTCCCTTATTTCCAGTCTGGTGACTGCCCCCTTCCCTCAGTCTATTCCTTAAAGGTTCAAACATCAACATCATGAGAAACTTGTGAGAGCCAGAGGGGAGGAATCTCACAGTGGACTCAGGCAGGGCAGGGCAGTTTGCTTTCCAGGTGGTGTGCTGAGGCAGGAAGCACACTGGACTTGGGATGGGGTTGGGTTGAATCCTACCCACACCACTGACTCCCTATATGACCCTGGGCAGGACTCTTTCTCTCTTAGAGTCTCAGTTTCATCACCTGTAAAATGGGGAGAGGAGTCAGAAAACTACCTCACAGGATGGCTGTGAGGTTGCAGAAAGAAATGTGAGTGGGCCTGGCGTGGTGTCTCATGCCTATAATCTCAGCTCTTTGGGAGGCCGAGGTAGGAGGATTGTTTGAGCCCAGGAGCTCGATACCAGCCTGGGCAACACAGCAAGACCCCATTTCTACAAAAAATAAAACAATTAGCCAGATCTGATGGTGTGCATCTGTAGTGCCAGCTACTCAGGAGGCTGACGCAGGACTGCTTGAGCCTAGGAGATCAAGGCTGTAGTGAGCTATGATTGCACCACTGCACTGCTGCCTGGGTGACAGAGCAAGACCTTGTTTCAAGAACAATTCCAAAAACCAAAAAAGGAATGTGAGTGGAATAAAGCAGTTTTTAAACTGCAGGGTGGGCTGGGCACAGTGGCTCATGCCTATAATCCCAGCACTTTGGGAGGCCGAGGCAGGCCGATAGCTTGAGCCTGGGAGTTCAAGACTAGTCTGGGCAATACGGCAAAAATCCCGTCTCTACAAAAAATACGAAAAGTAGCTGGGCATGGTGGCACACATCTATGCTCCGAGCTACTTGGGAGGCTGAGGTAGGAGGATTGCTTGTGTCTGGGAGGTGGAGGTTGCAACGAGCCACTGCACTCCAGCCTGGCTGACAGAGCGAGACCCTGTCTCAAAAAAAAAAAAAAAAAAATCAAATAAAAAGCCAGAAACCTGCAGGGTGGGGAGTGTGTGCACGTGGCTTACTTCAGTCTCCACTCAGAACGGGGGCTCTTTCCACCCTGGACTCTGGCACAATCATTCCTCATTTATTCCCTGTCTATATCTTCCCATCTGCCATTTCTTATCCTTGGGACGCCCTCCTCCACTCCACCAACCCACACCCTGCTTGTGTTTGGCCAGTGGGCTGGGTAACAGCTCCAGCTTGGCCCAGACTTTCCATGTGATCTTAGATCCAACATAGGCCCTGTGGGCGCCTCCGTCCCTCTGTCTATAATATGGGAACAGGGCAGGGAGACTGTGCCCCTCCCTTCTTGCATCCTAGGGTTTGGAGGCTCACCTTGGATGTCAAGCAGAGAGAAATGAGGGTTGCTGGGAGCTTCAGGCACCAGGCGGAAATAGAAGCGGTGCCCGCCTTGGGGCTCGTCTCTGTCCACCACGCTGATGGTCTGGATGAGCTGAAGGGTGAGGAGGGGATAGAGGGCTAGTGGTGAGGCTGAGACCACTCTGGGTCGAGGTAGAGGATGCTGCTGGCCAGTCCTGGAAGCAACGCCCAGTCCCCACCCCCTCAGGGGTACCTGGCCTGGCTTGGCATCCTCGCATACAGCTGCCTCGTAGGGTGTGGCCAGTTCTGGGGGATTGTCGTTCACATCCAGGATTCGGATCCTTAGGGATGCCCGGGATAGCTGTGCATGATTGTCTGTAATGAGAGCACAGGAGCAAGGGGAGAGGCATCAAGTGGGAGATCTAGATAGCCTCCTCTCTACTATGAGGACAATAGTAGGCAGTGGGGTCATGCTGAGAAATTTGTGGGTTAACCAAGCTGGTACAAGGACCAGAACTGGGAACATTTGGGCATAAGTTAAGTAATCATCACTGTAATCACCACCACCATTACCATCAACCTTGGCACCATTGGCATTATCACTACAACGCTTGCCACCACAATCACCAGTAGCACCCACTGCCATCACCAACACCATCACCACTGTCAGCATCAACACCACCATCACCATCCCATCTCCACCATGGCCACCTTTGCCATCACTACCACTATTACTATTACCACTGTCATCATTAAGCCATTACCAATACCACTATTTGCATTATCATCAGTGCGTCTATCAACATAACTATGAGTACCACCATCACCATCCTTATACTGTTACCATCACCACTGCCATCACCACCATCACCATCAGGTCATCACCATCACTACCATCACCATTAGAATTAGCACCACCACCACCAGAACCACATCCTCTAGTACTACACCCATCATCTCTACCATAAATAATACTAAAGCCATCACCATCACTACCCTCACCACCACCACCAACCCCATCACCATCACCAATATCACCATCACCAATACCACCACCATCTCTTCCATAGTCACCACAACCACAATCACCAGCCCACCTATTACTACTATTACCCCCATCATAATCACCAATATTACCATCACATCCCTGGCCCCCAACAACACTGTCATCACCACTGCCATCCCCACCCCCTCACCACAGAGCACACAGCATGCACGTGGAGCATCTACATTCATTATTTTAAGTATCCTTGCAGAAATCCTGTGGTTTGGTACAATTTCTATCCCCATATTGCAAAGGAGAAACTAAAACGTGGGATGCTTTCTAGACATGGGTCGGGGCAACTAAACTCCAAGACTTCTGCTTTCTCAAGACCTGATCCTAAAAGGGCCAGACAAGTCCAAGGAGGTAGATCTTCGCCAGCAAAACCATGATGTCCCCACCTCTCCAAGTTGGGACGTCTTTAAGATCATGGTCCCTGTCTTATTTATCTCTGGGCTACCAGCATTGTGGGATATGGTACATGTAAATTCTAATATATTAATATTTGCTGAATGAATGAATGAAGCCTGGAAAAATTGAGACTGCAGGAGGCTTGAATTCCAGGCGTGGCTGTGTCCCTGACCCAGTGTTTGGTCTTGGGTAAGACCCTGCCTTCTCTGATGTCAGTTTCCACACCTGGAAAATGAACAGAGCATAGTGATTATGAGCAGTGCTGGGTAGTTCTGATTCCAGCTCTGCTGTTTTATGTCTGTATAATCCAAGCCAGGTCATTTGACCTCCCTGTGCCTCAATTTTCTCACCTGCAAAATCGGTCTAATATTGACCCAATTATGCCTAGCGTTCCATTATTGGAACGCTAAGCATGTGAGAGTTATTTATATCCTACTGCTCAAGGACTTCGCCAAGGTCTGATTGCAAAAATTCAAAAAATTGCAACCTCAGGCATAAATGGGTTAATAGGTCGGTGAAGAGACAGATTGAGTTAATATCTGCAGGGCATTTGAAACTGTGTGTACAACACGTAGCAAGTGCTATATAAGCATTTGTAAATAACCAGACATTCTCGAAGGGTCCTATTAGCAATAACATTAAATAATTCTAGGATGTGGAATACTTCATCCCAGCCTGTCCTCTCTAAGCAGTGCCCTGAATGTTGGTGCTTTCTAACCCCTCACCAGCCCAGACCTCTGAGTGCTCACTGGTGCTCCATCCTCTGCTATCTTGGCTACATGTTCATTACTGACATGTTCCACCTGCCAGTGACCTCAGGAACATCTCCTGGAGGAGGAAACCACACCTCACTTCCAAGCAGTGACTTAGAAGATGGGGCTCTCTGGCTGGGCTGGCAGGGAGCTCTCTGAGGGGCAGCCTGAAAGCTTCCAGGCATCCAGGCTCCCCAAGAGTTTCACGGGGAGTGGGACTGGTCGGCTGCCTCCTGCTGTAAACTCAGGATCCACTGTGTGCTGACGGCAGCTGCTCACGTGTTGATAAAGAGAGAAACAGAGATAGGAAGGCAGGTGCAGCCACCTCCTGGGGGGGCGGGCGGCGGTCAGGAAAAGGAGGGGGCTGAGTTCTTAATTAATTCAGACCCCAGCTTCTCTCTGGAGTTCCCCTTAGCCAGGGGCACATTATCTTCTAAGCTCACCAGATCTGCCACTCCAGTGATTAGAGGGGGCTTTTCCAGGGCGAGAGATGGGAGTCGTGACTGGGAATGCCGGGTGAACCGTTATTTTTAAGAGTGCGTTGCCGGAGAATTTCAACAGACAGACGGTCGGTGCTTTTGGGAAGAGGGGGGTGAGGCCCACAGCCAGGAACAGGCGCCTCTTTCCCAGCAGAGGCAGAGGGAGAGTAGAGGGGGCGGCCAGGGCCTGAGTGCCCTTACAGGGCCCTTTCCCCTGCAGTGGAGGGTGGTGGGGGTGTGTGGGCTGGAGGGAGAGACAGGGTCCTATGGGCCATGTCGAAGGTACAGCAGGATGGACTGCTGAGTGAGTGATCCGCTCCTGGATGCTCACTGCAGATGAGACCCCCATTATAGCACCTTTGCTTTGGGCTATGCTCGGCCTCTCTTACCTCTTCTTTTAAAATGTCACAGGTCACCTTGTGAGAAAGCCCTAATGTCCTTGGCATGAGTGAGAGTCTCAGACCTAAGAGGTGGGGCAGCTGAGTGACCCCTAAATTGCCATCTGCATATCTTATTCTAGGAATTCCTGAATTTAGGGCTGGCATGGAATCCCAGAGCTCATTGGCTGGCCCCAGGTCAGTACCCATTGCCACTGCCATTGCCCTTGTGGCAGTGGGTCTCCAGCACAGCTGTACATCACAATCACCTGGAGAGCCTTTAAAAACACCGATGCCCAAAGCTTGGTCAGTGATTTTTTTTTTTTTTTTAAACAGCTCCAGAGGATCAGCCTGTAGCAAGGTTTGCAAACCACTATGCTAGGGTGACTGGGAGGCGGGGGGAATCCAGCCTGATTGGCTTCCTCCAAACCCCTCCTATCACAATTAGTATCATTTATAAGAATGGAAAATAATCGTATTTTGCCACCTTAAATGTTTCTGGGATAAAACAAGGAATCCATCTGTTGATTAATCTTGATCTCTGTGCAGGATTTTCCAATTCATAACACTCTCTCTTATTATGACCTCGTGTCATCCTTGAAATAACCCTTGAAGAAGGCCTTGTTAAACCCACTTTCTGGATGAGGAAACTGAGGCCCACGGAGGGGCAGGAGTTTCCCCACAGCCCTAGCGGAGTCAGCAGCAGAGCTGGGGTTGGGTCCGAACCCTCCTGACTCCAAGTTCAGCGCTTGGTCCTGATACAATGTCAGGGGCCCTCCTGCTGCCTGGTCATTTGTCCATTCAGTGGCAGCTATGGCTTAGACCCAGGCCCAAGTGGATCTCACCCAATGGCCGGCTGCAGGTGCCCCCTCCAAGGACTGGGTGCCCCACAGCCCTCCCCTCTTGGCTTTTCAGTTCAGCTGACTGACATGCAAATTAGTTTAATTATTTCTTCTTCTAAAATAAATTATATTTTGCAGTAGCTGCAATATGTTGTGTCAGGCAAAATTACATTCAATATTTTTAAACTAATTGATGCAGCCTTGAGGAAGGCTGATTGACAGCCCGGGGCTGAGCAGGCCTGCAGCCTTAACCGATTCCTAAATTAAAATTAAACGTGCTTTGGCCCGGTGCTTCCTCCTTGAACTGCCTCACCATTAATCCGGGGGGGTGGCAGGTGAAGCCCCGGGGGTCTGAGGGACCTGAGGAGGCTGGGCAGCTCAGGGTGCCTAGGGTAGAGACCAAACTCGGGGCAGGAGAACTGCTGTGCAGTGGGGCAGGTCTCTCACCTTCACTGGGCCTCAGAGTTTCTTCTGTATAATGGACAGGGGATTGGACTGGACAATCTGGAACTGAAACCTGTGGTTTTTGCTGACAGTTGTGGATCAAGCATCTCCTTTGTACCAAGGACTCAGCAGTGAACAAGACAGCATGGTCTCGTTCTAGTGGCAGGTACAGACATTACTCCAGACTGTGATAAGAGCTGAGGGAAAAAAGTTAAGGAGCTGTGAGAGCTTGGAGCAGGGGGTCTTGCCTGGTGGGATGCAGGATGTTTTTCCTGGAAAAACATGATATTTCTGCTGAGTCCTGCTGAGTCCTGACTGGGAAGTAATTGTATGAGGGGGATGGGAAAGGAAAGACTGTCTCAGGCAGTGGGATCAGCACGTGCAAAGGCCCTGGGGTGGGAGGGGAGGATGTGGATAATGAGACTCTGGATCTCTTCCAAGGAGGATCCCAGCCCCTACTAGAGTTACTCATTTGACATCTGGACCAACCTGAGTGGGCGTGGGGATGGGGATGGGGGCCAATGGGAAGGCAAGAGGAGACGGGGCCTGGCCTGGTGCCCCTGTTAGGGCGCTCCTATGAATGTGCTCCTCCCTGGAAGAATGGCAACAAACACACATTAAGTACATGCCAAGGACCAGGGTCTGGGCTGCCCCATTTCGTCCTGTCAACCACGGTGGGAGGCAGGGAGTGCTGTTGTTGCTGTTTTACTGATGAGGAAACGGGCTCAGAGGGGTGAGAAAACTTGCCCAAAGTCTCATAGGAGCTGGGACTCGAACCTGGGTCTGGTTTTAAAGGGGAGTTTTTAACCACCACATGATGTTGCCTTTCTTGTCTTTAGCTGTCAGAATCCATCTTGCCTTCAAGGCCCTGAACAAATTTCCCTGCTTCCTCCAGGAAGCTTTCCTTGATTGCTCTCAGTTCTGGGCAATCCAAGGATAAGCCCAAGTCCCCCATGCCCACAAGGCCCCCCATGATCATCCTGCTGTGGTCTCTCTGGCCTCGTTGCTACCCCTCCCTCCTTCTTTCACTCTGCTCCAAGTTTGCTCCTTTACCTCCTTCAGGTCTTGGCCCAGATTTCTTCTAGGAGAGGCCTCCCCTAAAGACCTTATTTCCATGTGCCCTTTGCCATCCTACCAAATGCCACTTCCCTGCCTTATTCCTCTTTGTAGCATTTACCCAGCACCCTCTGTTTTTATTTAACTTTCTCATCCTCTATCTCCTCCCCTAGTATGTAAGCAGAATTTTTGTATATTTTCTTTACTGCTGTATCCCCAGCAACTGTGTGCACACTACATAGTAGATGCTTAATAAAGATGTGTCAAATGAATGGATTCCACTGTCTGTGGCATTTCTGACCATGGCCACGCTCCAGGAGGGATGCTGGGGAGGTGCAGGGGGAGAAACTGAGACCTTCTTGGATGAACTGACTCTGTTGTATCAGGGATTGGGTCCCCTCCATTTCAGAAACAGTCTAGTGCTGGGACCCTCTTCCTGCCTCTCTCTTTCTCTGTCTCTTGACCAAGGTTTTCTCATCAGTAAAACAAATGGAGTTGGATTCTGTGGCTCTCCTTGGCTGTCACAGAGAAAGACAGAAGCCTGGAGAGAAAGAGAGAAGTGAAGCTGCAAGAGTGGGAGTGGGAAGGAGAGTGGGGGGTGGAGTGGGAGGGGGAGAGAGAGAGAGGAGAGAGGTCAGCTCAAAGAAAGTGCCTTCCCTCTCACTTGCAGTGGCAGGGATAGAGCAGAGCTTGGACCCTCTTCTCCACTATCCCCCCAGCCCCTCCCTCCTCCCCGAGGGAGTTAAATTGCATCCAAACACCAGGCTCTGATTAGAGCTGGCCAGCTGGGCAGGAAGATTTATCATCCCAATTACAAGCCCGCCAAGACAAGCAGGCAGGACAGTGAGGCGCACGGGACGAGCAGATGGGGGTGCTCCAGGGAAGGGGGTGTCAGGGTAGACAGAAGCGAACTCCTTGCACTCCCTGCCCTGTCCCCATGCCCCCCCCCAGTGGGAGCAGGAGGCTCAGGTGCCCTTCTCTGTCCCTTGAAGGGACTTCAGTGATCTATTTGGTTTCCACATGGAGACTGGAAGCTTTGACCTTATTGGGGGGACGTTTATTCCTCCAAGGAAGGGGTGGGGGAGGACTTCTGGGTGAAGCAGGGACCCTGAAATCATAACATCCCTGAAATTCAAAGGGGAGATGTGGGAACTTTCCTTCCCCAGTGGCTGAGCTGGTCCCTAATGTTCTGGGCTGTCCTACTCCATGTATATCACAAAATCTTTGTTCCCCTTGGGGTCCGTTAGGGACTCAAGGTGGCACAGGATCCCAGGAGTCATCCAGTCCAAGAGGACCCTGGGCCTGATTTGCACACCTCTGGTGACAGGGAGCTCACTGTCTCTTGAAGCAGCCCCTTCCATGCAGAGCTGTGACATGTCTCTTTCCCGGGCAGCCTCCCTGGAGCTCCCAACCACCTGCCCTGGTCCTGCCCTGGACCCTCCAGCCCAAAGCTGAGCCTGACAGCCTCCCATATGTTCCCCCGACTCCATGTTTGCCCCCTCCAAGCCATCCTCCCCATGAACCCGAGGGAACACTGGGGACCAAACATCTGATCACGCCACTCTTCTGCTCAAAGACCTGTGCTGGCTCCCTGTCACCTCCAGGAGATGTCTGGTTCCTCATGGGACACCAAGGCCCTTTCTGTACAGGCCCAGTGAGCTTCTTCACTCACCCCTTGCCTCACCTGCTCTGGACACCCTTCAGCTCCAGAGCCTGGCCACACCCAGCCTCTCTGTTCTCAGAATGGCCTCAGACATCCAAGCTCCCAGGCCTTTGCACACAGGGGGCTTTCTGCTGGGAACACCTGAATCCCCTTTCTGCCTGGAACACCTGAATCCCCTTTCTGCCCATGGAAAAACTTCCTTGGCCTTTGAAACCCAACTCAGATGTCCTCTTGGCCAGGTGCTGGTGCTCATGCCTGTAATCCCAGTGCTTTGGGAGGCCAAGGTGGGAGGATTGCTTGAGCCCAGGAGTTGGACACAAGCCTGGGTAACAGAGTGAGAGCCCCCTCTTTACCAAAAACAAACAAACAAACAAAAACCACACACACAAAAACAAAAAAATAGATGTCCCCTCCTCTGGGAAGGGTTTTCTGGCCCTCGCTGGGTAGGCCAGTCTCTCCCTGCTCCTCAGGAATCGCCGCGACCCCATGACTTTCACTGTGTGTTGTCACTGACTGTCAATGGGTCTCTCCCCGCCCACCCGTGAACTCTCAGGTCAGTGGCCAAGCCTCGTTCATCACTGGGTCTCAGAGCCCAGCCCTGGCTGGGGTGGGTGACAAGAGGCCCCAGAAAACACTGGCTGCGGGTACATGGCTTGTTGGTGTGTGTGTGGGTCCCTGCAGGAGAAACTGAGCACTCTCTGCTGCTCAGACCCCACTGTGACCTTCACTCCTCATCCCTGTCCCTTTCTCCAGCCTCCTTAGGCCTCCTCTATGGTCCTTCTGAGAGGCATAGACTGGGAGTCAGAAAGCCTCATGGGGGAACTCCCTTCCTTGGCGTCTGTCTCCCCAGGTTGGGTATGGGGCTGGAGGATGGGTATAGGGCTGGAGCCCATCATCTCTGACATTCCCTCTCCTCTCAGATTCTCTCCCTGACTATTAAGAGCACCTACTGTGTGTCAGGCACACAGTAGGCACCTGCGCTAGGCACTTGAGGCACATTATTTCTAATCCTTGGGGGATTTATGTTTTATAGAAAGCACTCAGCACAATGCCTGGCATATTGTAAGCTTTAAGTAAATAGAAGCTGCTATTATTATTAATTATTTTTTGAGATGGAGTCTCGGTCTGTCTCCCAGGCTGGAGTGCAGTGGTGCAATCTCGGCCCACTGCAACCTCCACCTCCTGGGTTCAAGCAATTCTCCTGCCTCAGCCTCCCAAGTAGTTGGAATTACAGGTGCCCACCACCACACCCGGCTAATTTTCGTACTTTTAGTAGAGATGGGGTTTCACCATGTT
The DNA here is from genome assembly GCF_000001405.40 of Homo sapiens. NCBI lineage: Eukaryota > Metazoa > Chordata > Mammalia > Primates > Hominidae > Homo > Homo sapiens. The sequence continues at coordinate 46,194,935 of NC_000020.11, forward strand.
GGCCAGGCTGCTCTTGAACTCCTGACCTCAGGTGATCCGCCTGCCTCGGCCTCCCAAAGTGCTAGGATTACAGGCGTGAACCACCGTGCCCAGCCAGGAGCTGCTATTATTAATAGTTACCATTGTCACAGCTATCTGGTAAACTAAGTATGATTGTCACCATTTTGTAGATGACAAAACCAAGGTAACAAGATGGGAGTGACCTGTCCAGGCCCACCCAACTGGGAACCATGCGACTAGAAGCATTTCTTCTCCATCATGCATTCCTGTTTTTCCAACTGGGCATGCAAGCCCATTCATTCATCCATTCGGTAAACACACATGCCTACTGTGTGCCTGGCCTGTGTGTGCTGCAGGTATAGACTGGGCCCTGCCCTCATGGAAGGTACAGTTTCCCAGGGAAGAGCGATCTTCACTGAATACTCACACAGACCCATCTAAAAATCATAACACGTGCTCTGTGGCATGAAGGGAAAAGCAGGGTGCTGTGAGACGTGACTTGGCCTGGGGTGACCCAGATGGGGAAGCTTCTGGCGAGTCTGGTTAACCCTTTGCTGTCCTGGACATCTAGCTATTACCCCTCCAGATCAGCTTAGGGCTGGATGACTCTTGAGAGTGTGGCTGGGTGCCCCCCTTGGCACTCCCGCCTCCCAGTGTTGGTTTTCCAAGTCTCCCCTAGACCCCCCCCCCACCCAGTCTCTTTGAAGACTGTCCCTTTACAACTGCCCTTTCCACCGAAGGATTCAGACACAAATTGTACTTTAAATTCAATATCAGTCATTAATATTTCATGATTACAAAACGTTAAAGATAATGTCAGTGGAAGGAGCGTCTGCATGGGCAGAATGGATGACTCAGAAGTTCGGGGAGAGGGGAGCCGGCATACTAAGTGGCTCGGGAGTCTTTGAGGTAATCCAGTATGACAGGCGGTGGCTCCTGGCTGAGTGCAACATTCTCCGAGGTGCTCACCAAGCGCCGCCGCTGTGTATAAATATTTCCCCTCTGATTCTTGTCACCTCATGTTTATTATGACCAGGAGCAGGTGGGGCCACCATGACCCTCTGAGTTTCCCTTCTGTTTTTGAGGAAGCCAAATGGACGCTTTGGCAGGAGGGCATGGGGCTGGGTGGGCAGACCCGATGGCCATGCACCTGGGGCTCTGGCTGGCTCCTGGGAAGCCGGAGGTCTTGGGTCAAGCCTGCCCCTGCCAGGACTTGCTCTGTGATCTTGGGGCCATCCCTGTTCTTCCCTGAGCCTCTGTTTCCTCATCTGTAAAATGGGGATAATAAGTTTGTTCCCATCTCATGGAGATGGTGAAAAGGAAGAGTGGGTCAGTTATTTGTGGCAGCTTTTTTTTTTTGAGACAGAGTCTTGCCTGTTGCCCAGGCTGGAGCGCAGGGGCATGATCTTGGCTCATTGCAACCTCTGCCTTTGGGTTCAAGCGATTCTCGTGCCTTAGCCTCCCCAGCAGCTGGGAGTATATGCACACGCCACCATGCCCAGTTAATTTTTGTATTTTTAGTAGACATGGGGTTTCGCCATGTTGGCCAGGCTGGTCTCGAACTCTTGAACTCAAGTGATCTGACCCCTTTGGCCTCCCAAAGTACTGGGATTACAGGCGTGAGCCACTGTGCCTGGCCTGTGAGAGCTCTTGATTTTGTGCCAGCACCAGGGAAACAGGACTGGAGGGGCAGCTGAGGAGAGCCGGGCTCTGGAGTCAGGCAGGCTGGGGTTGGGAACCTGGACAAATGACTTCGCCTTGCTGAGTCAGGTTCCTCATCCCCACAGTGAAGATGGCAGTAGAATGGACACCCCTTAGGGGTGAAGATTTCATGAGCTCATCACAAGAAAGGGCCCGGAACAGAGTCAAGACCTACAGATACCATCAACTGAGCACTTACTAAGCACCAACCACTAGGCTAAGTTCTTCCCATGAGCTATGCTGTTTGATCCTCCCACCAGCTCTCTGAAGCAAAACCATTCCTTTTCCCATTAATTAATATCCTGGGTGAGGAGTGGGCAGGGGCTGGGGATCACAGCTCAGAGAAGGGGGGTCTCGAGCCCAGTGGCTAGTCTTCTCCTTTCAGAGATACATCTCCTTCCCCACAGTCAGTTACTGGGGTTGATGGATGGGATGGGGGTGGGGCTCAGACAGCAGAGAGTGCCCAGAAAAGGGAGGCCATGCAGCAATGCCGTGGGGACCAAGCATGCCTGGTCCAAATCCCAGCTTTGCCAGTGCACATCTTTGGCAAGCAAGTTTCCAAACTCTCCAAGCCTCAATTTTCCCATCAGGAAAATGGGTGCTAATCATGCTACTGATGATAATTCAATAAAGTATGTGCTGGAAAGCATCTAGGCCAGGATATATATATATATATATATATACATATGAAGCAAAAATTGTAAAATGTTTGTGGAGGAGTACCCCTCCCCCGATTCTGTCTCCTATGAAATGGCAGCCTTACAGGCTTCATATGCTATTCTAGCTGCTTTCTGAAAGAGACCCACTGGGTAGAAGCACAATGCTTAACCCAAGAGGAGATTGTTGCTGGTGGTGGGACACTGGGCCGGTGATAGGCTGGTGGCGGAGGGGCGTGTATCTGTGAGTAGGGAGAGGAGGCATCCCTGCCCAGCAGCCAGGCCAGTCCTCCCTCACTCCATCTACAGCCCAGAGCCTCAGTTGCTACCCAGGGAACAGGTTTGAGGAGGCAAGGAGGGGGAGCTCTCTTCCCCCAAGTCCAGCCACCACTTCCTCTCCAGCCACCTTTGTTATCTCCCTTTCATGCGGTAGAGGAGTGGATTCAAAGGCTCCAGAGCAGCAGTCACTGAGGTCTGAGCCAGCTTTGTATTTCCTTTTAAACTGCAGTTGAAAGAGACGAAGGGAACTTCAGCCTAGGGACTTCCTTGACCCCAGAATGGGCCAGTGGGGCCTGGGAAATGGGGGGATGGCAGCTAGGGGAGGAGGAAGAGGGCTGGCAGGAGGAGCTTGGGTCAGGAGGGGCCTGGGGCAGAGGGGCCTGGGATCCTGATGGGCAGAGGCGAGTTTGAATGTTGCCTACCCGCCTGCAGCTCAGAGACTCAACCATATTCCTGTTGTCATGATTGCTTATTGGTGGCTCTGTTGATGCCTGAGACCTTGAGGGCTGATGGGGTAGAGAAGCTGGGAAAGCAGGTGGAGGCCATGACAGTGGCAGTGTTGCTCTGGGCATGGAGGAAGCCCAAGGGCACTCCCCCTGGCCTCTCTCCCAGTGCTCTCAGCTCCTCACCTCCACAGCCTTACTTACCTGGATGCCATGTCTCAGGCTCTCTCTCTTTCTCTCCCAGCTCACATTTCTCCCTAGCTGCACCAAAAAGACACACACACACACACACACACACACACACACACACACACACACATATTCTTCCAGAAACTCAGGCCAAACACCCTGGAGTCATCCTTGACCCTTCTCCATCTCTCCCCGGGACATCAGCCCATGAGCAGATTCCACTGGCTCTATCTTCAGCCTGTATCCCAAAGCCAGCCACTTCTCACCTCCTCCTCCCCTCCTCTGTAGCTACTGCCCTGGGCCAGGCCATGGTCCTATCTCCCAAGCACTATTGCTTTCAGCTTCTAGCTAAGGCCCCGTTTCCCTCTCAGGCTCCAGGCTCTTCTCAATGCAGCTGCCAGAGGTACCCTGATGGAGAACATCCCTCCTCTCCCCAAATGCCTCCAATGACTCTAACTTCATTTGGAGTAAAGTCCAAAGACTCTCCAGTGGCTCTGGCTGACCACGCTGCCCCTCATCAACCACACTGGCCTCTTTGCTGTTCCTCCAACGTGCTTGGCAAATTACACCGCAGGGCCTCTTTGCACTGGCTGTTCCCCCTGCTTGGAATGCTCTTCCTGCAGATGTCAGCATGACTCCCTCCCCTTTTGAGGTCTTTGTTGAAATGTCTTTTCCTCATCTCTTAGATGTTCCCCTAAGAGAAGCAACGCACCTCCTCCTCCCAGTTCCCTTTCCCAGCCTCCTTCTCTCCTTGTTTCTTCTTAGCACTTAGCATCACCTGACATATTATGTCCGTGCTTTCTCTCTGTTGATAGTCTTGTTCTCCCTATGAGGACAGAAGCTTTTCTGTCATGTTCAAGGCTGGATCCCCAACCCCTAAAACAGGGCTTGCACGTAGCAGATGCTCAATTAATGATGAGAGAAGAAAGCCTAGTTTGAGACCAGCCCTACCCCCTTGACTTGGAACCAGCCCTACTCCCTTGACTTGCAACCCTGCTGGATCTTTGCTCGCACCCATCAGCTTTTGCCCTCGCCTTCACCGCTGTGAGATCTTTGTCTAGTTTCTTTCTCTTCGCACCATCCCCAACCTTTGGCCCCTCCCCCGTGGGCTTTGACTGACAGGGCTGCCTTGGCCCTGCCCCCAGCCCTTGGCCCCTCCCTTCAGCTTTTGCTCCTGGGCCCCATATTTGCCCTTGGAGGGGGCGTGGCGCCCAGCTCACCCGCCTCCATGGCCAGCACTGTGATGTTGTGCCAGCCGGCCGTCTCGCGGTCCAGCCCCTTGCCAGTCACGATGGCGCCTGTGTCCGCATCGATATCGAAGATCTGGTCCAAATCTGATTCGCGGTCAATGGCGTACCTGCGGGGGGCAGGGCAGGGCTGATTGAAGGTGCCCCAGTGCCAAATGGAGCCCATGTCCTTTTCTCCCAACCCCACTCCAAGAGAGGGACCGCCTGCCTTGGACACACACAAGGGGCAGAGAAACCCCTTGCGACCGAGGAGGAGCGGGAAGCAACTGGGTGTGCATTTCACTTGCACGGGTAGCTGCTGTGACCATGGGCAGCCCTCAACCTTTCTGAGCCTCAGTTTCCTCAGTTGGAATGGAGCTAATAATTTGTACCTGCAGTTGTCGTGAGGGTTGGAAGCTGGCAAAATGCTTGGCACAGTTAGACTCACTGATACTCTCTTCTTTCTTTTCTTTTCTTTTCTTCTTTCTTTCTTTCTCTCTCTTTCCTTCCTTCCTTCTTTTTCTTTTTTGTTTATTTATTTTATTTTATTTACTTATTTTTTGGAGATGGAGTCTCGCACTTTCGCCCAGGCTGGAGTGCAATGGCACCATCTTGGCTCACTGCAAGCTCCGCCTCCCGGGTTCACGCCATTCTCCTGCCTCAGTCTCCCGAGTAGCTGGGACTACAGGTGCCCGCCACCACGCCCGGCTAATTTTTTGTATTTTTCAGTAGAGACGGGGTTTCACCGTGTTAGCCAGGATGGTCTTGATCTCCTGACCTCGTGATCTGCCCGCCTTGGCCTCCCAAAGTGCCTGGGATTACAGGCGTGAGCGACCGCGCCCGGCCCTCTTTTCTTTCTTTCTTTAGCCAGGGTCTCACTCTGTTACCCTGGGTAGAGTGCAATGGTGCCATCACGGCTCACTGCAGCCTCCATCTCCTGGGCTCAAGCCATCCTCCTGACTCACTGAGCCTCCCGAGTAGCTGGGACTGCAGGTGCGTGCCACCACGCCCAGCTAATTTTTTTTTTTTTTTTTTCAGAGACAGGGTTTCGCTATGTTGCCCACACTGGTCTCGAACTACTGAGCTCAAGCGATCCGCTCGCCTTGGCCTCCCAAAGTGTTGAGGTTACAGGCATGAACCACTGCACCCTGCCGATTCTTATCTTTCCCTAAGAGGTGCCCCTGGAACTGAGCTTGAAGGCAGAGACCGGGAGTGTGGGTGGCGTTCTGGGCAGGGGAAACAGAAGGTGCAAAGGCGCGGCGGCTGAGAATTATCCCAGAAATGGCAAACACTGCAAAATGGTTCGAACCGGGAAGTGGGGAGAATTCGGCACCAGAACACACCGGCACAGCACAGTTGGCGTGTACTGGGGAGCCAACGGGGAATTTTGAGCAGGGGAGAGGGGGGCAGTTGTGGCATTAGGAGGCTTCTCTGGGGGCCGCGGCGTGGACACGCCCAGGGACACGCGCTGGGCGAGTGCCGTGGGAGGGGGCCTGGGGACACGGCCGCCGGCTCCTCCCGCCTGCGCAGCACGCGCGAGCTAATCTGCAGCTTTTCCGTTGCCGCGTGAAAAAGCCCTTTGTTCCGCCTTCTTCCCGGGCCTTTGTGTGGCGGCTCCAGGCCTTAAAGGCCCGTGTCCAACACATGTCTCGGGCGGCGGCGGCCCAGAGAGGCCTCGCCAGCTCCGGCCTCCGCTTCCCCATGCTGATAACGCTGGTGGGGGCGCCGCGAGGCTGCGCGCGGACAAAGGCCTCGAATGCCAAGCAAGCGCTCATTGTGCGCCAGGACAAAGCAGCCTGGTAAGGAGGGGCCCCTGCGCAGCCACCCGGCCCCTCCCACAGGCAGGAGGAAAGGGGCCTTTTTGTAGTCTCCCAGAGTGGGGAGGGGAGGACCCCAGAAGCATTGCCTGCTGGGGCCCAGAGCCCTGAGATGACCCGTCTGTGAGGCCTTGGCTGCATTGCCAAACCTCTCTGGGCCTCAACTCCCCCATCTCTGAAATGGGGATATTGACACCCACTGGGACTTCGTGGGTCTGAAAGCAGTCAGAGCTGGGTTTGAATCCTCTGCCACTGATTCTACCTGTGTGACCTTGGGCAAGTCACTCCTTGGCTTCTGTTTGCTCACCTGAAAAAGAGGATGACTCCTACTCACCCCACATTGTGGTGTTAGAGGAGGGGCGGGCATACAGGACAGTCCTTATGCTTTTCATGTTTACTGTCCTGGAGGTGAATGCCTATGGCAAACTATAAAGGGATGTGCCTATGGGTGTAGTGGGCATTATAAGCCGATCCCCTGAACCCCCAGTTTAATGCTCCATACTGTTCCTAAACTGCTAAACCCATATTCTTCTTGCCCCTGGCCACCTTGAGTCCCGCTAGCCTGGGCGAAAGTACGTGGGGAGGTTCAGACCCACGATTATAATTCCTCCCTAGCATGCACCTAACAGTTTGGAGCCTGCTTCTCCCCCAACCATCCCTCCATTCATTCCTTTATGCCCTAAACACTAATTGAGTGCCTTCTCTGTGCTGGTCTGTGCTAGACTCTGGGGATAAAGTGGCAAGTGAGATAGAAGAGGTCTCGGTCAGGCATCTTATGAGGCTGATGTGATCTCCCCCATTTTACAGATGAAGACACTGAGGTCCAGAGAGGAAACTTGCCAAGCTTAGAGCTGCCAAGTATGGTTGTGCAGGTTGTGTCATGCACAAAGATACCAGGCCGAAGTGGGGAAGCAGGGGTGAATTCCAGCGAGCCTTCTGCTTGCCCAGCCACGTGTCCTAGACCAGGAAGTATCAAAGGGGGGCCTGTTTCTTATTTATACAAAGGTGACAATGAGCTAGTGATGCCGATGCCCTGCTCAAGGGTGTACAGCGACTCTGTCACAGAACTGAAATTTGAAACCAAATTGGGGATTCTCTCCCAGAGTTTAATTTTTTTTTTTTTTTTGAGACGGAGTCTTGCTCTGTCACCCAGGCTGGAGTGCAGTGGTGCGATCTCGGCTCACTGCAAGCTCCGCCTCCTGGGTTCATGCCATTCTCCTGCCTCAGACTCCTGAGTAGCTGGGACTACAGGCGCCCGCCACCACGCCCGGCTAATTTTTTGTATTTTTAGTAGAGACGGGGTTTCACCTTGTTAGCCAGGATGGTCTCAATCTCCTGACCTTGTGATCCGCCCGCCTCGGCCTCCCAAAGTGCTGGGATTACAGGTGTGAGCCACCATGCCCGGCCGCCAGAGTTCTTTTTAGCCTGACCGACAGCCCATCCAAAGTTGAACCAGCCAAATCCTCGATGCATGAAGCTTCAGGGTCCCCTTTGCCCCAGCCTGGCCCCATCAGATATCTGAGTCCAAAGGAGGTTGAAGGAGGCTCTTGAGCATCATCAGCTCAGCTGGAAAGAACTTTGGAGACCTCCTCCCATTCTACAGGTTGGAGGATAGAGGCCAGGAGAGGACCAGAGACATGACATAGCCTGGGCTTCTGATCCCTCGTCAGGGCTGGGCGAGAGGCCGGGCTGATGGGAGGATGCCAACTGCCTTCTTGTTGTTTCTCCTCCCTTCTTGGCTCAGAGCTGTCTCCTCTCTCCTCCCTCCATGCTGCTGCTGCTCCTCCTCCTCCTCTTCCTCCTTCTCCTTTGCCCTGTTTTTCTCTTTTGTTCTTTCCTCGAGGGGAAGGGAGGGGCTGGAATCTAAATGGAGGCAGCTGTTCCTAAGGCCATAGGGCGGGGGCAGCGGGGACCCGCCATTAACTAGCTAAAGACCTGGGGCTGGGGGTCAGTTTGGCTGGCTGAGCCCAGGTGTTTTTATTCCAGCTCAGGGAGCCAGAGAGTGAGTGGGAGGGAGGGAAGCAGGGAGGGGTGGGAGGAAGCAGTGTGTGGCAGGGACTGTGGCCTGGCAAACTTAGGGGTGGAGGGGTGGGGTGGGGGCGAAGCTTGTGCAGCTCACGTGTAGTGCTCGCATGGGTTGTGTATTTGGTCTGTGTTGTGGGTGGACAGTGTGTGTTTTGTGTGGCGTGAATATGTGAGTGGTGTTCCTGTGTGTGTGAGATTGTGCATTATAGTTGAGCAGTGGCTCAAGAGGCAGCAGCTCAGCCCTGGGTCTGGATCCAGGTCTGCATTGCCCCCAGGCAAGTCACTTCCATCTTTAATTCCCAGCAAAATAGAGATGATAATCCTACTTTGTAAGTTGTCGGGAGAATGAAACGCATGTAAGGTGCCTAGCTGAGTTCCAGGAAAATTACTCCATGAATGGGAACTATTGTCACTGTAATTATTATTCAGAGATGTCTGGCAGGGAGTACACAGGAGTCCCCCCAACCCAGTGTGTGGCTTGCATGCCTGGGGGCGGGGAGGTAAGATGTAGGGACACAGTAGTCTGAGAAGGACAGGAGGAAGCTGTGGGTCTAGAAGGTTCTGCTTAAATTTTGCAGTCCTACTTCTCATTTGGTGACAACAACCTGAAGGGCAGCAAGGGGAACTAGAACAGGTGAGGCTGGGGGAATAGGGAGAGAATATGAGTTTGTGGCAGCTCGTGTGTGTGTGCACCCACACATGCAAGGGAGGCCTGGGAATGGTGCTTAGGGGTGCAGATCTGATGCCCATCTGCCTAGGTTTGAAACCTAGATGTGTGACCTTGGGCAAGTCACCTAATCTCTCTGTTCTTCAGTTTCCTTCTCTTAAAAATGGAGATAGTAGGCCGGGCAGGGTGGCTCACACCTATAATCCCAGCACTTTGGGAGGCTGAGGCGGGAGGATCACGAGGTCAGGAGTTTGAGACCAGCCTGGCCAACGTGGTGAAACTCCGTCTCTACTAAAAATACAAAAAATTAGCTGGGTGTGGTGGCATGTGCCTGTAATCCCAGCTACTCATGAGGCTGAGGCAGGAGAATTGCATGAACCCGGGAGGCAGAGATTGCAGTGAGCCAAGATCGCGCCATTGCACTCTGGCTGGGGAGATAGTGTGAGACTCTGTCTCAAAAAAAAAAAAAAAAAAAAAAAAAGAGAGAGAGACAGAGATAGTAATACCTACCTCACAGGCTGGTTGTGAGGTTCGGACAAGTGACTACCAAGAAATCCTTAAGATGGTTCTTGGTGTACAGACTAGCTCTTACTTTTCTTTGTTGAGCAAGACTTTGTATCATGAGCTCTTCGAATCCTCAGATACTGTCATCACTCTCATTTTACAGAGGAGGAAACTGAGGCTCGGAGAAGCCAGGTATCTTGCCCTGGGTCACACAGGGCTAGTTAGTGGCAGAGCCAAGCTCCCATGTCTGTTCAGAGCCGGAGGTCTAACAGCATCCTCTTAAGGAGCCAGCCAGGTACACCTGCTAGCATTTCTGTGTTAGCAACAGCACAAAATGCTGCTGTTGTCAAGGTTAGGGTGGAGAAAATGGGGAGGGTGCTGCTTCCTGGCTGGGGTGCACGTGTGGTTTTCCTCTACATAAATATGTGCATATATAATGCATGCAGGCATAATAAATAGGGAAGGCTGCAGGCTTATGCACATACAGGCTTTCTGGTGTGCCTGTGTGTGAGTGCATGAACATACGAGCAGCTGACTGAATGATGCAGCTGCCGCCCAAGCTGCTCGTGTGTGTGTGTCGGGGTGTAGTTCGGGAGCCTCTTCCAAAACAAAGCAGCCTGCCTCCTGCTCCACTGTCCCAACCAAGGGATTCCTTTCTGCTCACTCCACCCTATCTGTGACTCTTTTCCCCCACTCCCTTTAGGCATATACAGAAAAGCCCACACATGATGCCTGGAAAATTGTATGTGGTTAACACTAGTTGCAGAATGAAAGGGAAAAAATGGGTGTGCAGACCACCAAGAAAAATGGTAATGACCATTTCTCGAGGGCCTGCTATATGCTAAGCACTTAATCCTTCTTCCAACCCTGAGAGCACCAGGCACAGAACTTGGTATGTGGTAGACATTTAATACCTATGAATGAGGCACATACTATTATGATGTCTATTTTAGAGATGGGGAAACCGAGGCTCAGAGGGGGTGCATTGACTTGCCCAAGACTCCACAACTGAGCTGGGATTTGAACCCAGGTCTCCTCTGATTTCAAAGCCCTTGCAGTTTCTGCTGCACCACACTGTGGAGTGCTGGGTGGAGAAAGGAAGTGTTCGCTTCCTCTGCTGCAGTGTGGACTAGCTGTTTTTGATGATCAAAGGAGACTCACAATGGGGCTAGGTAGGAACGTGGCTGGGCTGATAAATGGCCAGTCTATCTGCAAACCTGCCTAACTGAGAGGTGGGCCCATCTGAGCACTTTCCTGCCTCCTTCTCAAGCCTTCTAAGGCTTCCCACTGCCTAGAGGATAAAGTCCCACTTCTTCATGTGGCATTCAATGTCCTTCGCAGCCTGTCTCCAAGTGCTCCCTTGTCCCTTGTCGTGAGCTTGTCCAGCTGGTCTCGCTGCTCCTGAACTTAACCTCCTGGCTCCATGATTCTGTCCCTGCCATCTCTCCTCCCCATCACTCCAACCTGGGGCACACTCTCCCCATTCCAAGCCTTGTCCTCTTCGTCCCCTTGCAGGGGCCTTTTGGGGCAAACCTCTGTCACTCCCCTTCCTGGTGCATAAACTACTCACCCCTCCCTGGAGCTCCTCAAGCCCCTGCCTCAGCCCAAGCCCACTTGGACCTGGACCTGTCACTGGATTCGTTCACACGGGCCAAGCTTTCCCACTGGCCCATGTCTGAGGCCATCATCTCTGTGGCCAGTGCACAGGGGAGGACGCTGCACCAGTTTAGGAACTGCACTAACCACAAGGAGAGTAAGAAGCAGGAGTGAAATGGCCAAAGGCTGGATTCAGGAAGTGGTGAGTCATGGGTCAAACCCCGGTGCTTCCCCTTTTGAGCTGGGTGGCTTTGGGAAGTCATTTCCCCTCTCTGACTCTCAGTTTCTTCGTCTGTCAAATGAGTACAATACCCTCTGAAGGGTAAATGTAGTAACATGAGGCACCTTCTACTATCTCCAGTGCAGATGCTAAGAAAAAATCTCTCTGTACTGTCTGCTTTCCTATAATTTCCAGGCACTCACTGTGCCCTGCAAACCATGCTAGGCAAAGTCTCCCAGGATGCCACCTCATGTCTTCATTTCCAGGGACACGCCAAGCTTGTTCCTGCCTCAGGGCCATTCTGCTTGCTGTTCCCTCTACCTGGAATGCTTTTCCTCACATTTTTGCATGGATGGCTCCCCATCATTCTGATCTCAGCTCATGTGTCACATCCCTGACCACTCAATTCAAAGTGGCCCTCTGTGGCCCCAATCCCTCCTTATCCTATCACTCTATTTTCTTCATAGTGCTTTCAGCAGTTATTCCATTTAACCATTTGCTGTCTGTCTCTCTGCAGGAGAAGGCAAACTCCACGTGGGCAGGGATCCTGTTTTATCATCTCTGCTTCCTCACTGCACAGAACAGTGCCGGGCACAACTCAATGCGGAGTTGCTGCCTAAGCCTGTGACCCTGAGAACGCAGGTGCTGCCAGAATGGAACCCTTAGAGCGAGCTGGACTCTGGCAGCACACATGGCCTGTGAGGACCCCTTCTCTGTCTCCCACAGACCCTCAATGGCCTCCCATTTCCATTTTTGTACCCCACAGTCTGGGAGCTCCACCCCAGTTCTGTCCTTGGCTGAGTCATCTTGGTGTCCCCAGGCCTGGCTCAGGGCCTGGCATGGAGGAGGAGCTGGGTAAATGTTTGTGGTGTTAAATTGGACCAGTCTCCAGCTCCTCACTGCCTCCACATCTGAGGAGCCCCAGGGAAGGGGCCGGCAAAGAGAGATGAAAGAAGGTGAGAAGCAGGTTTCAAAGTTGGCCCTTTCAGTGCAGATAAAAGCAGGAGGGAAGGGAGCCAAAGCGGGGAGGAGGAAGAGGACTGAGAGGGGGTGTGGAGAGTGGAATTGGAGAGGAGGGGAGCTGGCAGATGGGAGGACTGACCTGGGGCCAAGGACTCGCCTCCCGCTCCGTGTTCTTACCTCCCTGGGAGAGCCTGCAGAATCCTCCTCCCCTCCCTGGGCCTCAACTCCCAGACAAACAGAGGTGACAGTGCCCTTCCTGGAGAGGTCTGGGCCCAGGCCAGAGGCCAAGGGGGTTGTTCAGAGACTATGCCACCAGCCCGGGTGGAAGGGAGTGGAGGAGTTCAGAGGCAGTGACAGGATGGCATTGGCAGCGAGTGTAGTGAAAGTAGCGTGGGCATTCTCGGCTTCAGGACAGAGTCTGAGCTCCTCAGCCTGCCTCTGAGGCCCTGTTAGACTTCACTTTTGTGCCTCATCTTTCCCGGCCCCCTGTAGCGATCACAGTCTGCTCTTCTTCAGGCACACCAACCACTCCTCTGCCTGTATACCTCTGCACAAGCTGTTCGTCTGTCTGGAATGTGCCTCTCCTGATATTTACACCATACCCAGATACCTAGGTCAGGTCAATTCCTGCCTCCTTCAGAAGTCTTCCCAGACTCCTGGGGCTATCTCCCAGTCTGAGAATCCATGAACAGTTAAGCAGGATAGCATCTGTGTGTCTCACTTAGGGCTGCCATGTAAGGTTGAACAGGCTGTGCACTGCACAATCCTGATAGAGCCATTCAGACAGACAATGACGGAACGTTGCCCTCTGGAGTTGCACAATGCAGAGGTCCTCAAATAAACTTTCCCTCCCCCTCTCCTCAATGCCCAGCACAGGGCTAGGCTCATAGTCAGCTCAGGGGTTACTCATTGAATAGGTACAGGGGTTTTGGGAATGAATCAGGGAGCCCCAGTGCCTCCTTCCCATCCCTCTAACACTGGCCATCCCCCCAGCCCCTAACCTCCTCCTCTGGATCAGTTTCTTCTACAGCCTTTCTTCCCTCTTCTATCTGAACATCTTCCAGCCTAGGCTACTGTCAGAGACTCCCCAATACTTACAGCTCCCAGACCCTTCCAGGGACCCCAGCTGCCCCATCCCTGCTCTGCCTCTGGCTTGCCTGTGTCTGTGTCTATTTCTTCCCTTTTCTGGTTTCCTCTCCAAGGTGCCCTTCTGTTTCCACATTGCCAGGTCAGTCCCTCCTGTCCTCTTTTTATGGGCTTTTCTTTCTCTCCAGTCTCTTCCTCTCATTGTTGGTCTCTCTACATCTCTGTGAGTCTGTTTTTCTGCCTCTTTTTTCAGTCTTTATTTTTATTTTTTAGTTTATTTTAATTAATTAATTAATTTATTTATTTTGAGACAGTTTTGCTCTCGTTGCCCAGGCTAGAGTGCAATGGTGCAATCTCGGCTCACTGCAACCCCTGCCTCCGGGTTCAAGCGATTCTCCTGCCTCAGCCTCCAGAGTAGCTGTGACTACAGGTGTGCGCTACCACACCCGGCTAATTTTGTATTTTTAGTAGAGACGGGGTTTCACCATGTTGGTCAGGCTGGTCTCAAACTCCTGACCTCGGGTGATCTGCCCGCCTCGGCCTCCCAAAGTGCTGGGATTACAGGCATGAGCCACCACACCCGGCCTCTATTTTTACATATCATTAATTCACCACATATTCAGCACGTGTCCACTGAGTGCTGAGGCCTGGGCTAGGCCCTATGGGTATAGTGGTGAACAAATAGACGTAAATCCCTACCCTCAGACAGCTTACCTTTCAGTAGGAGAGACAAAAAAGGTAATCAGAAAAGCAGGTAGCATGTCAGATGGTGATGAAAGGTAATAAGGAAGCAGCAGAGGAAGACAGGGGATAGGAAGAGTCAGGGCTAAGGGTTGGGGTGGAGTTGAAATTTTAGGAAGAGTGGCCAGAGAAGGTCTCACTGAGAAGATGACTTTTGAGCAAAGACCTGGAGGAAGTGAGAGAGCGAACTATGGGGGCTATTAGGGCGAGAACGTTCTAGGCCGAGGGATCCGCTGTAGCACAGGCCCAGAGTGCAGATGAGCGTGGTGTGTTTGCAAGGCTGTGAGGGGGCCAGTGTGGTTGCAGCAGAGTGGACTGGAAAGGAGAGGGAGGTGTGGTCTGAGAGGTTCAGGGAGGCCAGAGCTGTCATTGTAAGGGCTTGGGCTTTTATTCTGAGCCTAGTAGGTGTCTTTGGAGGGCTTGGGCAGAGCAGGGCCAGGCTCTAGTTCACATTTGAGCAGGATCAGGCTGGCTCCTGCAACAATTCTAGGTTAAAGAGGGGTGAGGACAGAATCAGGGACACCAGCAAGGAGGCAACTGCAATACTCCAGGCAAGAGAAAACGGTGGTCGGGACCAAGGTGGTAGCAGCAGAGGTGGTGAGAAGTGGTCAGATTCTGGATCCATTTTTAAGGTAGAGACAGCAGAATTCGCTAATGGATTGAAGGGAGGCATGAGAGAATGAGAGGAGGCAAGGATGCCTCCAACGTTTTTAACCTAAACAACTGGAAGGATAGAGCTGTCATTCCCAAGATGGAGATAACGGCAGGCAAACTGGTGGGTTTTTTTTTTCTTTTGATGGAGAGACCAGGAACCCAGTTCTGAACTTAAGTTTGAGGTGTCTAGCGGAACACCAAGGGAGATGATGAGAGGGAAGGGGGTGCAGGGAGAAGACTGGGGGAGTCCTGGGCACAGGGATGGCCCAGTCGAGAGATCAGGGAGCCAGTGTGGCTGCAGCCAGCAGCGCGGAGACCCCGCCAGTGCAGTGCCCGCCTCTGTGTCTGTCCCTCCTGGTTCTCTCCCTTATTGGCCTGGCTCGCCTGCCTGTCTCATTGACTGTTCTCACATCTGCTTCCTTGGCTCTTTGGCTCCGTGCCTGTTTCTCTCCACCCGTGCGCCTCTCTCCGCGCCTCCCTCCCCCACGCAGCCCCTTCCTTCGGCCCTGCCCGCCCCAGCCCTCCTCCCCTCTGCCCGCAGTCTGTCCGCGGGGGTGATGGCGGGATAGCAGGCAGCAGGCGTCGGCCCCGGGCGGGGGTCTCACCGGACGGGCCGGTTGGCGGCGTCGGGGTCCCGCGCCGTCACCACGCCGACCAGGGAGCCCACCTGCGCGTCCTCCTGCACCTCCAGGAGGCCGGAGGGCGGCCGGAACTCGGGGGGCTCGTCCACGTCGGTCACGGCCACGCGCACGATCGCCTGGTCGCGGAACGTGCCCAGGTCGGCGAAGCGGGGGTCCACGAACTTGTTGAGGGCCTCCAGGATCACGGTGTGCACGGGCTGGGATTCGAAGTCCAGGCGCTGCGGGAGGGAGCAGAGGGCCGGTTAGTGGGTGGGGTCTGGTGGACACTGAGGCCTTCACGAGGGAGGCCAAGGCAGGCGGGGTTGGCCCAAGGTCACACGTTGTCTCAGCAGGGGCGGCAGGGATGTTTGGGCTGCATTGCAGAACTGACCCAGACCAACCCGGTGGGTTACGGGTGGAGAAACTGAGGATCCTCGAGGACAGTCTTGCCTAAGGACACAGCCACTCCAGGCTAACGCGCTGAGCACCCAAACTTCCTGCTTCCCAGCGCAGTGTTGGCGGCATATTTCATTAGTTTAGTTCACGAACACAAAGCACCTACTGTGTGCCAGTGCTTTAAGTATATTAACTCAACTTGACATCAACCCTAAGAGGCTTGTATTCTTATGATCTGATCTTACACATGAGGAAAACGAGGCCCAGAAAGGCTCAGTAACTTGCCCAAGTCACCGGGCAGTGAGTGAGTCCCTAGCAGAGCCAGGATTCCCTGGTATGCAGGAGTTAGCAACTAATGTGAGTTGAGCCCGATAAGCCGGGCTGCCTTAGAGCTTTCCTCTGAGATCTGGCTAAATCCATGCTGAGCCTGTGCTTCTTATCGGGGGGTGCTAATGGGTGACCCTCTGATGAATGAGCTCCATGGCTGTGTGTTAGCTCTGACCGTCTAAAGACACTGCCTATAGCAACGAAAAAGCCATGTCGTGGAGCTGCAGGGACCTCAGCTACATGGTGGGGGAGCGATCTGATTGGCAAGAGTGACCTTCCAGGAGACTCACAGGCAGGTGCCTACCCTGTGTATGGGGTCCCCCCATTGCTCTCAGAATCCCCCACCCCCGACTTCTCCAGCAGCAAAAACAGCCGTGTCCTGCCTCCAGCCTGTTGCCTGGGAAATCAGGATGCAGGGAGGCAGGCGGTGGCCTGGCCTAGGAGTGAGTGGTGGACTCTGGAGCCAGGCCATCAGTCTGCTCCCTGAGCCATCACCGACTCCGCAGAGACACCCTAGGCGCCACTGCTGGAGTGGGCGGCAGGAGGGGGCCTGAGAGCTGGGGGTGGGGGAGATTAAGCAGCCCAGGGGATGAGAGCAAATGCTGTGCTGGAGTCCCCGGGCTGAGTTTGAAGCCTGATTCTGCTGCTCTGTGAAGCTGGGTTTCTCTGGGCCTCCAATTCTCCATCTGTAAAATGGGCTCATCTAACAGTTAAGGATGAACGGAGATCAAAAGACTGAAAATCACTAGTGCTTAAAAAAGGGAGATTCTAGAGCTGGACCCCCTGAGCCCGTATCCCTACTGAACGATACTAGATGCATGGCCTTGGGAAAGTTACCGAACTTCTTGGGGCCTCAGTTTCTCATCTATAAAATGAACGATTACAGCATCTCAGAGGGTTGATGAAGGGATCAAATGAGTTAATACGCAGAAAGTAGTTGAAGGGTGCCTGGCATGTGGCAAGCACTTTATCACAAGTAGTAGCTATTATATTATTATCCTCTGGAAAGGAGCTGAAGGAACTGGGCATTTTGTCTATCCTCAAGCCCTCAATGCCAGGTAAAGAGCGGGTCATTATGTGCTTGCTGAGCAAAAGAAGGACTGTTGAGGGCAGATGTTGGAAGGCAGAGCTCAGGCTGATAGGCACAGATTTAAGGAGACAGATGCCGGCTGAATGGGAGGAAGAAGAGCTGGACAGTGGCAGAAAGTGAGCATTCTGTCGCTGGAGATATACAAACAAAGGCCTATGACCACTTGTGGGCCAGTGCAGGGGACTTAGACCTCCCATGGGAGAGTGGGGTCGGAGTGGGTGGTCTTAATGGCCTTTGCAGCCCTGAGTTGCCAAGCCCCTGACCAAATCCTGGAAGATGGATTTTTGCCTCTTTATTTGACCTCCCTAGGGATCGCTGAGTTTGCAGTTTGAGTTTCTGGTTCCTGGGCCAGCCAGTGGGCAAGGAAGGCTGTTAGACTCAGGAAGGAAAGAGCTTTGGAGTCACTAGACCTGGGTTCAAATCTCTACCATGTGCCTTACAGGTGTGACCTTGGGTAAGCCCCTTTACCTCTCTCAGCATCTATTTTCTCAGTTATAAAAATGAGGATAGTAACCTCAGCTTCAGAGGGAAATATGAGGATTAAAGGCAATGAGGAGTGTGAAGAGGCTGGCAAGGATGTGAAGCACACGTCAGAGTGTTTGAGGGTGTGGATTCCCATCTGGATTGAACCCTGGCTCTGAGAACCAGCTGTGCAACCTCAGACAGGTCACTTCACCTCTCTATGCCTGGTTTGCAAAAGGGGAATGATACCATCAGTGTTTTTCCAGGTTGGTCCTGGACCTCTAGAGAGAACTAATCCATTGAGTGGAGTGAGGTGGGGGTATTCGGCTGCCCAGAGGCCTCCCTGATCCTCCCACCCCTGAGGCCTGCCTCCCCCATTCCTCCTGAGGCAGCTGCACCTTCTGCACTACGATGATGGCCTCCTGAGTGTCGCTGTCTGTGGTGACCTTGAACACATCGCCGCCGCTGCTGCTCTCGTCCTTAAGGTGGTAAGTCATGTCTGTGTTCTCTCCCACGTCTGAGTCCTCAGCCTTCACACGTCCCACAGCCGTTCCAATGGGGGCTGACTCCTGGATGCTGAACTGGTACATCTCTGTGGGGGACACGGCCATGAGCAGGGATGAAGGCAGCCCCTTCCCCAGCCTCTGCCAGCAGTGGGGGAGGGGACAAGGGGGCCCAGGTGAGCCTCTATGGAGGACAGTGCCTGAAAGGGGCTCTCAGCTTGGCCAGAATGGGGGCTGGGAGAGGAATGTCCCCTGCAGAAGTTTGGGTGGCAGTGCAAAAGGAGGGTTTAAATTCTGACCTTTGGGTTTATTCACTGGTTGATTTGGTAAAATGCCTGCAGTTCTTTGGGCCTCAGTTTCCCTACCTAGCCAGTGACAGGGACAGAGGAGCACAGTGATAAAGGCTAAGACTCCGGAGTCAGTCCTAGCTGTGTAACCCTGAGCCTCAGTTTCCTCCTCTGTAAAATGGAAATAAATAACGATGGTGCCTTCCTAACAGCTGTGTGTTTATGGCAACTAACTTAGATGATGACGCCTGTAACATGCTTAGTACAGTGCCTGGCACTTGGTAGCTACTCAAGAAATAGAATAAATTGTGTTAAAATGGTGGGGCTTCATAGTGATTTTGCTGTTGATGTTAACGGTAGTTATTCCTTCATTTCAATGTATACATTGAGCACCTATGATGCCCCCAGACATCATGCGGTTCTAGACACTGCGGTTACAGCAACAAATAAAATGGACCAAAATCTCAGCTCTCATGTTGCTTTCCTCTTAATAGAAAGGGAAAGACACTAAACAATCACATCAGTGAAACATATGGTATGTCCAATGGTGATAGGTACTTAGGAGAGAGATAAAGCAGGGAAGGTGTGGGAGTGCTGATGAGGGTGTTGCGCAGTTTTAAATAGGCTGATCTAGAAAGGCCTTGCAGAGAAGATGACATTTCTGCAAAAGTCAGAAGGTGGGGAGGGAGCGAGCCAAGCAGATATTTGGGAAAGAGTATTCTAGACAGAGGGAGCAGCAGGTGCAAAGGCCCTGAGGTGGGTGCTGTGCCTGGCATGTTGGAAGAATGGCAAGATGGCTGTGTGGCTGGAGGGGAGGAGCAGAGGGGAAACCAGAAGGAATGAGATCAGATGGGATGGAGGCTGCAGCTTGCTCTCCAACCAGAGCTGAGGTCGAGGTGAGGATGACTTGCTAAGTGATGGGCCAGCCTAGCTGAAGCAGGGTCTGTGGGGATGTGTCTCTTGGGGGCTCCACAGGTCTTGGTAACCCTTGCGTGGAGTGGCTGCCTCTGATTCATCCTCATACAGCAGCCGGGGTGGGGCACTTTCTGAAACACGAGATGAACATGCCACTCCCCTGCTTTAATCCCTTTTATAGCTCCCCATTGCCCTTGGGATGGAGTTGTGCAAGTCCCTTGGCCTGCCCTACAAAACACTGCCTGGCCCCTTCTGGCTTCTCCAGCCTCATCCTCCAATCCCCACTCCATCTCTAGCTTCAGCCTTGCTGAAGTTCTTGTGATTCTGCAACTGACTCACTCTCTCTCACCTCCAGGCATCCCCTCTCCCTGTCCTCCTCTCTGCCTTTGCCTTCCCAATTCCCGCTCTGCCTTCTAGTCTCACTGAATGTTACCTCCTCCAGGGAACCTTCCCAGACCTCCAGGCTCTGCTCCTGTGCTCCCTTGGCCCCCAAGCTTATCCCATTGTTAGAATTACTGCGTTTTTACTCTCATTTTCTGTTTATTCTCTCTCTTGGGTATGAGCTGCTGGAAGAAAGGGACCACATCTCTTATTCATCAGGCATTCCCAGTGCCTGGCAGAATGCCAGGCTGTCGCATAAATGAAATGTGTGAGGGACTAGTGAGTGTATGAATGAAAACCAGCATGAGTTACCAGTAGACACTCACCAGATTAACACAAATCAAAGAACGTGACAGTACCAGGAGTCAGTGAGGATGTGGTACAATGGACATGTGCGTTTCCTCATGGGGGAAAACAGTTTGGCTTTATTTGGTAAAGCTAAAGATGAGTACATCCCATGACCCAGCAATTTCACTCCTCTGTATCCATAGAGAACAAGTGCAAATGGGCACCTGGAGACCTGGGGCAATAAGGTTCAAAGCAGTCTCCTTCCCAATGGCCCCAAACTGGAAATAATGCCAGTGTCCACCACCCCCAGAATAGATAATTATGGAATACTATACAGCAAAGAAAATGAATAAATTACAGCTACCAGCAACATAAGTTCATAAACACAATTTTGAGAGGTAAAAAGCAAGACAAAAACAATTTGTATTGTATGATTCATCCCATTTATATAAGGTTCAAAAATGGATGAAATTAGACTTGTGACTGGTGATGCCTGCGTAGATGAACAGACTCAAAAGATGACCATCACAAAAGCAGGTAGTGGCTAACTGGAGGGAGGAGTTGGGGAAGAGGCTATGATCAGGAAAGGGCATATTAGGGCTTCTGGGGTCCTGGCTGGTGGTCATAGGATTGTTTGCTTTATAATTATTTGTTGAACTGTTGTTTTTGTGTGCCATAGTTCATGATAAGAAAGACGGAAAGAAAAAGAAAGGAAGGAGGAAAGGAATGACGAGCAGGAAAGCAAACCTTCTGGGGGCCCTGGCCTCCTCTCTGCTCTGCCCCACCCCTTCCAGTTCAGAGCTCATTCAGAGCCTGGCACAAGTGGGCAGAAGACTGGGTGGGGGTGCGTCCCACCCATGCCACCCGTCTGCATGGGGCTGCCTTCAGGGGCTGGGGCTGGGCTGGGAGATTGGGCAGTGGGATGGCTTCTGTGCCAGGCTCCCTGGCACCGGGAAGCCGGTTGGTGAGCTCAGCTCACTCCGCTCTGTGTCTGAGCTGAGGCTGTAGGCCACAATGATGCTGCGCTCTCAGCTAAGGGATTGGATTCCCTTATCTCTCGGGGGTCAGTCCCCTGTGGCGGGGCCTAATGTGAGAGCAGCAGACCTCAAGTAATGACTCACCCGATAGGAATCAGCCCAGCTCCTGCGGCATTTAGTCCCTGCCAGCTTTGGTGGCTTCCCTGTAGTGGCTCTCGGCCTGAGCCTGGGACAGAGGGGTTGGCTGGGCTGATAGGGAGCTGGGAGGCTGGGCCGGAGACATCCCCCAACCCCCGCTGTGCCAGCAGAGGCAGAGGGTGGAAAGGCCTCCTAATTCAGAAGCACAGAGTCGCGCTACCCAGGCTCAGAGGAGGAGGGAAATGCCTGTCACTCAGACTTAGTTTTTCTCTGCACAACCTCTATCTGTCTGGGGGCTGAGCTGCCTCTGCCTAGATCCCTGGGTGCCCCCTTTCTCCCCAGTACCTTCCCTCTGCAAGCCTAGGTCAGCGGCATGGGATGGCCCAACAAGTGGCTAGGGGAGTGGGCAGGGGCCAGTGAGGGGTTGGAGGATGGACGGAAGGGTGGATGGGTGGGGCTCCCCCTCTGCCGGAAGCAAGAGGAGGTCTGGGAAGGTGATGGTGTGTTACTTGGCTCTGTGGAGCATCGGACAGCCCTGGGGTCTTCCTTGGTAGGAAGCATGGTTGGAGGGGGGCTGGGGGATAGCTGGTGGCTTGGGAGGACAGACAGACAGACAGAAAGAGAGGGGGAAGCCCTTCTTTTGGTGGGAAGTCTAAAGGGAAGCTGGGGTCAGCAGGTGGCTTGGATGGGGTAACAGACAGACACACAGACGCGCCTTCCTCTGGGAAGGCCTCACTCACTCTGCGGGAAACGGGGCGGGTTGTCATTGACGTCGGTGACTACGATGGTGACGGTAGTGGAGCCCGAGAGGCCACCCAGCTGACCCGCCATGTCTGTGGCCTGGATCACCACCTCGTAGCGCTCCTGGCTCTCGCGGTCAAGGTCAGGCACAGCCGTCCGGATTACGCCTGTGGGTGAGTGAGGGTGAGGCCAGGGCACCCCACACCACCTGCCCACTGATGTGGAGACCCCTGTACAGGCGGGATTCAGACCCTGTGACTCCTGGGAAAATTAAGCTCAGGAGGAGAGTGGGCCACACAAGGACATCCACGTGTCCACCATGTGGGACAGGGCTCAGTGTACACCACACACACTCACACACGCTCATACAGATACAGATACACATGCCCACACAGATATACTCACACATGCTCACACACACGGTCACACAGATAGACTCACATACTTGCTCATATGGATGCAGATACTCACACATACACACATGATCACACAGATGTACACACATGCTCATATACTCACATACACTTCTACAGATACATTCACACAGGCTCACACAGAATAACACACACAGGTTTATTCACAGGTTTATTCCCAGATACATTCACACACACACAGATACACACAGATACATTCACACACACAGAAACATTCACAAACTCATACACACTCCTATAGATACACTCACAAACACACACTCATATACCTTACAGATCCAGTCACATGCTGCCACTCATACACTCACAGACTCACACAGAATTACATACAGGCCTATACAGATCACCCACACACATACCTGCCCATGCAGAAATGCACATGGGCTCAGATACACTCACACATCCATACAGAAACACACACACTCACACCTGGCCATACAGATGCACTCTCACAAATAACTCATACTCACATACACACAAACACACAAACAGATACACTCTCAAATACACACTCAATGATCCACACACATTCACACATACTCTCAAATACACATCCTCCCACACAAACACACACAGACACACTAACATATACACACACACTCTCATACACACTGTAACACATACACACACTGAAATACATACACTTTTTTTCTTTTTCTTTTTTCTTTTCTTTCTTTTTTTTTTGAAACAGAATCTCACTTTGTTGCCCAGGCTGGAGTGCAGTGGCGCGATCTCAGCTCACTGCAACCTCCTCCCGGGTTCAAGCAACTCTCCTGCCTCAGCCTCCTGAGTAGCTGGGACTACAGGCATGCACCACTATGCCTGGCTAATCTTTGCATTTTTAGTAGAGACAGGGTTTTGCCGTGTTGGCCAAGCAGGTCTCAAACTCCTAGCCTCAAGTGATCCACCTGCCTCAGCCTCCCAAAGTGCTGAGATTACAGGTGTGAGCCACTGCACTTGGTCTCAAATACATACACTTTCAAACACACTTGCTCACACACATTGCACCTGCATTTTCTCACACACAGACACAACACAAAAGCAACTGTGTGACTCCCCTGGGCAACCAGTCCCACTTTTGGGGCCTCAGTTTTCCCACTTGACATTCTATGCATGAACCAGGCCTGTGTCAGTAACACACAGCCCAGAGCCAGGCATGGAGCAGCAGCTTGGCTGGTGTGAACTGGACTCACGTCCACACTCATGTACACTCACTATGCTGTCACACTCACCTGTATACACACATGCAACGTAGTTCACACATTTGTGGTGTATGGACATAAGAACACATACAAAGTCCCTTACACACATGCACACTCATAGCTACCACCTCACATTCTTATTCACACCCCCTCCCACAACCAAATTATCCCCCAGCCTTAGAGGTGCACCCCAACCCTCTCCAGGCCCTAGATCCTCTATCCAGGCACCAGCTAATCACGGAGCAGACAGTCCTCCAAGCTGTTATTGGAAGCAGGGAGGGCAGCAGGCGTGGGGGTGACCGCAAGATTAATTCTGCTGTGGGGAAGACTGGGCTTCTTGTCTCCCTGCCAGTAGAAGAGACAAGGGTAGGGCGGGGGAGTCGATGAGGCATTCAGAGCCTCTCCCACCACCCACTCCAACCTGCCGAGCACCAGGTGGTGACAGGTGGTGCCCGGGGCCTGTGCGCCAGGTGGAGTCATGCACCAGCAGCCCCATGCTGCGCCCCATAAAACCCAAGCTCTGACACCTGATGTCCCCCAACAGTCCCCAGACTCCCATACAGGCAACAGAATGGAAGGAGAGGCTGTAGGGCGTGTGTGTATGTGTGGTGTTTGTGTGTGTATTTCTGTGTGTACCTGTGGTAGGTAGCCAGAGGTGGGGCACCTAAGGGGTGGTCCTGCTTTCGTGGGATCACATGCAGATATGGAATGGGTGTTCTGCCTAATCAAGGGTCACACAAACCATCTATCAGTGGCCTTCTCAACGCCTCAGTAGGCCCCCTCCTGACCCCTTCTCTACCACCACTGGTCTTCCCAGGAACAGGGGAGTCTTGGCAGTGGATTGCCTTGGGATAGATTCCAGATCTGCCATTTCTTTGGTCATGTGATTTTGAGCTAATCCCTTCACCTCTTTGAACCTCAGTTTCCTTATCTGTAAAATGGGACAACCACCATACTGACTTAAATGACAGGATTTCTCAAACTTGGCACTGTAGTCAGTCATTTTGGGCAGGATAATTCTCTGTAGTGTGTGTGTGTGTGACCTGTATGTTGTAGGATATTTAGTAGCATCCTTGGCCTCCCGGCACTAAATGCCAGCAGCACTAACCGTCGCCTTAGTTCCAAAACTGTCTCCAGACATTGTCAAATGGACCCTGGGGCAAGATTGGTTGAGAACCACTCGTATAGGATTTCATCTCATGAGAATTACATGTAATAAAAACAACTAATGTTTATGTGCATTTGCTCTGTGTCCGGCATTATTCTAATCACCTTAGGTGAATTGCCTCATTTAATCCTCTCAATATTCATATGTGGAAGGTCCTGTGATTATACCTGTTTTATAGATGAGGAGACAGAGGCACGGAAAGGCTAAGTACCTTGTTGAAGGTCACACGTGTAGAAAGTGCATAGCCAGGACGCTGAGGCTTTGCAGCCCTGGACAGCAGGGGCTGTACAGGGAAGGTGGGGTGTGTCATATTCTCCACCCTGGGGGGTTGGAAAGAGAGAATGGAAGGCAGACAGAGGGGAGGAAGAGAGCGAAGGTGATGGACAGGGAAGAGGAGAGAAAGAAGAAAAGGAGTCCCAGGGAAAGAGAGACAGGGAGAAACCTAGTGAGAGACAGGAGGAAAGAGACAGAGAGGAAGGGAAGAAAGGAAGGTAGGGGAGGGGAAGGGAGGGGAACAGACAGAGAGGGAGACTGAAAGGGACAGAAAAACAGAGAAGGGAAGATTGCGGGGGGAGGTAGATAAACCAGAGAGAAAGCCAGAGATACCCAGAAAGAGACAGTAAGAGAGAAACAGAGACCTAGAGAGAAACAAAGAGGAAGAGAAAGAAAGGAGGGAAGAAAAATGGGCAAAGAACAACTGAGAGAGCGGGAACAGACATACAGAAAACAGAGAGGGAGACGCAGGAAGGGTGAAGAAAGATGGTGGGGGGTGGGGAGGGGAGGGCAGGTAGGCTTACAGTGCAGCAGCCACCAGGCCAGGGAGCAGGGGATCCCAGGTGGAAAGGTGGAGAGGGAGTGACTTTAGCCGAGCACTTGCTGTGTGCTAAGCTTTGTGCTGGTCACTTGCCATCCAGGACCTCAGTGAATGTACAGGATTCGTGGTAGGATGTGGAGTCACTGTGTATCTATGGGCTTGGGCACCAAAGGCTCAGTGTCCCAGCTCTGAGTGGGGGCTGGAGCAGGGGCCTGGCTCCACCTCTGTGAGTGAGAGAGGCTCCACGTGGCTGCCTTCTTTGCTGTCCCTGTCACTTCCAGCTCCTGAGGAACTGGGGACACGACACTCTTCTCACTTGGAAACTGGTCCTGAAGCCTTGTGGTGTGTAGGATTCAGGTGCCATCTCTGGGTGTGTGTGAGTTGGGCCCCCTGGGCCTTGTTCTCGGGATCCAGGGAACAGGGTAGGTTGCTATGGTGACAGTGCCCAGTGAACCACACCTTCCGGTATCCACGCCCTTGGGTCATTCCCTCCCACACTGACTCTGGCCAATGGGACATCAGCAAGTGTGCTTTGGCCAATAGGACATCAGCAAGTGTGACAAAAGCAGAGGTTTGATAAGCCCCTGTATGCTGCGGCCTGTCCTCTTGGAATCCTGAGACCATTGTACTGTGAAGAAGCCCAGGATAAAAGGCCACATGGAGAGGGAGGCCTAGTCCTGCCAGCTGTCCCAGTGAAGTCACTCCCAGCGACCCGACAGCTGACTGTTGCTGCATGAGTGACCCCAGCAAAATAACTGCCAAGCTGACACACCAAATTGTGACAAATAATAAATTATTGTTGCTTTAAGCTACCAGGTTTTGGGTTTTTTTTTTTCTTTTTTTTTTTTTTTTACATAGCTCTAGATGACTGATAGAGAAATCCAGTTGGCTGGGCCATTCCTCTGCTGATTTTGTCTGGGCTTACTCACGCATCTGAGCCTAAACCGGAGGAGCAGCTGACTGGAAGGTCCAAGATGGCTCATTTACATGTCTGGCAGTTGGTCTTGGCTGTCGGCGGGGACACATTGGTTCTTTCATCCTCCAGTAGGCTGGCTTCCTTACATAGCAGTCTCAGGACTGTGTTCCAGGACAGTAAACGTGAAAGCTGCAAGGTCTCTTAAGGCCTAATGTCAGAATTTGCATAACATCACTTCTGCCACATTCTATTGGCCAAAGTAGTCCCAGGCGAACCCAGGTTCAAGGGGTAGGGAAACAGACTCCACCTCTTGCCCAGAACAGTGGCAAAGTCACATTAGTAAGCAGCCGTGTGCAGGGCGGGGAGGAATTGATAACATATTTTCCTATCTACTATGTTCCACTCCACTGTCTTCCTCCTGATGTTGGGAGAAGCACGGTGGAGACTATTGCCCTCTGAGAGATCTAGGGGTACAAATATTCCAAAACAGTCCATGAAGTTGTTCTTGAAAGCTTCTGGCTCTTTGACTTCATCCGTTCACTCATTCATTCATTACAGTCTTGCCGAGGGCCTACTACAGGTGCTGGGGCTGCACAGACTCAGATAGGCTGCAGGAGGACTCTGGGGCCAGACAGATATGGGCTCAAGTCTTCTTTCCACCATTTACATGCTAGCTGACCATGGGCAAGTTCCTGGGCCTCTCTGAGCCTCTGTTTCCTCTTATGTGAAATGGAGACACCCACCTGGTAGGGCTGTTGAGAGGACTGAATGAGAGGAAGCTTCCAGCAGCAGGCCTCACATTTTGGAGATGCCTTGCTGATCTCTTTCCTCAAGTTCTGGATTGAGTACCTCCATAAACAAGTTTCACAGAGGCAGAAATCCATGCTGGTCTTGTTCATCCCGTGTCTATAGGGCCTGGCACACAGCAAGTGCTCAAATGACGTTTTGACTGGCTGACTCCCAGTGCCCCTCCACTGCCCCTCTCACAGCCTGGGTGTAGCTATCCATTTGCTTCTCTGCTGGAGCAGAAGCTCCGTGAGGGCAGAAACCAGGTCTACTTCATTATCCTGACCCCAGGATCTGGCACTTAGAAGGTGCTCAACAAATGTTAGTTTCATTCCCTCCCTGTAAAATGGATGACTCTGGCTCAGTTGACAATTTTCAGCAGAGATCTTGAAATCTCGGAGAACATTTCTATTCCTGCTGGGGTGGTGGTGGGCGGGGGCTGGTAATTATAACCTGGCCTCAGCTCCCGCAGCCTTGTCTTCACCCATCGTCCCCAGTTCCAGCTGTTGTCCTGGCCTCCCCTGCTGTCCCCTCCAAATGCTGCAAAAGGGGCCCTGGAGCCCGTGTGATGCCTCATTAGCACACAAATGCCATCCCTGTCGCCCCTGTGGGGGGCCTGCTGGCAGGCCTGGCCTTTAAAACACACAAGTTAATTCCTCCTCTGGCATTGGGGCCTCGCGGCGCCCCGCCTCCTCCCTTCCCTCACACCTTCCTCCCAGGCCCCGTTCCGGCTCTGCTCCCTGCTATCTGCACAGCAAGAACAGACTGTACCTCGCAGCAGCTGCTAAATATAGACCCGCATCAGCAGAATATTCCTGGCTGGGGAACTAGAGCTGGGGCTGGGAATGGCACCAGGGCAGCTCTTGCCATGGGGCTGTGGGCAAGGGGAGGCAAAACCTGGTTCTTCCTGGGACGTGCCAGAAAGGACCCTTTCAGATTGAAGAGTTGAGGGGCTCTGGAGCAGGGACCCCATTTGAACTCCTTCAACTGCCTTGCCTGGTCCTCACTTTCTGACCTCTTGGGAACTGTTCTGCTCCCCCAGGCCCGGTGGCCTCCCAGTTGTCACCATCTTCTGGGCCCTCTGCTGCGGGGGATGCTGTTTCTTAGAAACTGGCTGTCCTTCCCACTCTCATGTCCTCCCCACTCTCTGATCCTTCATCTGCCCAGCCCTGCCACCTCCCAAGACTCAGTCTTGGCCCTTCTCTTATTTCTATGTTCTTTCTTCTCCCCATCTCCCCAAGGCTTATCAACCCTAGGGTCCCCACCTCCTCAGGCTGAATGCATGAAGGCTTCCTCATCACCATCACTATCCTTTTGTGCTGGGGCTCAGGCTGAGCACTTTACATACTTCCTGTTCCCTTGGCCTGCAGTGTTGGTCCCCAGAAATCTGCATGGCTCATACCTTCACTGCACTTGGTCTCTGCCCCAAGGTCACTTCCCCAGAAAGGCCTGTTGTGATTTCTTTCTTTTTCTTTCTTTCTTTTTTCTTTCTTTCTTTCTTTCTCTTTCTTTTTCTTTCCTTCTTTCTTTCTTTCTTTCTTTCTTTCTTTCTTTCTTTCTTTCTTTCTTTTTCTTTCTTTCTCTTTCTTTCTTTCTCTTTCCTCTTTCTTTTTCTTTCTTTCTTTCTTTCCTCTCTTTCTTTTTCTTTCTTTCTTCTTCCTTTCTTCCTTTCTTCCTTCCTTCCTTCCTTCCTTCCTTCCTTCCTTCTTTCTTTCTTTTCTTTTTGAGATGGAGTCTTGCTCTGTCACTCAGGCTGGAGTGCAGTGGTGCGATCTTGGCTCACTGCAACCTCTGCCTCCTGGGTTCAGGCAATTCTCCTGCCTCAACCTCCCGAGTAGCTGGGATTACAGGCATGTGCCACCACTCCCGGCTAATTTTTGTATTTTAGTAGAGATCGGGTTTCACCATGTTGGCCAGGCTGGTGTCAAACTCCTGGCCTCAAGTGATCCACCCGCTTCGGCCTCCCAAAGTGTTGGGATTACAGGCATGAGTCACCATGCCTGGCTGTGAAGTCTTAATCTAAGTCCTTCCTCTGCATTAGGTTTCGTCCTCACACTCGTCACTGCTTGACGTTATGTTATATGTGTACATGCTCATCTTCTATATTCTCTACTTCAATAAAAGTGCCATGAATGCAGAGCCTTAGATTTGCCTACTGAAGCATTCCTAGTGCCTAGCACAGAGCCAGGCACATAATAGGCACTCAATAAATAGTGGTTGAATGAATGAGTGAACTGTCCCATTGAATCCTCACGACCATCAAGTGAGATGGGTATGATTCTCTCCCCTGTGCACATGGGGAAACTGAAGCTTTAAGAGACCCAACCATTCTTGGAGCTCCACACCTGTATTTCACATGGCCTGCTAGAAGTTCTAGGTGTTTCTTTCCCTGTTTTCGCTCATCTTAAAGCCAATATGGTTAAAGCTGAATTTTTTAGCTCTGCATCAGATTCCAGGGCACATTCACTCATTCCTCTGCTCTAGTAGCTTTCTTAATTTACACTCCTCCTGTTTCTGTTGATGGTACCCCTTGCCTAGATGAATAAATCCTACTACATGGAAAGAAACTCTGCCTCCTCCCCCAACCTAGTCCTGCAGATTCGTGTTGGCCCCCAAGGTTTGTCCTTGGCAGGATCTCACTGCCACCCCCTATTCTCTCTTCTCGGCATCTCAATCAATCCTCACTATGAATTCTTCATCATCCCTGGCCTCCTAGCTAGACAGGTAGGTTAAGGAGTCTGAGTGACTGTCAAGAAAGGGCGCAGGCTTTTGGTTTTTGCCATTTGGGACTCTATGCTGGGCATCCTGGGCTCCAGGGCCTCCCTGCCTCTAATTCCTGCCTCTGAGCCAAGCTCTGTAGCAGCAGCCCAAGGGATCTTGTTAAAATTAAAACCAGAGCATGTCATTTCCTTGCTTAGTAGTCATCAGTGAACCTGCACTGTAGGTGAGGAGGAGGGGAAATGGATACTCTCACACGTGGCTCACGGGAGTGTCGTCTGGTACATTTCGGCATTATCTATCGAGATTCCGAATGCATGTGCTCTTTGACCAAGCTTCTCCACTTCCTGAAAATTATCCTGCAGATATACTCACACAAGCACAAAATGATGTATGTGTGAGGTTATTCACTGTAGCATTGTTTGTTGTAGCAAAAGATTGGAAACAGCATAAGTGTCCATCGGCAGGGGACTGGTGAAATAAATTTTAGTGTATCCATAACACCCATTAAATAAGAGAAAGAGGAAGCCCTTTATGTACTCATATGGAATAATCTTCAAAATGTATTGTTAAGTGAAAAAGGCAAGCCGTGTGTATAGTGTGTTTATAGCTACCATTCATGTAAAAAAAATAAATACATGTACCTTATTTTCTTGTACATGTACAGAATAGCTCTGGAAGATGCATGAGAAAATTACATTGGTTGCCTTGGGGATACAGACTAGGTGGCTGGGGGACTGGATGGGGTGAAGAATTGCTACTAAATTCCTGTTTGGACTTTTTGAATTTTGAACCTTGAGATGTATTATCTATTAAATGTGAGTTAATATTTTCGAGTGAATGAGTCTAAGATCTCATAGGATGTATACACCAAGTGGCTACCTTTGGGGCTGCAATTACTGGTGATAGGGAGTGGGAAGCGTTTCTTTTTTTTTTCTTTTTAGCATTTCTTTAATGTTTGAATGTTTTATAAAATGTATTACTTTTTTGGGGAGAAAAAATAATGAAGATACTTTGTGTGAGAAAATACAATTACAACTGTGCTCATGGATTGGAATCCTCTCCCTTCTCCCCCAGACAAAGGAAACAGACAAACAAAAACCCAAAACCCAAATCCATCAACTCCCCCCAACCCCACTTCCCAGCTTTGCCCTTAGAATGAAATCCAAGCTCCTTAGCCTGGCTCACACCAGCACAGTCAGGCCCCTGCCACCCTCTCGACGTCACCTCTCAACAAACCTGATTGCCGAAGCCTGAGCTGCTTACAATTCCCCTCATGCCCCAGGCTGTTCCACTTCTCCCAACTTTTGCCTGAGCCATACCCTGTACCTGGAATGCCCTTCTCTGAAATCTTGGTCTGGCAACACCTTCTTCTTCTTCTTCTTCTTCTTCTTCTTCTTCTTCTTCTTCTTCTTCTTCTTCTTCTTCTTTTTTTTTTTGAGACAGGGTCTTGCTCTGTTGCTCAGGCTAGAGTGTGATGGTGCCATCATAGCTCACTGCAGCCTCGACCTCCTGGGCTCAAGCAATCATCCCACCTCAGCCTCCTGAGTAGCTGGGACTAGAGGCACCTGTCACTATGCCTAGCTAATTTTTTCTTTTGTAGAGATGGGTTCTCTCTGTGTTACCCAGGCTGGTCTCAAACTCCTGAACTCAAGCAATCCTCCCACCTTGGCCTCCCAAAGTCCTGGGATCACAGGGGTGAGCCACTGCACCCGCAGACACTTTCTTATCCTTTGTAGATTGCTGCTACTTCCTCCGAGAAGCCTTGCATCCTAATCCCTACATATCTGCCTATCCTCCTGCCCCACAGGGCTGTGAGCCTCACAATGGCATTTGATAAACATTCTGTGCTGTCTGACATCTCATT
Organism: Homo sapiens; assembly: GCF_000001405.40. Lineage (NCBI taxonomy): Eukaryota > Metazoa > Chordata > Mammalia > Primates > Hominidae > Homo > Homo sapiens. The sequence continues at coordinate 46,226,732 of NC_000020.11, forward strand.
CCCCGCCTTCACCCAAGCCAGGCCCCTCCTATCCCAGGAGCAGTGAGAGCACCCCGCTGGAATTGGCAGCCACTCCCAGCTGTGTGACCTCAAGTGAGTCACTTCACCTCTCTGGTCTTCAGTCTTCTCATCCTGTCCTCCTCGCACTCCCCCAAGGCTTCTCAGAGATTAGTCAGGTTCTAATGTCACCGTGAGTGAAGTGGGGACAGCGGGTGGGCGTGCTGCACCATCGTTTGGTGGTGTTGAGGGGATAAGCAAGAAAGAAGCCACTCTTCCTTAAAGGTCTCTGTGTCTTAGACACCTTTCCTTAAAGATGCTTGTGTTTTTCCATCAGGTCCTTAACAACTGCCATGTGGGCAGAGCTCTCAAAACTGCTGAAACCAGCCGTCCTCCCTTCCCCAAACTACACTTGTGACCCCGGAAGAGCTCAAACGCCTGCTTCAACTTAGCTCCAAGGACAAGCCGCTTAGTTCGGACCTTTAAGGTCCTTTTAGGGCACCCACAGCGGCTGCTTCCTGCCTTTCGGTTTCTCTTCCAGTTTTGGAAGAACCCCCCACCCCATTCCTTTTCTGTTCCTCAGTCCGTCCATCTTCCTGCCTGGCTGCCCCTCCCTCTCCGCGACCCTGGACTCTCCTGCTGTGCACAAGGTGCCCCCTGTGCTGTCCTCAGAGCTTCTGGGACAGAAGGCTCAGAGCAGACGTCTGGGGTGGTCCTCGTCCCGCCCCGCCCCTGGCCCCGCCCCACGGCTCCGCCTCTGGCCCCGCCCTGCCCCTCACCGGTCTTGGGGTCCACGGTGAAGTGGTGCTCGCCGTCCAGCACGCTGTACACCAGCCGAGCGCTGCTGCCGTACGTGGGGTCATCCGCATCCGAGGCCATCACCTGCATCACCGACGTGCCTGGGCCCGGGGGACCAAGCGAGACAGGGGTCATCTGGGGCTGCGGAGCTCGTTCCCCCACTTCGCCTCACCCCAGGGAAGCTGGGAGAGGAGACCCTCGGGAGACCTGCGGGAGGCCATCGAATACAGCCCCTCACGGTCCCCATCCCCACTCTGAGCCCCAACCCTCTTCCTGTTTTGAGGCCTTTCTGGTGGCGCAAGTGTGACCATGGAGTCAGATCTGGATTCAAGTCCCCTTGGGGTGGTTCCCAGCTGTAGGACTCTGGCAACGAAAGGCAGCCTCTCTGAGTCTGTTTCCTCTTCAGCAAAGTGAGGCAAATCCTAGTGCTTGGTTCACTAGGTTGAGGGGATGAATTCTAAACTCCCAGCACAGAGCTGTTCACAGAAGTTTCTCAATGATGGCGACAATCATTACAGTCATCACAGTCAGTTGGAGCCAGGACTGGAAACCAGGACCTGACTCTCAACCCAGGGGCCATTCTACCCACTCCAGCTCCTACTGATTCTTCAAGGGACTTCTGCCTCCTCTCCCCGCATGATGGTGGTAGGGGACAGCCCAGAGGGACAGACCAATTCATCGGGGGTCAGAGGCCAGTGTCTCTTGGCCCCCGGCAGGAGAGGGCAGCACCCAGCCTTCCCTTTGGAAAGTTGTTGGCTGCGGGCCCTGGTGCCCTCCTCGCCCCTCCCCCTGGGTGCCCAGACAGCCCACCCCCAGACACACACACTTCTCATGCTCTGCACGTAGACTGCTGGGGAGAGTATAAATTGGATAAAAGTCCATCAAACAGTGGCAATTAAGTTATTGATTTTTGACGCTGCCTCATTAAACCGGGAGCTTCTTTTGGTCTGTCCCAGAGATGGCTCTAATTTGACATCATGTTCAATTTGACGAAAGCAGGGCTTGGGACGTGAGGCTAGACCAGGTGGGGGTGGGGGTAAGGGTGGGGGAGGGTCAGGTGGAGGGGCCAACAAAGCCATTGAATCCACCCAAACCTTTCCAGAAAGAAGAGGGTGAGCTGGAAGACTCAAGAGTGAGTCTTGGGGGTTCAGGATACGACCCAAAGGGAAGGAGATGGAGACCCCACCTCAGAGAGATGCCCTCTGCTGGGTGCCTGCTGGTGGGGCCAGGCAGGCCCCTCCTGGGCTGGGCTGGGCTCCCTGGGCCAGCAGGGCTGCATGCTGGGAGGTGAGGCCAGTTCACTGCCTGGCTAATGAGTGAGAATCTGGAAGTGCTACTGCAGCAATTCTGCTAAGCCCAGCCCGCCGCCCGCCTCTCCCGCCTCCAGCCTGGGGCCCTCGATCATTCCAGACAGACACATGTATTTATTTTTCACTCTTTTGCATTTCTCATTTCCCTCTCCAGGTTCCCCCTCCCAGCCACAGTCTCCTAAAACGTCCCTGCAATGCGCCTCTCTCTTTGGCCACTCCAGCTCCATGTCAACCATGTCAGAGTTGACCAGAGAAGCTGAGGAAGAGGGATGGGCAAGCCCCTTCCCTCCAGATGCTGGTGCCCAGGGGTCTCCTACTCAGGGAGGACACAGCTCCAGGTGCCTCTTGCTGGACTGGAATTATGTCCTATTGAGCACTCATGACACACTGGCTTCACCAGCCACTTAAATCCATCATCTCTAATCCTCATAGCATCTCGGAGATGCAGAGTGGCCCCCCCCCCCAATTTTACAGCTGAGGAATCAAGTCAGACAGGGGAAAAGATTTCACTGAGGGCACAGAGTGAGGAAGTGGTGGAATTTGAACCCGGGACTCTGGGATGCCAAGTCCCTTCTGGGAAGCAGTATCAGCACAAGTACAGTGACTTTGGGGACAGTGGTCTGGTGTACTGAGTCACAACCAGCGATGGCACTGCCACTTATTAGAAGTTTGACCTTGGATCTGTCATGAACCGCTTTGTGCTTCAATCTCCCCATTTTGTGAAATGAGGGTGGTAGTATTACAGATCTCCTGAGATCATTTTGAGAATTCAATTTCCACGTCCAGCACCAAGGACAGTGCCTGAACCATGCCAAGAACCCAATAAGTGCAGGTTGTTGTTGTCAACTCAAGAGGCACAGCACACCAGTATACAATGGCACAATTATGCCTCCCTCACAGAGGTGCTGAAATGGGAGAAGATACATAAAGCATCAGGCTTATGGTGGGTGCACAATATCTAGTGGCTGTTGTAATTGTTATGAGAGAGGGTCTCCCTGTCACTCCCCTGGCAAGTCCCTCCCACTCCCTGGGCAAAGCACAATGCAGGGCTGAGTGACTCCCCAGAGACATGGCTGAGCTCTCTCTCTCCCTGGCTGCATCCCAGGGACTCCCGAGGGGATGATGGAACCATTTCCCCAATCCAGGATTCTTTATTGCAGCCATTATAGTTAATGCCGACATGTGGGAATGGTAAAGGGTCAGTGATTCACCACTGGTTTCCCAGGCCCCAGAGGAATGGCTTCCTTGGGCCACACACCCCCTCCCACCTTCTTCAGAAGTCAGCAGCTCCCCAGAATTGGCTGACAAAAGGGTGCCAGGCTTGTAGCTACTGTGGGACCACCTTGGGGTGGTCCCACAGGTTCAGCAGTTTATATTTCACAGTGCCGCATCATGTCCATTCTCTCCTGCAGACTTCACACCAGCTCTGTGATATAGACGCAGTGGTTTGTTGGTGAGTCAGCTCTGAGGGGTGGATGGGTCGGGAGGAGTGCCCTGCTTTGTAATGTTTGCTGATTTCCATGGTGTAAATATTCTCTCCATGGCCCAGTTTCAAGCTACCAACATGATATCAACTGGCCCACAAAACTCCTGAAAATCAACATGTGGCTCTCGTGAGCTGGTACGAGCTGACTCCAGCACACCCCTGCACCATCCCCATTTCACAGCTGAGGAGACTGCTATGCACAGTGAAGGGTGAAAACATGAATTAATAATGAAATCCATTATGAATTATGTAACATTATTCAATAACTGATAAAGATAGCTTCCATTTATTAAATAACAACTTTGTACTAGATACTATGATATAAGCCCTTTTTGTATATGATAGAATTTACAAAACAGGGCCTTCAGATAAGCTTTTAATATTTTCACTTTAAAGAGGAGGAAATGGAGGCTGAGTGAAGTTAAGTAATGAACCTCTTAGTGCTTCCATTTCCTCATTAGTGAGATGGGTAAGAATACTACCAAACTCGTGGATCACTGTGAGAACTCAGATTTCTATGCTCAGCACCAAGGACAGTACCTTGACAAGCTCACCTGGTGCAGGAGAGAGGCAGGTTTCAAACCCACGTGGATCTGATGTCAAAGCCCACATATATCCTGCCTTAGAGGGAGGAGGAGGGGCTGCTTGGAGTAGAAGTAGATAGGTGAGACAGAGAGAGGGAGGACTCAGACACAGGAGCAGGGGGGCAGAGGAGGGGAAGGACAGGAGCTGGGTTTAGATTCTCCCTCCCCTACAGCTGGTCCAAGCCCAGACTTCCAGAAGTAGAGCTGGGACTGGTTGACAGGAGCGGGCTGCTGTCCGTGGTGCTGCTGCCCAGCCCTTCTGCTAAGTGGTGGTTAAGGGCCTAGGTCCAGGCTGGAATGGGAAGGGTTGCCCAACTGATTCTTGGCTAAACAGGATCTCAGGGCCCATGGATCCATGTGGAATGTTAGATATGGAATGGCTTGTCCTTGAAGAGCACAGAAATCAGAGCTTCTCAACTTGGCAGCACGTTAGAATCTCTTGGGAGCTTTAAATAACATTGATGTGGAGCCCCATCCCTGACCAATTAAATAGGACTCTTGGGGAGGAGCCCAGGCAAAGGTATTTTCACAGTCTCCAGAGTGCATCTAAAGTGTCTCTCGGTCTAAAAACTGATGCCCTAGACTGAATCCCTCACTGAACTGATGAGGAAATTGAGTCACAGAGGGGCTCGATGACTTCCCCAGGGACACATCATTAGTAAGCAGTAGGGAAAGATTCAAACTCAGGTCTGCCTAGCCAGCATGCTGCCCTCCTGGACTCATTGAGCCTGTTCTGAGACTGACACCTGAAGGAAGCAGGTAGGATAATGTTGCCACCAAGTCATTAGAGCTCTTCCCAGCTGAAGTCAGCATGAGAAGTCGGACACTCTTCAGAGGAGATGCCCTCGCATCTCCATGGAGACTGGGTGGGCTTTGGCATCACAGAGTCCTGTGGTTTCAGGTCCTACCACTTCCTCACTCTGCACCCTCAGTCAGATCTTTTACCCTTTCTGATCCATTTCCTCACCTGTAACATTAAGGGGTGCCCATTCTGAGCCTCTGAGCTGCTATGAGGATTAGAAATGATGGATTTAAGGACCCAGTGTGTCGTGGGTGCCTAACAGAAGCTCATTCCTTTCCCTTCTCTCCGTATCATCAGGAGGCACCTGGGGCTGTGCCTCCCTGAGTAGAAGACCCCTGGACACCAGCATCAGGAGGGAGGGGGCTTGCCTACTCCTCATCTCTGTGTTGTTCTGACTTGGTTTGTTGTGGAACAAGAATTGGAATATGTGTCCTGGATCCCAGGCCAGAATTCTTTTTTTTTCTTATCCCTTAATCCTTGCTATCTGTGAAGTGCAGTTGAGTCTCCAGACTCAAGTTCCAGACCCCCCAGGAGGAGCCCCCCAGCTGGCTCTGGGAGTGGGTGGTGCTGCATGGAGTGGAGCTCAGGGATTACAGACATACATTCTCATTCCAGCCCTGTCCTTGGCTTTGTGTGGCTGTGGAAAAACTTCCCAATCTGATTGGGCCTCAGTTCCCCTTCTGTAAAATGGAGATAACACTTTATCATTCCTGTCTCCCTGGGTGTGGGAGACCCCTTAATGAGAGAAAGAGATGAAGCACTTTGGAAAAGAACAGAGTTCTCAGCCGAGGTGACCACATGTCATTATTATGAAGACGTTTGTAATTATTATCATCCTGCCTCTTCCCTACCTCCTTTTGCCACCCCACTGGGTCTGGGGAAACCCTAGGCTCACATTTAGCTTCTCAAACATTTATAAAAAATGAGTCCCACCCCTGCTGCTGCCAGCACTGTGCAGAATGCTTTCTATTAAAAATTAAAAACCACTTGTCGAGTCTCTGGGAACGCTCAGATTACACAGGAAACAAGCCCCCTCTCAACATCCACCCCTGCTGCCCTCCTCCCAACTCCCTCTTCGATCATCACTTAGAATGCCAGCTGGCTGGGCTGGCCTCGACCCTGCTTCTAGCCTCCCAGCCAGGGCAGCCTAATGCAGATGAATGGCACACAGGAGATGCAGGAAAGTGGCTGCATGGGAGGAGGCAGGTCCAGAGACAAGTGACAGAGAAGGCAGCACAGAGAGAGGGGTCAAGAAAGCGGGTAAGAGACAGAGAAAGAAGGGTCAGAGGGACAGAAGTTCGTGGGGCAGAGACAGACAGAAAGCAGTAGAAACACAGAGGTTAAGTAGGAAACCAGAGGAATCTAGAAACAGAGACAGAGCAAATAGAACAGAGACAGAGGTACATATGGAGCAGGAAGAGGGGGCAGAGCAGGAGGAGGAACTAGGAGAGGAAGGTGAAGTTTGGCCTGGTGGGGTGAGGGGCCTGCTGCATTGCACCTTCCTCCAGAGTCTCCAGGGAACGTGAAACACCCTCCCCTCCTCACCTTTTCTTTCCTTATGGATCCCGGCCATGGACTTGCCCATCCAGGCGACCCCTGACTGTGTGTGTGTGGATCTGCTATGTCCTCCTGAGAGAGAGCACTCTCTTATATCCCAAATAGACCCACAAGCGCTTCTGTCCTCTCAACATTTACCAGGCCCTCTGTTATGCAATCTAGTGACTTTGTTTGTTTCGGACTGCAACATTTGAAGTATCTGTGATAGCATCCTTCTACTCATGGCAGAAAGCAAACATTTTTGCTTATGATTCAATTCCATTCATTCTCTCAACATCTACAGAGCACCTACTATGTGCTAGACCCTCGAGGGCAGGATGGTAGCTTTATCATCTTTGCACCCTAATGCCATGTGGCCACAGGGCCTGGCATACAGAGAGTGCTCATATTTGTTGGATGATTTGTTGATGGAAAAGACAAAAAGAGACAGGGATATATTCCTCCCTGTCCAGATTACCCGGGCCATGGGGCCAACTCCTGAGGACCAGGGCCTCGGCTCCTGTCTGCTGCTTCTCCCCACCAGAAGCCTCCTGTCCCGTTCCCCCCAGCACGGGTGGTGAGAGCCAGTGCCGTTGCTAGGCAAGGAGATATTGCACGTATAGATCTTCCTGGACTTTAATTAAAAACATCTTTAGAAGTTGTCTCTGCAGAGACCAGCGATTGATTCCTGGCTTGGGCCTGCGGGCTGCTGAGCTACACTCTCTCCAGCTACAGACGGGACAATTGGAGGCTCCCAGCCTGCTGCTGCCCTCTCCAAATGATATCCTTGGGGAACACACTCCTTCCTGCCTTCCTCCTTTCCTCTCTGTTCCCCCAAGCACCGAATTTAAGAATCAGATAGTGTGCTCTCCCAGTTTTACTTTCCTTCCCCTCTTGAGCCTCAGTTTCCATAGCTGTAAAATGGGGATGTCAGTACTTAACCCAAGAGAGTCCCCAGGAGGCTGAAATGATATTAGGGATGTGAAAGTGATTTTCAAGCTGTGAAGTTTTGTGCAAGAAATGATTGTGACTCTTTCCTCAAAGAAAGCTATGGATGCCGAGCCAAGGAACTCAGGTTCTGGTTTCCGCTTCTGGGTCTAGTTCTGGCTTCAGCTCTTACTGTGGAAGCTCAGAAAAATCACTTTGCATTTATTTTTTCATTAGTAACATGAAGACACTAATACTGATCCTGCTTATTCCTCAGGATTGTGAGAATAAAGGGAAATAGCTCTGTGAAAGCAGTGCTTGCTGATAGCTCTTATTTAGTGAATATCCCAAGAAGTGCAGGCTGTACTACCAAGACAGTCTTTTCCCATCTATTAAATATGCTGCTCACAGAGGAATTGAAACACATGGAAAAGTGCCCGTTTCCACATTCTGTTGAGCCCCAATCCCATGGTCTGGCAATGTCAATTCTATGGCATGTGCGCTATGACATTCTCCTTCCTTTGCCCATGGCAGACATTACTAATCCATCATGGCATTTTTTCTACCAAGGCTGAATGAGATCTTAGACTCCTTCTCAATACAGCCCAACAGTCACTACCAATTGATCTGAGTTAGCACAAGAGACGAAACTGATCTGCTACCACTTTGAGGTCAGGGGTGGTGTCTTGCTCATCTGTGATCTCTACATACCTAGCAAAGTGCTATGCACATAGTAGGCCTAATATGTGTTTATTGAATTAAAAGCAACTACTTCTCTGTCCTCTGTGGGGCTATATATAAAGTAGGTGCTAATAAATGTTTGCTAAGTTGGGTGACTCATCTTTGCAAGCCCTACAGAGCCAAGTACATTGGAGGCCTTGTGTATAATGGGTGCTAATAAACATTTGTGGATTTAATTCAATTACTTATCTTTGCATCCTCTGCAGTGCCCAGAATAAAGTAGTGGTTAATAAATGCACATTGAATTGAATTTCTCATTTCTGTCTTCAGTAACTTCAATAGTGCCAGGCATAGTGTCTTGCACAAGATTGGCATGAATAAGTAGGAGGAGTTGAGCTGGGTGTGGGAGACCTGTGAAATCCTCTTGCCATCCCATTCAGGTTGTGACAGCCTAGGGAAGGGGTGTGGCTCCCTGACATTGAAAGAATGTCTAGTCCAATTCTTCTCTATCAAAACTTACTCCCTGTTGATGTATGCAGCATCAAGCTGTAAATTCCCTCTCTCTGCTGCTGACTTCCAAAGTTGTATCTTTAGCCTCATCTCTCTTCTGACATCTAGACTCATAGATCCAACTGTCCCCTTGACATATGAACTTGGATGTTCAGTAGACACCTCAATCTTAACTTGCCCAAGAATTAATTCTTAATTTGTTCTGCAAACTTGCTCTTCCTGGAGCAGTCCCCATCTCAGCCGCAGTAGCTCCATCCATTCAGTTGCTCAGGCCCAAAACTTCAGCATCGTCCTTGTCTCCTCTGCCTCTTACTCCCCACAACCAATCCCTCACAAACCCTGTTGGCTCTACCTTCAATGCACATCCAGAATTCCATCTTGTCTCACCATCCACACTGGTCCAAGTCACCATCACCTCTTGCTGCACTATTGCAATTGCTTCCTCATTGGCCTCCCTACTCCCAACCTTGCCTCCTACAGTCTATTTTCAACATGGTGGACAACAAGTCGTTCTTTTAAAATATAAGCTGGATTAGATTAAACCTCTGCTCTCCATCTCACTCAGAGTACAACCAAAAACCTTTCAATGGCTACCAAGTCCTGTGTGATCCATTGTCTGAGGTAATCAGACTCCAGATATTCTCCCACTCACTCACTTCTCTTCAGCCACAGACCTCCGTGCTATTCCTCAAACACGACAAACATGCTATGCCTCAGGACCCTTGCATTTGCTGTTCTCTCTGCCTGGAACATTCTTCTTGTAGCTTAGTGGTTGTCCAAGTATGGTCTCCATGCCAGCAGCATTAGGGAGTTTGTTAGAAATGCAGACATTTCTAACAGCCCAGACCTCGTGAGCCAGAAACGCTGGGGGGGACAAGGGCAGCAATTTGTGTTTTAACAAGCCCTCCAGGTAATGTGGATGCACCAAAGAGTTTGAAAACCACTGTTTCACAGAGCTCCTTGGTTCCCTTCCTTCAGATCTTTATTCAGATGTCCTCCTCCAGAAAGACAGGACTTCCCTGACCCCTCTATCTAAAATAACACTCCCCGCAAATTGCTCCTAATTCCTTTATTCTGCATAGCACTCACACCATCAGGCATATTAATATTCATTTTATATATCTATATAAATATATAGATATATATTTAATTATATATAATATATAATATATTTATATATAAATATATAAATATAAAAATAAATATATATTATATATAAATATAATATATAATATATTATATATAGATATATATTAATATCTATATTTGTATATATTTATATATTAATATCTATCTATCTATCTATCTATCTATCTATCTATATATACATAGAGAGAGAGAGAGAGAGAAAGAGAGTCTTGCACTGTCACTCAGGCTGGAGTGCAGTGGCATGATCTCTGCTCACGGCAATCTCTGCCTCCCCAGTTCAAGCAATTCTTCTGCCTCAGCCTCCCGAGTAGCTGGGACTACAGGTGTATGCCACCATACCTGGCTAATTTTTTTCGTATTTTAGTAGAGACGGGGTTTCACCATGTTGCCCAGCTGGTCTCGAACTCCTGAGCTCAGGCAATTCACCGGCCTTGGCCTCCCAAAGTGCGAGGATTACAGGCATGGGCCACCGCACCTGGCCTATTTTATATTTTTAATTATTTATTTGGATATTATACATTTGCTTGTCTCTGTCCTGACTCTCCCTGCTATAGTATGTAGGTTTCCTAAGAATCCCCAATGCCTGAAACAGTGCCTGGCACATAGCAGGCACTCAATAAACATCTGATGCTTGAATGAACCCTCTCAATGCTCAGAAGGGAACTTGGGGTCCAGAGGGGGCAGGAAGTCGACCAAGGTCCTGCAGGGAACCAGGCGTCCTGACTATCAACTCAGGGCCCACTTGGCTGCATCAGGCTTAACATGACTGGTGTGCCCCTGCTCAGAAGCGTGGCTCATCGGAGGCCCCCCGGCACACTTCCCTTCCCTTTTAAGCTGTGAGTGGTTTAATTTGCAAGCGCTGCTGCCTTTCATGTCCCAAGCTGCGTCCCTGCTCCCTCTGATCTCCGAAGCTGCCCAGACCCTGGTGCTGCTTGTCGGCCCCGCCCTCCACAGCCGGATCAGGAGGCTCAGTAATTGTGACTGATTTTCAAAGCTGCCTGGAGTCTCTGCAAGCACCATGGTGTCAGATTTGCTTCCCCTTCAAATAGTTGCTCAAATGAAATAAACTAATTTAATTTCTGCTTCTCCCTTCCCCCTCCTTGGTTCCCAGCTGGTTCAAATTGAGTCCCCCCCACTCCCGACATTTTTCCTGAGTGGACTGTGAGAGTCAGTGGGCTGGGAGAGGGAGTCAAGACAGAGCTGGGTCTCCATAGGCCAGTGGTCATAAACTGGGGGCTGCCTCTGCCTCCTACTCTCTGCATGACCTTGGATGAGTCCTTGCCCTTCTCTTGGTCTCAGTTTCCCCACCTGTGAAACAAGGACCCTTGCCATTCCAACAACCTGGGAGCCACGCCCAGCAACTTGCTCTGTCACTGACTTGCTATGTAGGTACTTTCTTCTCTCTGAGCCTCAGTGTTCCCATCTGCTCAATGGGGATGCTACCATTAGTCCTGCCACCTCTCAGAGTCACAGTGAGAGTGAAGTGGTCATGGAGGAGCCACCATGGTGGAGATGAGGCTGCTCTTCCCCTGGCACCTCCCCATCCTCAGCCCTTCTCCACAGTGCAGCAGAGGGAATTTTCCAAAATGCAAGTCTTCCCATGTCACTCCCTCAGTTAGGCCTTTCCCAGGCTACCTGCTTTCCTCTAGTCCTTCAGATGGGGCTCCTGCTTCCTTCTCTAGCATCAGCTCTCCCCACCTTTCTGGACTTTTTAATGCAGAAATGTGCAGGTCAGTTTTAAGTGAAGGGAGACAGGGCTGTGAGTTTAAGTCAGTAGGTAGGGGCTGCCGGACCTAGAAAGTCAGGGACTTGCTGTGTGACCTTGGACATGTCACTGTCTCTCTGAGCCCCAGTTTACCCATTAGCAAAATTGTATGCTAAGTTCTTGCCAGGCTCTGAAATTCCATATGTCTTTGCCATTGATAATATCCAAATTTATCTCTCCAGCCCAGACCTCCTCTGAACCTGGATATTCAACTCTCTTGTTCAAGATCTCCACTCAGCAGCATAATACGTTTTTCTAACTTAACAAACTTCACGCCAAACTCCTAATTTCCTCTCATCCCCCAAATCTGTTCCTTCAATCTCAGTAAATGGAAATCCATCTATTTAATTGCTCAGGTTACAATCCTAACAGTCATCCTTGAGTTTTCTTTCTTTCACACTCCATATCCAATCCATTAGCAAATGCTTTCAGCTCTACTTCTAGGATATATCCAAAAGGCAACCTCTTTTCAACACCTCCACTGGTACCATCTTGTTCCAAGCCACCATCACTTCCTGTTCACAGGCCACCTGCTTCTGCTCTTGCCCTCTTTTCTGCCCATCTATTCTTCATGAAAGAGCCATGGGGTCCTGATCATGTCATTTTTCTGAGCAAGACCTTCCATTGACTTCTCAGCTTGTTCAGCATAAAAGGCAACGCCCTGGCTATGGTCTACATGGCTGCATGATCTGGTCACCTTGTTTCTTCTCAGCAGAATTCAACTGCAGGGCCTTTGCATGTGCCATTCCCTCCGCCTGGAATGCTCTTCCCCCCAGGGCCCATGCTCTCACTTCCTCCAGGTCTTCAGAGAAGCCTTACTGGACCAATGATCTAGTTGTTCACTTGCTTATTGTCTGTCTTCCTTAGGAAGAATGGGCCCTCCATGAGAGGAGGGAATCTTCTGCCTTTTCACTGCTGTGTTCCCAGGGCCTAGCATGTAGTATGCACTCAATAAATATTTGTTGAATGAATGAATATACTCATATAGACACAGCATGTCACATGCACACACAGGCCTTAAAGTGCTTCTTGGTTAGGTGTTTGTGTGTGCACATCTGCATATATATGTGGAACACACATGTACATCAGGCATGCATGCATGCATTCCTGTGTGTGTACACCAGTCTGCACTCACATCCACAGCCCCACTGTTCCCTATTTCCCCCTCATCCCTTGCCCACCATTCTCTCTGGTTCACCTCCTCCCCTTCCCCTACTGGCTACTTGCTCATTATCCCAGCAAGCTGCCAGATTTGGCCCAATTTGGGGAAGCTGGGCTGACAGCACCCTCTCCCAGGAGCTCAAGCACTCCTGGCCTCTGACACGCAGCCATAGAGCTGGAAGGTCCAGAGAGGTACAGCATCCAACTTTTGGCCACAGCGAGTCAGCAATGGAGCGTGGCTTAGGACCTAGGGCAGCTGCTTCTTGTCTAGCCTGGCTTGCAGATTACTTGGAGTAACGTGGTAGGAAGGAGATGGCAGCTATTGGCTTGTGCCCCTCACCCCATGACTCCCGTTTCTACCAGAGCCCCAGGAGCCCTGAGCTAAGTGGGGCCTTGATGGTCAGAAACGGTCTGGGGGTTTCCTGGTGGGAGAAGGCAGAGTCATGCAGCTTTAGCCTCAGTGTCCTGCTGCTGTGTGCATGGCCCTTTCTGAGTATGGTTGTGTCTGATGTCTACACAGAGATGTATATTTCTGTGTGTGTGCACTTCACTTTCTATGGGCATAATCATGTGTGCAGTGCTCCTGGGTGTGTGCAGTCATACCCAGGTAAGTGCAACTGAATCTGTGTCTGGGGGCTTAGCCATCTCTGTGTGAGGCTCTGTCCCTAGCTGGCTGGATCTCGGTGAGCTGTGGCTTCCTCTGGGCTGTAGACAGAGCTGCCTGTCTCATTCATCTGCCTGTGCCCATGCCTGTCTGCGGCTGCACACCAGGGGAGCTGGACCCCAGGATGCTCATGTCTGCTTGTGGCTTTTGCCTCTGTCTCTGTACATGGCTGAGTCTGTGCAGAAGCACTATCTGCGTAAGGGCCTGTTTCCTGCCTGGGGTTGTGTGTGGCTAGGTCAGGGTGTGAGGTCGTGGGTCTGAGTGTGTGGTTGGGCCCTGTTTCAGCTGTGTCCCAATCTAGCTGTTCCTAGTGGTGGGTGTGCCTGAAGATGGGACTATGTCTGTGTGGAGGTTGTTGCCAAGGGCTGCGCTGTGTCTATGTGCAGTTGAACTTTTGTGAAGGGCTCTGTCAAGGCGTCCAGCTGTGCTGTGTGTGTGACTCTGTCCAGCTGTGCCTGTGTAGGGGACTGGATCTATGAATGAGGTTGTGTACCAGTGTAGTGGTGAGTTGTATGCGGGGCTGGGCTTGTGCATGTGGCATGTCCAGATCTGCAGCTGTGTCTCCATACGTGACTGGGTGTGGCTGTATGAGCATGTCCGAGGGCATCACTGTGTCCACATGCGGGTCCACGTTCATGGGGGGCTGTGTCCATGGATGTGGCTGAAGTCATGTGTGTGGTTTTGTCCAGGACTATGCTTGACCCCAGGGGGCACCTGAGCTCACATCTGTACCCTGTACCCTAGGTCAGCAGGCTCTGTCTTTTCTGTCCCTCCCCAGAGGATCAGCTACTCCCCTTCCCAGCAGGCTCCACTTGGGGATCACCTTGATCCCATCCCCCACCCCCAGGGCCCACAGCCCACCTGTAGGTGAGAGCTCGGCCACGCTGCCAATATAGGGGCCGTGCAGGAAGCGGGGCTCACTGTCATTGATGTCCTGCACCTTGATGATGAACTCCGACTCGGGCTCCAGTAGGCGGTTGGTGGCGCGATCCCGAGCCTGGGCCCGCAGCGTGTAGAAGGTTTTCTGCTCGCGGTCCAGGCGCTCCATGGCATGAATGTCGCCTGTCAGCTCGTCGATCAGGAAGATGGTCCCAGCACCCTCGCCTGAGATGGTGTACTTGATGGCCCCGTCACCCTCGTCTGAGTCGGAGTGGATCTGGGTAGGCAGAGAAGAAGGCAAGGTGGAGGCTGAGAAGGAAGCTCCTCTTGGCCTCACTGTCTCATGCCATTGGCTGCCTATTCCTAAGCCCATCTCTTCTCCAGCACATACACATCTTTAGTGAGGACACTGAGGCCCAGCAGCCACGCTCACTTCCATCCCTGGCCTGGAGTCTTTCCTCAGCCCGCTGGGGCCCTCCCTGCCCCTGGACTCTGCTTTCCCCTCTGCATTCAGAGCTATCAGCCTTGGAGGCAGATCTGAACATGGCCTCCCTGCTTACAACCCTCCAGTGGCTTCCCATTGCCTTCACAAAGAAGTCCAGCACCACCTCCACACCTCTCTCCCCTTTAGCACGCACAGCTCTGAGGCTTCTGCCTTGAGCCCTGTCCTTGTTTCTCTGCCCATGGAAAGTCTCTCATCCTGCAAAGTGCAACAAAAATGCCACCTCTTTCAGAAAGCTTTTCTGGATCCTCAGTCTCCCCCTGCCCCCAGGATCTCTCGGTACATCAAGCCATCATGATCATGTTCAGCCTTGTAGGATGGCTGTAGCCAGCACTTCTCAAACTCTAGTATGCATGCAGTTCACCTGGGGATCTTGTTAAAATGCAGATTCTGACTCAGTAGGTCTGGGGCCAGGCCTCAGACTTTGCATTTCTAACAAACTTCCAGGCTGCTGGTCCATGACCTCACTGTGAATTACAGGTCCACTGCTCCCTAGACTCTGCACCCCAGGAGATTGGGGTGGCATCTTCCTCATTTTGGTATATGGAGAACCAGGCTCAAGACATAGCACATGACAGGGAGTGAAGGGAGAGAGGAGGAAGGGATGTTAACTGAAAGAGCACCTTCCATGTGCCAGGCACTGGCTAAGCAATTTATGTACTTTTCTAGTTAAAGATGCTTTTTTTAAAAACCTGCTAGAGTAGGTTTTTCTATCTTTATTTTACAGATTTTTTTCCCACTTCCTAATGAAGATTGGAGAAGTGGGATGGGTTCTTCAAGGTCAGGCCACTGGAAGAGCTGGTCTGACTCCACACTGGGCTTTCCCATTCCATCTAAAGCCTCCGGAGAGGAGCCCAGGGGAAGGGAGAGACAGTGCAGCCTGGCCCAGCCTTGGCTCTGACATCGCCTCCCTGTGCATCCTCACCCATCACTTTGCCTCTCTGGCCCTCAGTTGCTTCATCTGTAACATGGGAATCATATTAGCATTTTCCTCCCAGAGGTACTGAGGGGTTTGCTGAGTTGAGAATCCATACAAGGCCCTTAGCAGGTGCCACCAAGTGACATTTACAATATTTAGCAGCCAGCACGGTGGGGGCACTGCCCAGGCAGTGGTACTGCAGCAGGATCCCTGCTGGGCCAGGCAGGAACCCTTCAGTTGCTGGATCACAGAGAGGCCCAGGGGGCTGAGAGAGTTGGGGCGAGGGAGAGGAGAGGGACTATTTACTGCAGGTATGGAGGTTTTTCATGATTTTAACAACAAGTACAACTGTACCAGTTTGTACTACCTGGAAATAAGCCCTGTCTGAGACATAATAAGTGCCCAACAGATGGTAGCTATCGTTATTATTATATTATTACTGCATGTTAGCTATATATAACCAGGATTTAATCTAGGCACTATTAGGCTCCAGATTCCAGGCTGTTTTCACTGCCCTGAGATCTCTTGGGTGAGGAACCAGCAAGACGTCTGTTTTCTTGCAATCAGAAACACCTAAGTCCTTATCTTCCAATGCCCAAATCTCCCAGGCAGCTTCAAGCAGAGGAAAATCCATTCCGATGAGGCTTTGGGCAGGTCCCTGCTCCTCTCTAAGCTTCCATGGAGATGGAGTGTGGACAAGAGAATCCCTAAAGTTCCTTTCAGGCTGGGGTGCTGGGGACCCCAGCCCACTAGGCAGGAGAACAGGTGCCCATGAAGTCATCACGAAGAGGGACGAAAGCCCATCCCCTGCCACGCAGGAGGAGCCGGGGTATAAATTCTGCTGGTAGAACTTTGTGTCTGAAAGGTGGATTATAGAAGTGCCATTTGGAAGATTGAATGGCCCATAAACATTTTCATATTTCATTAGCCGATTAATGGGCATCTCTCTCTTTTTGGCGAGTCTGCTGATTCTCAGCAGAAATTGCGGGGACTAAATGGAGGCGTCTGGTGGAAACTTTCCGGGTCCCCATCCTGTTATAGATTGCCCCAATTAATGCCCGTCCTGGGCTCCACTGAGAAGCCTTCTTCCTGTCCAGTTACTGTTAATAGATTTCTCATAAGTGGCTGGATTGTAAAAACCTCATAACTCAGTTTAATGCCCCCAATAAAATTATTTCAGGACATCGGCCCTGAATCATTGGCAGTGCTGAGGATGAGGAGACCTGTCTCTCCTGTTTGCTGTTTATACGTTTTTTCCACCATTGCCCCAGGGGAGATGGGATGAGAGGGGGTGATTCTGTTCCCTTTTGGGGTGCCTCTACCTGCTTCCCAGCCTGATCTGTTGTCTGCTTATTTCATCAGCAAACACTTCTGAGCAGTGTGGTAGAATAGATGCCATTTGAAGAGATGCTTAACAGCTATAATCTTACTAGTCTTCATCATTGCCCTGTGAAACATTATCATTCCCATTTCTCAGGTTAGAAAACTGAGGCACAGAGAGGGGAAGTCATGTGCTGTGTCACATGGCTAAGTGTGGAAAGCACGCTTCTGACTCTACCACTCACTAATGTTGGGACCATGGATTTGTGAATTTTACCTCTCTGAGCCCCTGTGTTTCCACCTGAGAAATCACACCAAGCCCTACTTGGCACAGGTGTGGGGAGGATTAGATGAGAGCATGTTTACATTGACCTAAGCACTCTGTTAATGGTTGTTTCCTTCCCTTTCCATCTCCTGGGTCTCCATCATGTCCCTGCAGGCCTTGATGTTTTGACTCAGACCCCAGGCAGGGCTCACTTACGAGTGAGGAATGGAGAGGAGCGAGTAGAACCTAGTGGTGATGTCATCTTCTGTGGAATATGACACAGAGCTCACGCTGGGGCCTACTGGCTGCTCTCTGGGGACTGCAGAGTCAGACAGGGGCAATCTGCCTGGGCGGGAGCTAAGATCTGGGAGTTACGAATTCAGGCCCAGCTGGGGTTGCCTGCCCTGCCTGCCTGGGTCCCGGCTCCAGAGTGAAGAGGGAGTGCCTCTGGCTCTGCCCTAGGAAGATATTTCTCAGGACTCTCAGCTGCGAGTGGAGGCTGGAAGATGGTGCTCTCATTTATTGAGAACCTACTATGTGTCAGACATGTGTTGCAGGCCATCTGCAGAAATCCAACTTGACTTTGTGGGGTTTGTAAATGTATCCCTATTTTCCAGGTGAAGAGACTGAGATGGCCCCCGGTCTGTTTGACTCCAAAGCCCAGTTTGGTTTCTCTGCAGTCTCTGGGAATCTGGCTAGTCTGCTTACAATGCCTATAGCAGAGGGTGAGGGAGAAAAGGGGAAGGGGGGAAGGAGTGGGTTACTGGGTGGCCACTGGGCTGCACAGCTTGGGTGGTGGCCTTGACACCAGTCTTTTGCCCTGTGCCGTGCAGGCCACAGTCATCGGTGGCCTCTTCTCTCTAAGCCTCCATTTTACCACTTGGGAAAGAACCTCAAACTACAAATCAGGAAAGATTATGTGCTTTGGAGTCAGAAGCAGCTCTGTACCAGCTTCAGCTTTGCCAGCAACCTGTGCATGACCCTGGGCAAGTGGCTACCCTTCTCTGAGCCTCAGTTTTCTCATCTGTAAATGGGACTGATATTGCTTCACCACATATATTCTGAAGATTCATAAGATAATATATGGAAGCTCCTTGCGCTTAGTAGGTGCTCAATATAGATTAGTTCCCTCTCCTTTTCCTGTCCCAATCTCAGGAGGGGTCGAGGGGTCACCTAATTCATCCCCTATCTCCTGATACAAGAACCACACAGACTCAAATCCTGACCCACTGGAGATCCAGGGGCCATGATCCAATCAATGCCTTCTTGTCTTTCAAACTCAGCTTGTTTCCTCCTCCAGGCAGCCCTCTCAGATGCCCTCTCATTTGGTTGAAGAGACCTCACCTGCTCCGTTCCTGCCCCGTACACATGCCCCTCTACTCCACACCCTCCTCTAACTTCTAGTGTTGCACATCTGTGTCCCCAGCTGTCATGGGCCTCAAGGTATGGACTAAGTTAGGTTTGTCTCTGTCAGAACTCTCTGTGCCTGGCACACACTAGGTACCCTGACAATGCCTGCAGAGAAAATACAGGGGGTGGGAAAGTTGAATATGTGTGTGTGTGTGAGTGCACGTGAGTGTGAGCTTGCAAGCTCCTTGAGGGCCAAGCATCTGGCTGTTTATTCCATCTCCCCAGCACCCAGCACGGGGCACAGCACCAAACATATTGAATAAATGAATAATAAAATATACAACAGTCATCAGACTCCCCCAGTTGTCTTCTAGGATTTCTGGAGGATTCAGCCACTCTTAAATCCCAGGTACAGATGGACAGTCGCTGGGAACCTGAAACACTCCAGGCACAGTTCTAGACCTTTTACTGCTGTCTCATTGATGTCTCATCTTGTGCATCAGAGCTTACTCTCTCCCCGTCGTGTAGATGGGCAAACTGAGGCCCAGAGAGAGTCTAAACCCCACCTAAAGTCACACAGGTAATGAGAGACGGCCCCAAAGCCTGACACCACATTCAGAATTCTTTCTACCACATCAAGTGTGGCCAGCCCTGGAGGAGAAATCCCCCTCAAGCCCCATCCCTTGATCATAAACAACATGAAAAACACAAGAGCGATGTTTTCTCATCCCAGGGGGCTGAAAAATGGGATTTATGAAGCCATTAATTACTTCCTCCTAATTAAATCAAAATTAAATGTGAGCATAGGTACGTTTTCCTTATTAAAGACAATTAAACGGACAGTGCGGCTACGCAAATAAAATGAGTCCAGGATTTAAACGGAAAGCAAATCAAATAAAAAGCCTCCCCGGGATGAGGGGTCTGTTCACGACTGTGCTACTCGTAAACCAGGAGTTCATCAATTTTCTTTAAATATTAGCAACTTAATTAAATCTGCTCTCCTCCCCACTTTAATCCTGCCGTATATCTAAAATAGATCTCACCACCTACAGGAGTTGGTCATGAGTGCTGACCCCATAATTCTATCTTTTTTTAAAAAATTAAAAATCCTACAAAATCCACATCCAGCTGACAGAGGCCTCGGGGGAAATTATAGTTCGGAAAACGGATTAGTCAGAGTACCCAGATTTTATGGAAATGCTGGGAGGTTGCTTTGAGGGTGGGTGTCGTGAGAAGGTTCGGGGAGAGGTGGGCCAGGGTTGCCAATGGGGGCAGGGCCGCGGAAGGAGCTGTTTGTGTGGGGCCTTGGCGACAACCGCGGGGCCCAGCGGTTCCTGTGGGTGCTGACAGGAGCCTGGCGGTGAGTGATGGAGGAGGCGGTTGTAAAATAGGTTACCGTCGGGCGCCCGGGGTTCACTCTGCGGATGGTGCTGTTGCTAAGCTACCTTTAGAATTCGACAAGGACGGATGCTCCGAGCGGCTCCCTGGGGTGGGGGGAACCAGGAAGCAGTGAATTAACTGAAACCGTGGTGAAGTCCTTTCTTCCTGAAGAGTGAGAGAGCGTGGTATGAGAGTGTGTGTTTGCATTCATATGTGCCCACACAAGCACTCGTACATACGAGGGACTCAGCTGGAAAGGGGACAGGTGGCTTTTAAAAGCCCAAGCTCATATTCCTAGGGTTGGGGGGTGGGGTGGGCTAATGACAACCTTCCCCCCCACTTAGTGGTAAGAAACTATACTGTTAGGTTGCCAAAAAGACTTTTTGGGATTTGGGGCGGGAGTTCACAGTTAGATGGTACACTCAAGATGGTGGAACTATCCATAATAGTGAGACTTACAAGGTGAGACTTAACAACATAAAAGTGAATACTTACTGAGCACGTGCCAGGACCCAGAGAGTATTCTAGGTTCTTGACAAATGCTAACTCACTGACTCCCCAACGCCAGACTTTGAGCTAGGTCCCAGTAATAGCCTCACTTAACAGATAAGGAAACTGAGGCACAGAGAGGGTAAAAAAGTTGGCCCTCTGTATCCGTGGGTTCTGCATCAGTGAATGCAGCCAACCCAGGATCAAAAACATTCAGAAACAAAATTGGGTCTGTACTGAATGTGTACAGACGTTTTTCTTGTCATTCTCCAAACAATATAGTATAACAACTACTTGCATAGTATTTACACTGTATTAGGTATTATCAATACTCTAGAGATGATTTAAAGTATATGGGAGGATGTGCATAGGTTATCGGCAAATGTTATGCTATTTTATATTGGGTTTTGGTATCCATGGGAGGTCCTGGAACCAATCCCCCATCGAGAGATACTGAGGGACAACTGTAATGTGCCCAAAGTCAGGAAGATCATAAGCAGCCGAGCTGGGATTTGAGCCCACGCAGTACAGCTCCAGGTGGCCCTTTAACCACACACAATGCCACCTCTCTTAAGAAAGTGTACATTGGGCAAATATTTGCTAAGAGATGGAAACTTCTTCTCCCTCCCTGGATGGAGTGTTTTTCTGGAGGTGGCCTTGAGAGTAAGAGAGCAGGGCAGGGGCTCTGGGTGAAGGTGATAGAGAAGGAGGGTGACAAGTCACAACAGCAGTGGCAATGTGGGGACTGGTTGCTGGGGGAAACAGAAAGGGCCCTGGGCCCAGCACAGTGCTTGGCTCCTGGCAGCTGCTTAATATGAGGCTCTTGAAGTGAGCACGGAGATTGTGTTAGGAGACCTGGTTTCTTGGGTTGGTTCTGCAACTATGTTGCTGTGTAGACTTGGCATGATCTTCTCTGCCTCTGGGCCTCAGTTTCCCCTCCTTCTAATGAAGGGAGCTACAGGGCCCTCCCCTGCTTATAGACTGTGGTTCCATGAGATGGGGATGGGGTCAGCTCATGCTGTTGAGGTGATAAAGGCTAGGTAGGGGCAGATGAAGGCGTGAGTCAGCAGCCGGTTTTCTCATCTTTTCAGGATGTGGGTGGCTGGCGAGGCTTTTGCAGAGCCCCAGCTGCTGGGCAGACAGCAAGGCTGAAGTGCCTGGGATGACCACCTCCTCTGACATTTAGGCAGATGCATCAGTCCTTCCCTGTCTCCAGGGTTTTCCTGGACCAAAGGTCTTTTCCCAGGTCTGGGAATCTCTGAGGGGTCTGGAAAATCAGGCTGGGGTTGACCTCTTCTCTTTCTCTTTTGGGGGCTTAAAAACTTCAGCTCAGGGGAACAGGTGTAGTGGCTGACTTCTGTAATCCCAGCACTTTGGGAGGCTGAGGCAGGTGGATCACTTGAGGTCAGGAGTTCAAAGCCAGACTGGCCAACATGGTGAAACCTCATCTCTACTAAAAATACAAAAATTAGCTGGGCATGGTGTAATCCCAGCTACTTGGGAAGCTGAGGCAGGAGAATCGCTTGAACCTGGCCGAGGAGGTTGCTGTGAACTGAGATCGTGTCACCGCACTCCAGCCTGGGTGGGCAACAGAGCAAGACTCTGTCTCAAAAAACAAAAACAAAACCAACAACAACAACAACAAACACTTTAACTCACACAGGTTCAACTCTTGGCCATGCCACTCGCCCACTCTATGACTTTGCCCTCTGTTACTTTGGTTTCTTTACCTACAAAAGGGAATGATGATTTCTACCTTGCAGTTTAAGGGTTAAGTACTTTATATGGGAATAATAAAAAACAGCAACAACAAACAAACAAGCCACAGGCTGAACACTTTATGTGCTCTGTTTTCTTCTTTAATCTTCAACAACCTTAGGAAGCTGGCTCTCTGAGCCCCTGTTTTTACAGATGAAGAGACTGAGTGTTGGGGCAGTAAAGTAACTTGTTCAAGGTCACTCAGTGAAGGGATTGGCAGAACCAGGCCTCAAACTCAGGTGTGTCTGCCTCCAAAGCCTTCATTCTTAGCTGTTTCACCATTGGCTACTACCTATCATATAGCAGGCTTGGTCACTCCATCCCCAGCCCTTGCCCCATTCTACCAGCGTCACCATCTCCCACACCTGTCTGGGAGTCAGGAGTCCTAGGCCCTGCCACTAGGTTGCTGGATGATCTTGAGCAAGGCCTTGAACCTATCTGAGCCCTGTCTGTCAAATCCTTGCTCAGCTTAATTGTGGGAATCATTCATTCATTCATTCATTCAGCCACATGTATGGAGCTTTGGGCCAGGTATTACTGTGTCTAGACCAGAGAAAATCTGAGCTTCCTGCAAGGCAAACCCAAAGGTTTACATCTAGATTTTCCTTCTCTCCTTGTCAAGGATCCTGATCTCTGAGCCTCAGAACTGCCTCCCGGTTCCCACACTCATTTAAGCACACAGGAAGCTCTGGAGTTTTCTTTCCCCACCCACATTGCTGACCAAGACTTCCTGGAAAGCTAATTGGCCCTAACAAAAGCCAGATACTGTCCCGGGGCACCACCCCACTTTCATGCCCTACAATCACCCTCCACTTCAACACCTTAACTGCTGACAAGGCTCTGAGCAAACCAGCTACCTTCAGGTTTCCAAGTCTTTGATTAGGTTACGTCCTCTTTCCCACCAGCCTGATGAACTCCTACACGTATGTCAAAACCCAGTTCAGGTGTTTTCTCCTCCATGAAGCCAGACAAAATATACTATTTAATGATTGCCTACTCAGTGCCTGGTGCTGACTCATGAAGCTTTTCATGCACCAGGGTGCCTCTGCCACTCTGGGGATCCCCAAAGTGGCAGAGGCTGGATCTCACTCACCTTTTCTCCCCAGCATCACACATGGGCCCCACAAGGGGCTCAGGAATTGAATGGATGAATAAAAGTCCTTCTCAGCTCCTTATATGCCTATGTTATAGATCTTCAGCCAGATTTACCAGCATTTACTCAGAGAGTTTGAGAAAGTAGTTTCATTCATTCATTCATTCATTCACTTAATAAACCGTTTGCAAGCAATGTCTGTGCTAGGCACTGGGGATTTCGCGGCGAGCAAAACAAACATGGTCTAATAGAAAAGACACACATTAATTGCACAATGAAACAAACACATGCATAATTAAAGTGTTATGAAGGAAAGATGCTGGGACCTCACGGGGGATGTGACAGCAGATCTGTCCTAGCCTGGTGTGGGCAAGAAGGGTTTCTCTGAGAAAGTGGCATTGGAGCTGTAGTGTGAGTGTAAGGTCATCAGTGGAAGGAGCAGGAAAGGGCAGTTCAGCAGGAGAAACAACTTAGGCAAAGGGGCAGTGGCAGGAGTGTGCATGGGACGTTGACTTTCAGAAGAGCAACGGAAGGGCAGTGAGGCTGAAACTCAGAGACTGTGGCAGGAGATGAGGCTGGAGGAGCCAGATCTTTGTAGTCAATGGATAGAATCTGGGCTAGACCCCAGTGCATAGGGAGCTGCTGAAGAATTTTAAGCAGAGTGGAGCAGCTAGAGTATGTGTGTGAGATGATCGGATTTGCAAACTCGTTCCTAAATCCCACATGCATCTAGCTACAGGATGGAATGGGATTGCCTGCTGGGCTCTTTCTAAGATGCAAAAGGGAGGGGAAGGAGAGGAGGGCATGGGGCGGAGTGGGAGTGGGAATGGGGCTCTGGGCCCCCTTATCAGTCCTTGGCTAGGGAGCAGAAGAGGCACATGAAACATGGATTTAAAAGGGCAGGTGAACAAGGGTTTCTTGTATCTACCCGTGGGTGTCCCCAGGGTCCTGGGATCTGGAGTTGGAGTGGGGCCCCACTTTACCTTGCCCACATACAGGGGCTCCGTGCCCGTGTACTCCTCTACCACGAAGAACTGGTTCCACACCCAGCCGCGTTTGACGCGGCCGGCTCCCAGCGCGCCGTCCTGCCGAGCTCCGGGCGCCGACGGCGAGGGTGTGCCCGCTGCCCACAGGCGCCCCAGCAGCGTCGGCGGCGGCGGCAGCAGCAGCAGCAGCAGTAGCGCGGGGGACAGCGCGACTCCCGCCCGGAGCCCCCTACCTTCGGGCCTCGGCCTCATCCTTGGCCTGCGCGGGGCTGGGGCCCAGGAGCATGGACGAGAGGCACCAGGGCGCCGCTGCTTGGTCGCACAACGATGCGGCGCCGTGTCACATGGTGGCCTCAGCGCGGCCGCCGGGATGTCGCCCCCGACGGGGCACCCGGACGGGCCCGCGGCCCTGAACGCCGCCCAGCCGCGGGGGTACCCGGCTGGAGGGGGAGGGGGCGCGGCCGCATCCGGGGCATGGACAGCCCCCGGGGTGCCCGCCCGCGCCCCCGTCGCCGCGTCGCGTGCGGATCACCAGGCAGCACCTGGACAGCTCCAGAGTCGGGGAAGCGCCATGGTTCCTGCGCAGAAAGGATGCGGGTTGGGGCCGGCAGATCCTGCCAGGACTAGGGGCCTTCCCTTTCCATCAGGAGCCTGCAAGAGAAACAAGAAAACATTAGAGGGGCTTCTGTGTAGGGGGAGGGCAAGTTGAGTCTATCTTTCCTCTTGTAGGTACTAATTAAACACCTGCTGTGTGCCTGGTACTGTGCAGGGTGGGACAGGCATCATAGCAACTCACAGTGGTCCCCTCTTCTTGGAGCCCATAGTCTAGTAGGCGCCCTCTCCCGCACATCGCAGCCTCTCCTTTCACCTGGCATCATACGCCCTGTACTCCCAATCTCCTACGCCTTTCTCACAGCCCCTGCCCCGCTCAGCCCTCATGCCCACACAAGGAGAGACCCTAGTAGGCGGTGCCCCTGACCTGGCTGACAATCTCTCCAGCCCTGCCCAGCCCCCAGAAATCCCCCACCCTAGGTGCTTCTAGAAGGCATCTTCAAGAGCCCCCAAGACCCAGGCCTCCTTGGTGCACAGAAGTCCAGCACCCAGCCCACCACCAAATATGCCTGCCTTCCTATCCATCGCAGCACAGACAGGTCATTCCATCTGAAACAGGCACCAAGGGAAGGCCCTCTGATGTGCTCGTACCCCCACACCAGCTTCTAGGGATACAGCACCTGAGTCCCAGAGGGCCTGGCTTGGAGACACCCTCAGTGACTCCGGGCAGGGTCACAACCCCTCTGAGCTTGCCTCTGGTGCCTCCACATTCCCCCAGAAAATATTTCTTTCCCAGAGTCCGAGAGACATCTTTCCTCCCCACTCTTGGACCAGCCTGCCGTCCCCAGATCCATCCATCTCTCTTCCCTTCTCTCTATCAGATCCTGCTTTCAGCAGGAAAGGATCTGAGGGACTAACGCCTACTCAAGCCATAAGATGAATAATGGCTTAATGTGGGTGTTTACAGGGGACAGCGATGCTGCTTAATGGAGGAATTTCAGGCACAGAGAGGAGTGTGTGGAGGTGAGGGGCTCAATCCCCACTTCTCCTTCTCCTGATCCCAGTTCAGCTCAGTTCAACAGCTCAGTTCCACCAAGCTTCAACTTTGTGCCAGGTTTGGCCAGTTGCCAGGGGCAAGGTAAATAAGCTCACAGTTTAGTGGGGTGGAAGGTGAAACCCTTCTTATAACAACCTAAATGCTAGGTGGCATATGATCGGGGCTATAAAAGTGTCTGTGTGGACAACCTGAGACCTGTGGGGCTCAGGGAAGGGACTGAGCTCGGGTGTTTGGAAAGGGAAAGTAGGCGGGAGACAATCAGGGTTACTTCTTGGAGGAGGCGGCATCTGAGCAGATGGGAAGAAAGGGATGGGCATTTCAGGCAGAGGAGTGTGCATGGTGGCTGAGTGGTCTGGCCAGTTTGGGGAGTTAGATTGTGAGCAGGGGTGTGTGTTTGGGCAGATGGTGTGTAGTGGGTTGGGGTGGGAGGCTGACCTGGCCCTAGCCAGATCTTCCTGAGAACAAAGAAAGTGGCCTAACTCTAGGGAGGAAGAAACGCAGACCACCTTCTTTAACCCAGCATCACAGTGGGCAATGCCCTTCCCTTTAACTCACGGGAATCACAACTCTGAAAATTGTCTTATGCCTATTTTGCAGATGCCTAATTCCCCAGTGCTTTTTTTTCTAGCATCTCCTCCGGAAAATCTTTATGGAAGGAGTTTCAGGGTGGGGAGTCATTGCTGGAAGGTGAGGGTGACGGTGAAGGGGTTAAGCTGTAGTTCTGGGCAATGAGAGTGGGAAAACGTCCACACTCCATAGGGAGGGATGGAGGGAGGGGTCTGGAACACGCTGTTCCCTCTTTCCCTATAGGTCCAAGCCTGAACTCATGGGGTCAGGAGGACCCATGATCCTGTGGTGAACATACCCTGCCTGGTATGACTTCTATGGGCCTGGGCACGAGGCTTCCCAACCCTGGCAGCCCTGCTCCGCAAGCCCTGCTCTGTGCTGCCACCTCCAGGGATCCGGCTTTGATTCCCTGCATTATGACCTGGGCTGGTCGTAATGAGACTGGAGTTATGGGTGAGGAGGAGGTGCAGCTCCAAAGCCTTCATTTCCTGGAGCGTATGGCTTCCCTGCGTGCCCCATGGGAACTGTTCCCCCAACTCCAACAAGCAGCTCCAGGGCCCATCACAGCCCTGCAGGGATGCAGAGGAGGGGAGAGGCTGAAGGGAGAGAGAATTTGGAGGGAGGCTGCTGTCACTTCTGGAGAGGGCTGTGGAGGTCGATGGAGTGGCATGTCAAGGGGAGATCTGCCAGTGTTCACGGGCACCAAGCTGTTGCTCTCCTTCCCTCCTTTCCTTTATTTCTTTGTTTCTAACACCTTTGACAAGGATGGGAGGCAAGAGATCCATTCATTCAGTCACCAAACATGAGGGTCTGCTACAAGCAGGGAGACAGAACAGCGTTTTATCCTTTCACTCATTCATTTATTGAACATACGTTAACAATCGCTTTCTGTTTAAGACAGCAAGATGCAATCAGTTATTCAGCGATCTATCAGCAAAGAGATGCATTTCTTCTTGTTATTCCTTCACTCTTTCCACAAATGTTTACCAGCACCTCTCTTATGCCAGTCCATGTGCTGGGCACTGGGGACATAGCAATAAAAAAATGAAGTACTGGCCGAGTGAGGTGGCTTGTGCCTGTAATCCCAGCATTTTGGGAGGCCGAGGCAGGTGGATCACTTTAGGTCAGGAGTTCGAGACCAGCCAGGTAAACATAGTGAAACCCCATCTCTACTAAAAATACAAAAATTAGCCAGGCATGGTGGTGGGTGCCTGTAATCCCAGCTACTCAGGAGGCTCAGACAGGAAAATCACTTGAACCTGGGAGGTGGAGGTTGTAGTGAGCCAAGACCATGCCACTGCCCTCTAGCCTGGGTGACAAAGTGAAATTCCATCTCAAAAAAAAAAAAAAAAAAAAAATTGAAGTCCTGGCCCTCATGGAACTGACTTTCTGGTGGGGGACACAGATAATAGAGGAATTAATCTACAGTATAATTTCAGGGAGTGGTAAACATTGAGAAGAAAAGTAAAGAAGGACGAAGTGGAGGGAGAATGATGGAAGGAATGGAGTGAGTGCGTTGTTAAAGATATGGTATCAGGGAGGGAGGGCCTCTCAGAGGAGGTGGCATTGGGCTGAGTCTGGAAGGATGAGAAGGAGCTGTGCACAAAATAGTTCCACACAGAGGGAACAGCATGCAAAGGTCCAGAGGTTGGAATGAGCTGAGATGGCATTTGCAGCTAAAGTGCAGGATGCATCTGGACATGTGGAATTTGGGGTGTTGGGGAGGAGAAGGCACGCTTGTTGTAGAAGGGCTGTCCAAGGCAAAGGCCTGGAGTCAGATCCCAACTTTATATATTTTTAAAATTTTATTTATTTATTTTTGAGACGGAATTTCTTTCTGTCACCCAGGCTGGAGTGCAGTGGCGTGATTTCGGCTCCCTGCAACCTCCGCCTCCCCGGCTCAAGCAGTTCTCCTGCCTCAGCCTCCAAAGTAGCTGGGATTACAGGTGCATGTCACCACACCTGGCTAATTTTTTAATTTTTAGTACAGATGGGGTTTCACAGGCTGTTCTTGAACTCCTGACCTCAGGTGATCCACCCACCTCGGCCTCCCAAAGTGCTGGGATTACAGATGTGAGCCACCGTGCCTGGCCAAGATCCCCACTTTACAGAGGGGGAAAGTAGAGCCCAGGAGGACTCTACCAAGCATACATCATGACAAAGCAGTGCCTCAAACGTGGGACTTGGACTCCTCAGGCATAAGGCATCTTTGGGGAATGGGAAAAAATGCACCTCTAGGTGAATGCAACCCAGTGTCGGAGTCACAACTGGCAGGGCAAGCCTGCCCCGCCTTGTGAGGGCACAATCTGTACTACTGTTTGAGGGTGGAGCCCTGGCCCTCCCATCCTCACCTCTCCCTCCCCTTCCTGGCCCTTCATACCTCAGCCTACAGGTCCTCCCTCAGGCATCTTGGCTAGGTGCCCTGGCAGCCTGCCAACTCTTCACTGCTCTGCACAGCCCTGCTAGGGCTGCCACAGACATGTCGGCCTCCTCCCTCCCTTCCTCCCTTCTTCCTTTTCCTGCTCCAGCTGCTTTTCCTGAATGGATGGTGACTACAGAACCCTGTCCTGGCATTCAAAATTGGTCCAGGGAGGCAGCTGTGGAGTCCTGCAGCTGCATTCAGCTCTCCTGGGACCGCCTCCCATGAGACCTGGGGCACGTTGGTGGCCTTCCCTGGTCCTCAGGTCTCAGCCTACTGCACAGAGCTGTTTAATCCCAAATGGGATTAAAAACTGAGCCCAGGCCTGGCTCAATAAATGTTGGCTCTGCCCTGTCCACACTTCAGCCTCACCTCCTATAATCTGTCCGTCTGCCCATGGGCCTACATATATGCCTATGGCTTCTGTGTGCGTGCGAACATGTGTCTGCAGTCACATATGTGACTGAGTGTGCATGACGATCTGATATGCATTCCTTCATTTCACAAATATTTATGAGTTTCCACTCTGTGTTGTTCTAGGCACAGCAAAAAGAAACAGGTAGAGTCCTTGCCAGGTGGGGGCACAGACAATAAACAAATAACGTGTCAGACAATGGCAAGTGCAGTGGAGAGAGCAAAGCAGAGTAAGGGGCAGGAAGTTCTGGGGATGGCGGGATTTGCTGTTTATCCATCTATCATCGTTATTACAAATACTCATTTAAACAGGGTAGCCAGGGAAGGCCTTGTCATTAAGATGAGATTTAAACAGAGATCTGAAGTGAGGGACAGAGGGGTTGTGCACAAAGCTGGGAGAAGAGGGTTTCAAGCTGAGGCAACAGCAGGTGCAAAGTCCCTGAGGTCAGCAGCATGTGTCTAGTGGGAAGGAGGAACATCGGGGGTCTCGTGTTGCTGAAGTGGAGTGAGTGCAGGGGAAGCAGCAGCAGATGAGGTCAGAGAGTGTGGGGGTGGAGTCAGAGCCTACAGGCTCTCTTGGGATTTTTCTGTGAGTGAGATGAGACCCCTAAGAGGGTTTGAGCAGAAGAGTGACATGATCTGACTTATGTTTTAAAAGATCATTCCGGGCTGGGTGCAGTGGTTCATGCCTGTAATCTCAGCAGTTTGGGAGGCTGAGGCAGGAAGATTCCTTGAGGCCAGGGGTTCAAGAGCAGCCTGGGCAACATATCAAGATCCTGTCTCTACAAAAAACTATTTAAAAAAATTAGCCAGGAATGGTGGCATGTGCCTGTAGTCCCAGCTACTTGGGAGACTGAGGCAGAAGGATTGCTTGAGCCCAGGACTTCAAGGCTGCAGTGAGCTATGATCACACCATTAACACTCCAGTCTAGGTGACAGAGTGAGACCCTGTCTCTAAAAGAAAAAAAAAAAAAGGCCAGGCATGGTGGCTCATACCTGTAATCCTAGCACTTTGGGAGGCTGAGGCAGCTGGATCATTTGAGCCCAGGAGTTCAAGACCAGCCTGGGGAACATGGCAAAACCCTGTCTCTACAAAAAAATAGAAAAATTAGCTGGGTGTGCTGGCATGTGCCTGTAGTCCCAGCTACTCAGGAGTCTGAGGTGGAAAAGGATCACCTGAGCTTGGGGAGGTCGAGGCTGCAATGAGACATGATCACACCAGCCTGGGTGACAGTGAGGCCTTGTCTCAAGAAAAAAAAAAAAAATCATGCTGGCTATTGTGTTAAGATAGTCAGAAGCTGGGGTTGGGAGGAGCCTATGGCAATATTTCAATAATTCGGCAGAGGACTAGTCAGGGGCTTTGATCAAGGGGGAGCAGCGGAGATGCTGAAAAGTGAGGCTGGGCCACAGAATATGTTGATGGGTCAGAAATGGGGTTCAAGGGAAGACAGCAACTGAGTGTGACCATGCCCTCAGCCTGGGCAGCGGCAATGATGGCGTTTCCTTTCATTCAGAGCTGAAGACGGCAGGAAGAGCAGATTTGGGGGGTGATCAGGAACTGACCTTGATGTGTTACAATCAGTTTTTGGACAGGTTAAACCCCGAAAGCCTGTTAGGCATAAAGCAGAGATACGGAGCAGGCTCCTGTACCTATGGCTAGGAGTTCAGGGGTGAGGTCCTGCTGCAGGTAGCAATTTGGGAATTTGAGTGGCATGTAAAGCTGAGACTGGGTGAGAGCACCAGGGAGTGACTGTTGATGGAGAAGAGATCTGGGGACTAAATGCTGGGGGACCACAGCTACAGTGATCCAGGAGATGAGGAGGAAACAGCAAGAGACTGACAGAGAGAAGGGGAGGAAAAGGGAGATATCCTGGGAGCCAACAGAAGAAAGTGCTGTAGGGAGGGAGTGGTGAACTGTGCCGAATGCTGCCATTGAGGGGTAAGTGTCTGTCCAACTTTGCCTGGGACAGCTCCACGGCATAACTGTTAATAATGTTCCCCCAGTTTGGATGATAAATCATGTGATCCTACTGATAGGTCAGATGTGGACTTTGACTTGACCATTGGAGTTAGTGGGGCGGAGGTCATTAGTGACCTTGCTGGCAGTGACTTGGTGGAGTAGTGGGTGCACACACATGACTGGAACAGGTTCAAGAGAACTGGGAGGAGGGAAGGTGGGGACATGTGTGGGTGGGCGATGGTCCCTCTTGGGATTTGTGAAGGTTCATTTGCCTGTTGCCCCCACCCCCCAACCGCATCCCAGTAGAGATGGCTCAAGACTGAGGCTCAGGACACAAATCAGCATCCACACAATGCCACCAGGGCAGCTTCAGCTGTGTGGGGAGGGCCAGAAGAGCCTCCTTCTCCCTGCACCCCCTCCTCTACTCTTCCCATCTCTCCTGCCGCAGGGCCCGGCCAGACTCATCCCCATGTGCCCAGACTGTGACGGAGCCAACACCATTTGCCTGGGACCCCTGTGGGCCCTAAGCCCCCTAGCAGGACAGGTGAGTCTCTGTCCTTGCCCAGGCTCCTGTGACCTGGCAGATCCTTGCTGCTCCTGCCTAGGGCTGGGTTTCTCTAGTGGGTATGGGAAGAGGAGAGCAGCCCCAACCCTGGGTGTGCCCCCTGCCTCCCAGCTCCCCAGCAGCCTCGGGAAGAGTCCCATAGCTCCAGTTTCTGGCAGTCACCGAGCACCTGCTGTGCTCTGGGTCCTGTTGAGGCTCTGTCACTCTGTGGGACACACACAGGAGGCAGGCACGATGTGAGAAATATTCACAACTTGAGGCAGCATAGACACCAACCACACTGACTGCAGGGTCCCAGGGGCCAAGAAGAGGGGAGGTCCAGGAGATCCCTGTGGTAGGGGCTAGGGTGACAGGGTTGGGTGGTCTTCAGGGGGTTTGGGACAGCGGCTATTTACCAATAGCGATGAAGCATTTCCATACACATTACAGCCACACTACGTGTACTTGACTCTTCTCTGCCTTGGAAATAGGCCAGATGTGGTCCCTGTTCTTAAGGCAGTCACAGCCTAGGGTAGAGACATCCATTCCTTAATTCATTCCACAAACTCTTACAGAACATTCCCTAATGAGCCAGACAGACCGTTAGGTACTCTTGAGATGATGGAAACCTAAAGACATAATTCTCCCAAAGAGCTCACCATCTAGAGGGTGGCAACAGCCATTCAGCATTTACAGTGCACCTCACATGTACCATTTTCTCATTTATCCATTCAATGAACACTTATTGAACTACTAGGTACCAAGTTCTGTGCTGGGTCCCTGGCAAGTTTCACAAATAAGCCTTAACAGGTTTGTGGCCAAATTACCAGATTCTAATGAGAGAAATCCCTGGCAGTTGCTCATTTATCAGTGAACCAAAATCTAGTGAAGACCTACTATGTGCCACACCACCTGTAAGTGCTCTGCAAATTAAATGCACATGCTCGCAGATGAGCAGGAGAGACCAATATTTTTTAAACCCAAACAAAAAAATCCCACAACAAAAAATAAAACCTGGAAAATGGAAAGTGTAGGAAACTCATGCAAGATGTGAAGGCTCAGAGGAAGAGCTCCTATCTCCTTGAGTAACCATGGAGGGCTGCCTGGAGGAGGGGGGCATTGGAGCTGATCCTTGAAAGGTGAGGAGGATTTGAACACAGGGAGATGAAGTAGGAAATTACTGGAAGAACAAGCATGAGCAGAGGAAACCTAGGACATGAATGGGATACAGTGAATAGTGTAGTCTGGCTGGGTTTTATGGTGTATAAAAAGAGTGATGGTTGGCACCAAAGTTATCAAAAGAAAAAAGAACAAAAATGAAATGAGAAAAAAAAGAGTTATGGGAAATACAAAGGACATGGCTGGCTGCAAACAGCCAATTCATCCCCCATCCTTCTTTCTTGTTTCTATTTCATTTCAACATTTGCCTTCAGCTTGGCCATGTGCTCAGCCCCTCCTCTGTTAATAGTGACTAGTCTAAACCAATAGGAGCCAGACTCCTCTCCCTACCAGTAATTGATTTAGAAAGTATTATGTGACACAATTCTGGTCAGTGAAATATAAAAATATATCTTCTGTGAGCTTCTGGGAAATTTTTATTATTCTTAAAAAAGAGATGCCTTAAGGAGGACCTTTTTGTTTTCTGCATGTGGAAATAGGTGATGGCTGGTACAATAGCAGCCACTTTTGGTTGATGAAGGGAACAACACCAAGAGGCCAAAGAGGCCTACTAAGAAAAGACAGAACAATCTGTGTCCTTGGAGATGTTGTGGAACTACTGAATTAAGCCACTCTAGGTCTTGAATCCACTTCCAGCCTCTACTTCCTCCAGACTCTCTTTCTCTTTTCTCTGAACTCCCTCAGGCCTGTCTGGCTGGGTCTCCCTTTGGGGTTTGCTGTCAGCTGCATGGCAAACTTCCGAAGGACAAAGACCTCACCTACTCCTTCTTCCATCCCTTTCCCCGTTCCCACACACATACCTGGCAGAGCTAAGTACAGAACTGGGGCCTGGGAGGGACTCAGGAGAGGCTTGCTCCAGACAGACTTCAGAGGCTGGTTGGGTAATATGACCTTCCCTCTCACTGGGGAGTTGCCAGCTGTGGGCATCACTGCTGCTGCTTGCACTTCCGGAGTCTGGCTGGATGGCCAGCATGTCCTTTCTTGATTTCTCAATGCTCTGGCAACATCACTGCCAAGGCTGTATGACTGCCAGCTTGGTGGCTCCAGGCTCTCCCTTGTCATCTGGCTTTCCCCTGTCATCTGGCTTTCCGCCTATGGACAGGGGAAGGTATTCTTATCCTACCTGTCATGGGATTTCTGTCCTCTCACTCTGCCAAGACCAAGAAGTGGGGCTGCACAGAGCGACCCCCAGACAGAACAAAGTAGAACAGATTTTGTGGAGCTGCCTGGGGCTTCTGCACCCCTGCCTCCTCCCCCAAATTCCTGATAATCCTTTTAACATTCAGGGGACCTAAGACCATGAGATCCAAAGTCAGACCAGAGTTTGAGTTCCAGTTCCATTATTTTACTGTATGTATGACCTTGGTAATTTGCTTCCTTTCTCTGAGCCTCAGTTTTCTCATCTGAAAAATGGGGATAATAGTATTTACCTCCCAGGGCCAACATAAGGTGTAAATGAGATGAGGCATGTGAAGGAATCTGTGGTGTTTGGCAACAAATGTTAGTGAATGTCATCAGAATGACTAGTGTTGTTATTATTATTTCTGGTCCCTGGACAAATACTACTGGACCCTATTATGCACAAAGTATCCTGGCCAGGCGAGGAGAGTTTAGAGATCTTCATCCACTCAGCCATTTATTTATTCAGTCATGTATTTATTTAACAACTGTGCTAATCAGGCCTATAGTGCAGCCTGAGTCAAGAAGAGTGAAGAGTTGCACAGGGTATGGGAGTTGCCTCCTGCTCCAGCGCCAGACTCAGGCTAGGGGAAAGGGTAGTTCAGGAAGAGGCAGCTCATTCATCTGTTCATTCCTTTACTCACTCACTTCTCCCGGCACACCTGGCTTGTATGTGTCCTCTCTCCATGCTTGCCTGGCTTCCAGGGCTGCCAGTGGGAGCGGTGCCTGACAGTCTGGCTCCTGTCTGCCCCCACTGAGTCCCAGCGGCACTGTGCCTGCTGGATCCTGAGCCCAGAGCTCTCTGTGCTTGGCTGCCATCTTCTCCCTGGGGGAAAATTATTTCTACCAGCTCAGTGCTCTCCTTTTGGGCCAGAATAGCTCCCGGTGTAATGCAGGAGCTATTGAGGCATGGAGGGGTGCTGGGAAGAGCCACTTTGTCTCTGCTCACCTCTCATTGCCTCCTACCCCTAGGTATAAGGCACGATGGAGCCACAAATGAAGGAGGCAACCAGTTACTGCCTTAGCGTGCCTGCAACTCACATGAGCATGTGTGTGGCTGAACACATGCATGCATGTGCATCACTGATGTGTGCAGGGGTGGCATACACACGCACCACATCCCGGCACCAAGGACAGCTCCCTACACATACTAGGTGCTCAATAAGTGTGGAGCGAGAGACTAAATGGGTGTCTACTCTTCGTGTGCTGAGCCCAAGGGCTGTTTCTGGGGCCTGGGAGTGATGCACGTGTAGTGTTGGGACAGAGGGTGTTTGCATCTCTGAGTGTATTTGTGTGTGTGTGTGTTGAGGGGGTGGGGGGTGGTGGAGTGGGGGCAGGATATGCCAAAGCTTCTGGGCTTGGTAGCTGAACATCACCCAGGAAGGCAAAGGTGGAAGGTCAGGGGAGAGGGGATGATCAGAGCTGGGGTCTTATGTACCCCATATACACAGTCACCTCATCTGCAAAGGCTGACCTGGGGCCCCCAGTCTTGCCCCCCGCCCCAGGCTATATGTCGAACATGCTGCCGCACAGGTCTTCATGAAGCCTGGCTCAGTCTGGATGGTTTTCCTGTTCCAAACCTTCCTTGCTCCCTTTCCCCTTTAAGATAAAGCCCAGACTCAGGCCTAGCGTTCATTCATTACTGTTTAGAGTAACAAAAGGTTTTTCATGCTCAATAACTCCACACACAGCCTTTTGAGGTGAATACTGTTATTTGCCTCCATTTTTCAGATAAGGAAACTGAGACACAAAGAGTTTATGTGATGGGCCCAAGGTCACACAACTGATATGTTGTGGAGTCTGGATTTGAACTCTGATCTGCCAGCTCCAAAGCCTGCACCTTTAGCC
This sequence comes from Homo sapiens, assembly GCF_000001405.40. Taxonomy (NCBI): domain Eukaryota; kingdom Metazoa; phylum Chordata; class Mammalia; order Primates; family Hominidae; genus Homo; species Homo sapiens. Next base: position 46,262,762 of record NC_000020.11, read on the forward strand.
ACTACCCACGTGGCCCACTCAACGCCCTGCCTGATTGGGACCTGCCTACTCTCCATCTTGCCACTGCCTCTTTTCTTCCTGGGCAGATGGAACCACCTGCTGTTAATGACATTCATGCCTCTGGGCCTTTGCTCCTGCTCTTGCCTCTGCCAACAATGCCCTTCTCCCTTGCTGTCCCACGTCCAGCTCTGACTCAATGTTCAGCGCCCAGCCCCACTGCCCTTTCCTCCATGTGGTCTCTCAGCCTCCTCCCCTGACCCTGGAGAGCTCACACTTATCTGAGCCTGTGTCTCAGAACCAAGCTCTTCTTTGTCCTGGCCTCAGCATTCTGCCCACTGGCTGTGGGTGCTTCATTCTTGCTCTCTGTCCTTCAGCTCACACTTCAGTGCTGTGATCAGAGTTTGCACTACTGAATGTGTGAGTGAATCCATGAAGGGATATGTGGATGGATGGATGAATGGATGAACGGAAGGACACATGATGGGGTTGCCTGGTTACTGCTGTACCCCATCCCTCAGACTGCTCTTCTATGCTTGTTCCACTTATGGATTCATCAAATATTTATTGAGCACCTACTATGTGCCAGGCTAAGTATGCAGCAGTTAGAAAGTCAGACAAAGTCCCTGTCCCCATGGCCTTCCATTCTGTGTGTGTGTGTGTGTGTGTGCGTGTGTGTGCATGTGTGTGTGTGAAGCAGGGGAGATACATTTACTCATCCAACAACCTCACAAATAAATGCACAATTACCAACTGTGCCAAGGTCTGCAAAGAGAAAGTACAAGGAGCCCCCACATTTATAGGGGACACTACCTCATTAGGGATGGGTGGGGCAAGTTAGGGAACAGTTCCCTGAGAAGGGGTTTTTTAGCTGAAACCCAAAGGATGAGTGAGATGTACTGAGGCACAGGTGGCAGAATGTGCAGAGCCATATTTAGGGGACCGAAAGGCCAGGGGAAGAGCAGAGTGTGAGGGGAGAAGCTAGGGAAACAGCTGAGGACGGGCCTGGAGGAGTTGAGATTTTGACTCAACCAGAAGGCACTGAAGAGCTTTTGGCGGAGGAGATGTGTTCAAGGTTGTGTCTTAAAAGAGGTCACTGTGCTTGTTGCTGGAAGAACAACTGTGGATGTACAAGGCTGGAACTGGGGACCCGTGAGAAGGTGGTGGCAGCATCTGAGGAAGAGGGTGGTGGTGGCTCGGACCAGGGAGGCTGGCGTGGGATGGAGAAAAGGTAACAGATTTGGAATATTTAGGAAGCAAAATGGATCAGAGTTGGTGATGAATCAGATGTAGCGGACGAGGGAGGGAGAGACATCAAGAGTGACTCCCCGGATTTTATTTTTGTTTTAGCTGACGTTTTTTGATCACCTACTAAGAGCCAGGCACTGTTCTAGCACTTTATGTGCATTAGCTTATTTATTCCTCACAATAACCCCATAAAGTAAGTTATCATTATCCCCTTCACAATCTCACTTCACTCCAATGAGAAGGCTAGGCAAAGGGACACAGTGGAATGTGTCCCAAGCTTTGTTCCTTTGGGGAACAACCTTGGCAGATCACAGGCACAGGGAAGGAAGAAAGAGAGGCCAGTTGCATACCTTGAGCTGATTCTGAGTCAGTGAGAATAATGATAGATAACATTTATAGCGCTTTTACTATGTGCCAGGCATGGTGCCATCCAATTAGCTAATAATAAGAGGTAACACTGAGTTCCATGCAGGGCACTTTATATCAATGATCTGATTGAATCCTCACAATAGCTGTCTTTAAAATTTCTATTACAGAATCAGGAACAGTGGCTCAGAGAGGTTGAGGGACTTGCCCAAGGTCACACAGCTAGTTAGTGGAGGATCTGGAATTCAAACAGGCTCTGGCAGTGGGAGGGAAATGAGGATGGGCCGGGAGGTGCTCAGTGGCTGCTGGAAAGGACAGGCCTGCGTTTGGCTCTCAGCATGAACCATGTCCTTCCCCCACGCTACTTGACGTGACTTAACCCAGGCCTGAGTCCCTCCTTAAGGCCTGACCTCCCGTGCAAATTATGAACATGTATGAGTATGCACACACACACACACACCATGCACACACACACACCGTGCACACACACACACCGTGCGCACACACACACACCGTGCGCGCACACACACCGTGCGCACACACACATACCGTGTACACATGCAGACTCCTTGGCTAGCACTGCTCACCTGCCCAGGGGCAACCTGTTAGAACCCTCCACCTCAGGTGCCCCTGGCCTGCACCTGTCTCCCTGCCCTGCCCCCACCCTGCCCGTGTGCCGGTGCCACCGGCAGAGCCGTGCTGTACATCATGTTGACAGTAGAAATTACATCCCGAGCTGCTGTTTTACACCGCGCCCTGTCAGAACTCACTGCAGCCCAGTGATCAGGACAAATTGAATACCATCCTGGCCGTGTCAATATTTATTCCATTTTACAAACGCGTCCGGATGGGGGCAGGGCCCTGCCATGGTGCCAGCCAAGCAGAGTCCCAGGAGGCCCTTCTCCCTCCAAACCGCCTCCTCCTTGCTCTTTTCCCCTCTTCCTCCTCCTCTTTCTCTACTTTTCATAATTAATTAAAATTGTACAATTCAGCCTTGATAATGAAAGCTGCACAAATCATACATGCATAGTTTAACGAAAAGTCATAAAATGAACCCATGAATCCACACTTTGAGCAAAATACTGAAAATAGCCCCCTCCTCAGAAGCTCCTACTGTGTGTCCCATTCTTGAACATAACCCATTGGTTCCTTCTGTCCTGGCTTTTATGACTAGTTCCTTGCATTTCCTTATTGTTTGTCTCCCAACTATGCATTTCTGACCATCTTAGTTTAGTCTTGCTTGTTTTTGAGCTTGTATATCATACTGAATGGTCTTTTGCATCTTGCTTCTTTTTCTCAGCATTATGTTTGTGAGATTCGTCTTTGTTCTTGCATGTGTTCCTTTTCACTGCTGCATAGTACTCCATTGCATGAATATACCGTGACTTAGAAATCCATTCATCCATTCTCCTTTTTCTTCTTCTTTCCCCTTTTCTCCCACTTTTCCTTCCCTTCCACCTTCTTCTCTTCTTCTTCCTACTTCTCTTCCTGTTCCACCTCCTGGTTGCCTGCCCCCTGTTGTTCTATTGTTTTGTCTGCTACATCTGGGAGCTGTGCACACATTCACACAGATACACACACACACACACACACACACACATTGATCCCAGCTCCTCCATCCTACTGAACTACTGGGGGCCCAGATGCCCCCTCTGGGTCTCTCTCTCTCTCTCTCCCTACCCAGATTTTGGGTATGTGGCTCCAGCCAGAGGGAGGCTCTCTGTGGACCTGAGTCTATTAAAGTTTATCTGTTTTAGAGGATTCCTGGGGCAGAGACTGGGGGAATGGTACAGCAGGGTCCTTTGTCCTCACACATCCTGTCTCTACTGTAGCAGCCTTGGGGAGAAGGCCTCTCTTCCCACTCTCACCTACTCTGGGCTGGGGTGGGAACTGAGGTGGCCCCAGGTGGCCTTATGGCTGTCCGTAGGATGCACAGCTGTGCAGGGAGAGAGGACTGGGACCTGGGTCATTCAGGGGCCAAGCCTCAGCCTCAGCTCTGCTCATTGAAGGTCTTGTGGAGCACCCGTCCTGTGCCTAGCATTGTGTCTCACCAAGGCAGAGAAGGACCTGCAGGCTGGTGTGTGTCTGGGGCCTCCTAGGAGCCATTACAGAGCAGGTTTGGAGACCCCAGGAGCATGTGTGACACATTTCATTCCAGTCTCCCTTAGCCCCTTCTCTGTCTTGGAGCTGCTTTGATGATGCACATATTCGGGATAGTTAATTTTTATTGTAACCTGAGCAGATGACATTAAAGAATCTGTCCCTTTGTGGTACGGGAGAAAGCTCTCTAGGCTGGACGGCAAGTGGAGTAGGTTGGAGCTTGGCTTTGATCCCATAACACTGGGTGACCTTGGGCAAGTCCCTGCCCTGGACTTCTATACAATGGAAGGTCAAACTGCAGTTCTCAGGGCTCATCAGAGGACAGGGTCATGCCGGTGTATAGCAAGGTGAGGCTTGTTCAAAATCTCATTGCCAGGCCTCTGGAGCCCCAGATTCAGTAAGGATGATAATAGTACTAACAGGAAGGTCTATAGGGTGCTTTTTTTTTTTTTTGCCTTTTTCCACATGTTCTAATAGGGTGCTTTCTATGTGCCAGAGACTGTGCCTTTGATGAGCAAAAAGAAGAGGCTGTACTTTTTGACCACTCTGCTAAGCACACTCCATAGGTTATCTTGCTTCATCTGTGCCACATCTGTTTTATTATAATTGTTATATTACAGATAAAGAAACTGGAGCACCGAGAGGTGAAGTCACTTGTCCAAGATTACAGCCAGGAAGTGGGAGAAGCCAGGACTTGAACTAGGAAAGTCTGGTGCCAGAGCCTGTCCTCAGTCTGGGATAGCTTCTAGCAGATTCTGATGTTGGCCTGAGAGCCTCTGGAGCAGGTGGTCCACAAGTTGTGGAACAGAGATCAAGCATGGTACACTAACTGTGTGCCCAGCCCCGAGCCAACTGCTACATGTTTTCACAGTGATTCAACAAGGTATGTGTGAAGGGCTCATTCCCACACACAACCAGTGTGAGCTCTTATTGCTCTTATTTTAGGCAATTGTCACACCATCCTCCTGAGATGGGCTTTAGTCTCTCCAGTTACCAATGAACAAAGAAAAGTGTCAAGAAGAGAGGTGGCTTGCTGAGAACCACATGGCTAGGGGCCAACTCCAAAGCAGTGAGCTTCCGCCCCAGCATACTCTGCTTCCATTCCCTGACTCAGCTCTGCAGCTGAATGGCGTCTCCCAACTCTCCCAACCTCAGTCTTTCCATCTGTGAAATGGAGGAGTTGGACTATTGGGCTGGGAGCCCCTGACACCATGTGTGACCTTGCATGATTTTCTTCCCTTCCTGCACCTCAGTCTTTCCATCTGTAAAAGAAGTTGCCAGTATCCTACTCCAATGCTACTTATAAACGCTGCTTTAAAACAAAACTCCTGGTGAGGGAAGGCCCTAAGTCCAGCTCCCTGGAAACAGGCCTTGAGCCAGAGCTTTGCCTGCGGGAGGTTCACTGGGGGAGAGTTCTCAGGAACACCGTGGCAGGGGTGAGGGAAGCAGGACCACGTGGAGGGAGAAGTTGAACTGTGAAGCTCTCTCAGCAGGGGCCTCAGCTGCTCCCACAGGGAACTCTGGAGCTGGGATGCTCCAAATCGAGCAAGGGGCCAGGCCTTTGAATCCATGTATCTACCAGATATTGGACATGGGTTTCTGTCCCCTCACCCGCCTAAAGGCATGACGTGGGGTGAGGCAGCTGACTTTGGCTGAGGGCTGTCAGCAGCTACAGGGTCAAAACCGTCCTGGGTGGTATGATCCATCACATAAAACCTGCTAAAAACTCGGGCCGACCTCAGCCCTGGAAACAATAGCAGGCAAGACGTGGCCTGAGCCTGGGCTTATCCAGCTGGGCCTGGCCCCGCTCCGAGGGTCTGTCGCTTGCTGTGATCACAGCAGGATCAGTGCCCCAGATCTTGCTTAAAGCCTGGCGGCCACCGCCTGCCTCGCAGCTCATCTCCCGCAGCTCCCCGAGGTCCCAGCGATTATGCCACTGAAAATTCCGCTTTCATCTTGTCAACCTCGCAGTAAATTACAGGCCTGGGGAGGCGTGGGCCTCCTCCTTAAACAAGATTCAATTCCACTTAGCTGCCCCCATTCCCACCCCACACACGGGTTCCCTCCCTCCCACCACCCCGGGCTCGGGATTTATGGCCTCTCTTTGCAGGCAGCTGGTAACCATGGCAAGCTCCTTAGGGAGGCTTCAGGCTGGAGCCTCCTTAGCCCCAGACTCCAGCACGGCCGGCCGCTTTCTCCTAGGATGGGAGAGGGGAGAGGCCAGAGATGGCAGGAATGGGCTTCAGGGGCCAAGGCCGAGAGGTCATAGTAACCCCAGCAATCATGAGAACTTCAACACTACCACATCTGACCCTCACAATAACCATCATTTCCCCCATTATATAGATGGGCAAACTGGGGCCAGGGAGCATGAGGTCACTGCCAAGGTCACAACCAAGGAAGCAGTTGACTCTGGGGCTGAGGTGTTTAAGCACTCTGGCATACTCCTTCTTTCCCCAGCTGCTGCTTTTGGATGTTCAAATCTCTCTTAGATCTCAGCCCCTGCTTACATTCCCCTAGTGATGGGGAAATCACTCCTCTCTGGCAGGCCTGTTATCTCTCTAACGATTAGACATAGTTGCCAAATAATTGATCAGGCCCTGTGACCCCTCAGAAGGGTTATTTTGACACTGACTGCCCTCTGTGATCTGGCTGCTAACTCTCTTCTGCAAACTGATCTTTCATGGTTTGCCACCACAGCAGGCTGCCTGGGGTCTCCTTGCTGCTCAGTGTCCCGCTCTGCCCCAGGTCTTTCTTATTCATTCCCATCCTGCTCCAATTACCAGCCCTGTCTCCATTCCTATCACAGAATATCAAAGCTGGAAATCCATGACTCCTCATTTTCCTGATGGAGAGAGGCCCAGAGAGGGGATGCACTTCTCTAGTGCACAGGGTGAATTGACAGTGTGGGTCCCAAATCTTCCGCCAATAAAATAATAAATAGTACTGAGCATAGCTAACTTTTGTCAAGTGCTTGATAACCACCATTCTAAGCATTCACGAATGTAATCCATTTACTTCTCACATAACCCTATGAGGCAGATCCTATTTCTATTGCCATGTTGCCATGGAGACAAAGTGCAGAGAAGTGACTTGTCCAAGATCACACAGGCAGTCTGACGTCAGAGCCATGCTCCGAACCAGGGGCTCCCCACACCGTGCACCCTCTCTCCATTCCACGTGGCCCGTTGTGGGTGGTTGAGCAGACAGAGGATGCCAAGAGGAGCCAGCCTGCCAGGGACAAGTAAGGGCACCTGCTCTGCCAGGGAAACTGGCCTGTTGCTTTCATTCTTGGGCTGGGGGCCTGAGGTCAGCATTCTCCCTGCCCCAAGCCTACCCCCTGCGGATTTCCCCATCCACCTCCTCAGGGACTTCCAGCCTTGTGACTTCTTCCTACTGGACTGCAACCCTGGACCTCTGGAGGCAGGGGCTGAGGTCTGATTCATCTCCAAACCCCAGAGCCTCACCCAGGAACCAGTATGTAGTAGGTGCTCAAAAAAGACTTGTTTTTATCCAAGGGAGTCAGGTAGGCTTGCTGCAGCAGGAGACATTTGAACTGATCCTTGAAGGATAAGTAGGGGTTCGCCATATAGAGCAAAGGGGAAAGGAATTCCAGGCAGAGGGAAGAAGCTGAGCAAAGTCTTGGAGGAAGGGCTATTCAGAGAGCCTAGGGGAAGAAAGTAGAAAGGGAAGGCATAGCCAGCCCGAGCACCTTGCTACAGGGCTGGGTCTTAACTTGGAGATAGGAGCACTCATTCTGACCTGATGGTGCTGGGAACAGATGGGGAAGGAGAGAGGGAGAGAATATTTCTCACAGGTCCTACATCCCCAGGTAGGGCCTGCTGGGGCTGCAGGCTGCAGTGCAGTTTGGCCAAATCACTCACCCCAGACTGTGAGCAGGGCCCCATCTGGGGTGACAGATAGGCAGCACTGAGCCAGGCCTGAGGGGGCTTTTACTTTATCCCCTCTCCTGACAAGCGATAGAGCTGGCAGATAAGGCATCTTCTTCCTTAATCTCCGGTCTCGGGCTGGAACAAGAAAGGGGGGCGAGACTGGCACCTTGTTCAAGCCTGAATCCTCTTCTTCCTGAGTTTAAAGCTATGGATTCTAGTCATGGATTCTTCATGGGAATCCTTTCTCCAGGAGGCACTGCAGGTGTTGAAGGAAATGGAGTTCCCATACAGGGTTATACTCCAGGGGCTCTGTGCAGGGGTGGTGAGACCCTAAGTCTGTGTTCATCTTTACCCCATGGATGGAACAGTCTGGAACTCCAAGGAGAAGTCCAGGCTGGGAGATATAAATCTGCAATTCATCATGTAGATGATATTTAATGCTGATGATATTTAAGGCAGGAGCTGGGTTGACTTGGCAGTGGAACCTGGGCTGGACTTCCAGCTTTGTTGCTACCAAATGTGTGACCTCAGGCAGGCCACCTCATCTCTCTGAGCCTCAGTGCCCTGTTCTGTGAAACAGGGAACAGGAATCCCAGGTTCGTTGTGAAGCTTGAATAGTTGATGAATATAAAAGTAATCCTCTGGAAAGAGTCAAGTGCTGTAACCAAGTGAGGTTTGATTATTATTCCCCACAGGCAAGAGTGGAGCAGTCATGAGAGTGGAAGATAATGAATAGCAGCTGCTGTTTGTGGAGGCTGTACCACCTGCTGGGACCACCCTGGGCTGAGCCCATTGTAAACATCCATTTATCAAAGCCCCATCACAGCCCTCCAAGGTAGGCACTGTTATTATCCCATTTTATAGATGAGGAAACACATCCATGTCCATCCTCTATTCTTCCTCTTTGCAACAGAGGAAATGGCCCTCCTCTTTTCTGAGCCTATGCACACCTTCCTGGAATCTGAGAAAGCTTATACTATGGATTCTCCCTTCTCCTGCCTTATTACCTTCAGCCCTCTCTAAGAGGTTTGTAGGCATCAGCATTTAAACGTGCTCAAGTAGATTCCATCTTTAAAAAACAAAACCAAGCACATACCTCCCTATACTCCCCAACCCCTTCCCTTAATAGCAAAACCTCTCAGAAAACTGCCTGATCATACTCACTATCTCCTTTACTCACCTCCTACTCTTCTCAGCCCACTGCCATCTGGCTTCTACTCCCAACATGCACCGAGATGGCTTACTAAGGTCACCTTGACTGCCATGTTGCTAAATCAAATGGATGTTCTCCAGTCTCTATTTTACTTGGCTCTCAGCAGCATTTAGAATATAAAACTAAAGAACTGTGTTCCCTACTACCTCTCTAATAATGCCTTCTGTAAATCCTTTGCAGGTGTGTCCTTCTCTAACCCACCTGCAGACTCCTCACTCTTTCCCTGGGCAATCTCATCCATGCTGATGGTTTCCATTACCATCAATACTATAATGACTCCCAAGCTTAGTATCCTCAGTCCTAACCTCTCCTCTGAAGCCCAAGGATAAACATAGAGCTGCTCTCTCATGCCTCCACTTAGATGCCTCCAAAAAACTTCAAACTCAACATATTCCTCTTCCCTAAAACTGACTCTTCTCTGGGGTTTTCCATCTTCGTGAATGACACCCTCATCTGTCAAGTGTTCCAGGCCAGAAGGCTGGAAGTCATGCTTGGCATCTCTCATCCCTGCACCCCCAATGGGCAATCTATTAAGTCTGGTCCACTTTACCTTCTAAATAACTCTCTAAATTGACCACTTCACATCATTTCCATCTCCATTCTAATTCCGTCCAGAAGTTTAAGATGACTCTTAGGTTTTTGGTTTAACACTGGATGGTGGTGTGATACTTACTACGATGGAGCAAATTTGGGGAGGAAGAGTTGGGGAGGCAGCAAGAGTTCCTTTTTGGATGTGTTATGTTTGAGATGTTCCTGAGACGTGCATGTTGAGATGTGTCACAGACAGTGGATGAAACAGTCTGGAACTCCAAGGAGAAATCCAGGCTGGAGATATAAATCTGTAATTCATCAGCAAGTAGATGATATTTAATGCTGAGGAAATGAATGAGATCACCTGGAGAGAGATAGAGAACAGGTCCAGAAGTGAGCCCTGGGGCACACCACCATCAGAGATGAAATAGGGGAGGAGAAGGAAGCACGATGACTGAGAAGAAGCTGCCAGTGAGGTTGGAGGCCATCCAAGAGACTGTCATGGAAACCAAGAGCAGAACTAGAGGTCAGCATGAGGAAAGCTGTTGAGAAGCAAAGTAAACTGAGGACACAGAAATGCCTCCACTAGCAGAGATTGTTAGTATCCTTGCTAAGAGTGTTGATGTCTGTCTTCCCTGCTGGGCTGTAAGTCCCATGAAACAAGGGATGTCATTTGTTTGCTCACATTGTACTGCCAGTGCTTAGCTCATTATGCATTGTTTTCTGGTGTGTCTGGTTATCTTTGACTGCATGTTGGCCATTGTACTTGAATTTTATTTTAAGGAATAATTTAAAGCCCAGGATAAAGGTATTTTTTTCTAGTGAGCATCTGCATATGGCTGTGGGTGTTACCATTCTGTGATTAAATAAAATTAAAGGTTTGAGGTTCCCTGGCATACCCAAGTTGTGTGGATGAGGCTTCCAATCCATGATTTAAGGCTGGGTCATCTCTGGTTCACCCTTACCCCAAGGGTGAATCCTTTGGAGTTCCAGTTTATTTTGGTGAGAATCTCTCACCTGATTTTCCACCTTGTTCAGGCCATGAACTTGGATTTCAATTCCCCTTATGCCGTGAGATCATCAGAAAACAAATTCAGATTTTCAAGGATCAGCAAATGCCCTCTGGACAAAAGTAGTTTCTATGCTCTCTAAGTTCTCTGGGCTTCTGTTTTTCCTTCAGTTTTGACCTAATAATTCCTGGTAATTCCTTACAAAGAGCTTACTTGTCAGCTCTGTGATGCTTTAATAAGATACCTTTTATATTTTATTTAGCATTCTTAGCCCTTTTTAGCTGAAGAGTTGGCCCCAAAAACCTAGTCTCCTGTTTCTAAACACAGAAATGGCTAATCCCTAGGACTTTAGCACAGTGCATGGCACATCGTTATGGCTCAATAAATATTTGTTGATTAAATGAATGAAGGAAACCCAGGTGTCCAATGTCCCTACTCTTTCTGATGCATCAAACATCACACTCACAGGCCAAGATGCTAACAGAGCGCTGTGCTCAGAGCTCGGTGAGCTGTCCGGAGAGGCAGGGCTGTGAGCTCAGAGGAGGGAAAGACCCATGTAGAATGGGGAGCGACAATGGCAGGGGGTATCAGATAGGTGAGTGCAAGGATGGAACTGCATCTTGGCAGATGAGCCACCGGGTTGTGAAAGGACTCACAGGAAGTGGACATTGTAGTAAAGGCCTGAACTCAAGGCTGGAATGTGTGAGGAATCCAAGAGCTAGGAGTGGGCAGAGAAGCAGGGACCAGCCAGGGAAAGGGGCCAAGGAAGGCCCCAGGGCCCAGTGTGAATGCAGAAGCCAAGTTGGGCTGGGACAGTTCCCTGCAGCCACTGGGAGGAGGGAAGAGCAGGGAGAGAGGAGGCAACAGCTTTTGTTGAAATGCACACATGGTAATTGCTACAGAAGAGTATTTCCCTTAGTTTAAAACGCTTTCTCCTCTGCATTTTCCTTGGTCCTAGTTTCAAAGGAATTTTAATTGCAAAGAAAATTTTGTCATCTCCCTTGGGGGAGAGGACTCTGCAGCTTCGAACAGTCATGCCTGATGCTGATTCTTCTTTAAACTGGGAATTTTCATGCTTTGGCTGCGTGGAAGCTTTCTGGGGATTGGGCAGCATGGAGGGAGGGGTAGGGATATGACAGGGCTCTCTGCTCCTTTCTGGGGCTGGGAAGGCTGGGTTTGCAGCCAGGGTTTCCCTGGCCTAGGTCCTCAACAAGGGTCTTTGGTGCCAACCTGGACACCACGTGCCCAAGTTATGGATGATGGTTCTAATGCCTTTCTCCTTAAACTCAGTGGATTTATTTAATTAATGATATTAATGAAACAATTGGGCCCTTAGCTTCCATCCTTGTTCCACTGTAGATTATTCTCCACATGGCAGTCATTTGGAAAACAGTTTGGTAGTTTCTTTAAAAGTTAAATGTAAATGTACTATACGATCCAGCAGTTTCATTCCTAGGTGTCTACACAAGAGAAATGAAAACATATGTCCACATAAAAGCTCATACGAAAATGTTCATAGCAGCATGATTCAACATAGCCAAAAAGCAGAAACAACCCCAAAGCCTCTCAACCAGTGAATGGATAAGCAAATGTGGTATATCCAAACCAGAGGAGTACTATTAAGCAATAAAAAGGAATGAGCTGCTGATACCTGCTATAACATGGCTATACCTCAAAAACATTATGTGCAATGAAATGAGCCAGATGCAAAAAAAAAAAAACCAAAAATCATATATTGTATGCCTTTGCTTATAGGAAATGTCCCGAATAGGCAACTCTATAGAGACAGAAAGCGAAAGAAATGGTTGCCTGGTGCTGGCAGTAGGGATGGAGATTGACTGCAGATGGGCACGGAGGCTCTTTCTGGGGTGAAAGGAATGTTCTGCAACTGCGTGGTGGTTGCACAACTCTGTAATTTACGAAAACTCATTGAATTGTGTGCTTACAATGGGTGAATTTTAGAGCATGTAAATTATACCTCAATAAAGCTTTTGGAAAAAGTGGCCCCCATTTCTCTCAGTACAAAAGCCAGTGTTTCTATAAGGCTCTACATGATCCGCCCCTGTGGCCCCTCTCACCCTGTCCGCTCCCCCTCTCCCTGTTCCTCTGCTCCAGCCCTGCTGGCCTGCTGAGTTTTCCTTTCTTGGCAGGCATTCTCCCACCTGATTGCCTTTGCAGTAGCTGTTCGCCAAGTCTGGATGCTCCTTTCCCCATATCTGTGGGCCTCCCTCCCTTGCCATCTGACTATCTTTGTTCAATGAAAAGCAACCCGACCACTCCACCTAAAATCACAGCCCCTCTCCAAGGCTCTGCCAACTCCCCTTTCTCTATTCTTTACTTTCCATAGCTCTTATCACCTTCTAACATATTATGCGATTTACTTATTTATGATGCTTATTTTTTGTCACCCTCTCTCCTCCATAGCACGTACACTTCAAGGGGATAGGAATCTTTGTTGGTTCAATTCACTGATGTATCCTTAGGGCATAGAATAGTACCTGGCATGGAAAGGTGCTCAACAAATATTTGTTGAGTGGTTGAATTAATAAGTGATTCAACAAACGTTGTCTGAACACCCTCTCTGTGCCAGGAGCTGAGCCTTCAGAAGCGCATTGAATGAGCAAATCTCTCACCCTTAGATGTCTTGCATTTTAGTGGTAGAGACCATAGGTGAAAAAAAAAAAATTAAGCCAGTAATAGAGGGAAACCCTCTTAGCCCCATCAGTAAGAAATCACGAGTGAAAGAAACTTTACAAAAGGCTGCTATGGGAGCAGGATGAGGGAGGGTCTTCCTGGAGAGTGATCTACTAGATAAGTAGAAATTGGCCAGGTGGGGGTGGGAAGAAGAGGGGTTCAGGCCCAGGGAACAGCACATATGATGGCCCAGAGGTCAGGGAGAAAGTGTGTCATCCTGTTTGGGGAATTTATTCCAGCTGAAATATGAACTGTGATGGGGGCAGAGGAGAGATGCTGGTGAGGTGGTTGCTGGTGCCAGGCTGCAGAGGACTTTGGGCACATCCAAATATGTAGCAGTGAGCTCAGTGGGGCACCCACCAATCAGAGAAGATGCTGGCCACACACAGCTGGAACTCTCTGACTGAATCTCTGCAGAGCCTGAAGCCAAAGGAGAGACCCTGGACTTTAGACATGTTGGTGATCCCTGAAGCGTTTAAACAAGGGAGTGACAGTGATTAGATTCACCTTTTAAAGGATCACTTCGGCTGTCAAGAGCAGAACAGACTGGAGGGGCCGGAGTTGCTTCAGGGAGGCTGGATAGGAGACTGTTTAGCTAGTCCGGCTGGGAGAATTGACAGTCGTGGGCGATTGATTGGATGTAGGTGGTCAGCAAAGAGAGGGATAAGGAAGGATCATGGACACTAATAACCATGGCCAGCATTTAGTAAGCAGATATTTGTGCCAGGAAGGGCTACCCGAGCACCTTCCAGGTTCTATCTCCTTTAATCCACACATCAGCAACTATACTGGGAGGAAGGAACTGCTGGCATCCCCATCTTACAGATGAGGCTCCACAAACATAAGTGGTGTATCCAGCATGCAGGTAGAGTCTAATGACGACGTTGGACTTTCAGGGGTGACTCACAGGTTGCTGGCTGGGGTTAGCAGTGGAGCTATCTGGGGAGATGGGTGTGGGCAGGGCCAGAGAAAGTGAGACAGTTTTCTGTTTTCCAGGGAAGATGCCAGATCCACAGAGTGTGAGCTTCTCCACCTAAGTGGAGATGTCAAATGGATGGTTTATTTTGCGGGTCTGGAATCCAAAGAAGAAATCAAAGCTGGCAAGAAGTGAATCAGGTCTTATCACCACAAAGACCCCACAGGGTGGCTGAGATGGCTGGCTCAAGGCAGTGTGAAGAGTAGGAAAAGGCCCAGGCCGGGTGCAGTGGCCTATGCCTGTAATCCCAGAACTTTTGGAGGCTGAGGGGAGAGGATTGCTTGAGCCCAGGAGTTTGAGACCAGCCTAGGCGACATAGCGAGACCCTGTCTCTAGTGAGACTCCACCTCTAAAGAAAAAAAAAAAAAAGGAAAGGCCCAGGACAGCCCCGAGATTTAAGGGGTGGCACAAGTACAAATCAGGCTGTTAGAATGGTCCCTTTGGGGTAACTAAACATAATATCAAGACATATATGGTGGTGTATGAACCAAACGTTTTTCTAGAAGGCATTAGAAGATAGTGTTGGCAGGGTTTACCTCTGGAGAGCAGCGGGCCAGGTTGGGAGGGCGCTGTCACAGCCTCCCTTGTCCTCTCTGTGGACACAGCATGGGCTTATGCAGGTGGCACACACACCACGTCTATTTTTGCAAAAAATGAATAAGGCAATAACTGGTTGGTAAGATTTTAAGTCATTTTTGTTTGGCTTTTTTCTCTATCGTTCTTTGTTTTAACTAATAAACGTTGTTAACCAATGAAGGGGTAGGTGGGGGAAGAGATGGTGAAGGTGAGTGAAAAGGGGTGGTCAGAGAGGTGGGAGGAATAGCAGAAGAGAGTGGGGTGGAGGAAATCAGAGGGGGGTGAGTTTGGAGGAGGGCCCGCCCCCCACTGGTCCAGTGCTGATAAGAGACCAAGGGGGAGGGGCCCCTTGAGGTGAGGATCAGGGCGTCCTCAGTGACAGCACCAGGAAGGCCACCTGTGACCTGGTGATGGTTGTAACGAGGAGGGGGCGGGCACCAGATTGGAGTGGGCTGAGCAGTGAGTGGGAGAGTGAAGCGAAGACAACTTGATAAGTTGGGCTTTGAAGGGAAGGAGGGAGGGGGCGGTAGCTGGAGAGGAAGGCAGGGCCGAGGGAGGGCTTTCTTAAAGGAGAGAGTTGGGTGTGCTCAGTGCTAATGAGAGGGGGCGAAAGTGTAGATCCAGGCAGAAGGTAGGGGGCAGGAGGCGTTGGCCGAGACAAGAGGAAGGAAGGATCCTCCGTGATGACAGGTGACAAGGAGGAGGAGGAGGAGGAGAAGGAGGAGGAGCGAAAGGGTGATCAAGGGGTGGGGGCCCCAGGGAGCTGGGAACAGAACCCAGGCCTCTCCCCCTGGGCTCCTAGGCACTCCCTCTGGGGGACCACCCTCCAGTTCTACACTTCTGGGGGCAGTCCCCAGCTTTGCTTCTCGTGCTGGCCACCAGCCCAGCCTGGGCTTGCAGGCCCTTCAGCTGGCCTCAGGGCCCAGGCAGCCTCTTGGTTCTGTGCATCTCTGGTGCATTGCATGACCTTCAGTGAGTCCTCCCCACCTCTGCCCCAGGCCTCAGTTTCTCCTTAAAGGTTGTTTCAGCTCCAGGAGACTAGAACTCCATGGTTCAATGCCCCTTCCAGTCCTGCCTCTGCCACCCCAGCCACCAATGTCTGGATTAAGGAAAACTCAGGATGGGCCTTCTGACCTAGAGATGACCTAGACAGACACCTTTCATATCATCAGAAGGGACCTGCCACTTGGAATTTTGTGGACTTTTTGTTTTGTTTTTATTATTATCTATTTTTTTTGAGACAGGGTCTCACTCTGGCACCCAGGCTGGAGTTCAGTGGCAAAATCACAGCTCACTGCAGCCCTGACCTCCCAGGCTAAGCAATCCTCCCACCTCAGCCTCCCAAGTAACTAGGACTACAAGTGCGTGCCACCACACCTGGCTATTAAACAAATTTTGGGGGGATAGAGATGGGGTCTCACTATGTTGCCCAGGCTGGTCTTGAACTCCTAGCCTCAAGCAATCCTCTCGCCTTGGCCTCCCAAAGTATTGGGATTACAGGTGTGAGCCATTGCACTGGGCCATTTTGTGGATTTCTGGCTCTGGGTCCGGAATGGCCCAGTTAGTTTTTCCAGAGATTCTTGCTCTAAATCTTCAAGAGCAGCAGGAAAGACCACTGCTTGGGGGAGGGGGCAGATTTCGGCTCAGGAAGGCCAAGTTCTGGTCCAGACACTGTTCCAACCCAGCTATGTGGCTCTAAGTGAATCCTGTGTCTCTCTGGGTGGACCTCAGCGGTGTCTGCCGAAAACTGGAGAGAATCTTGGCTCCCACGTGGTTTTACTGCAAGGGCTGAATGAGACAATGCGCACACGCTCTCCTACAACATTGCAAAAGCTCGGTATATTATAACTATTATCATAATTAATAAGCCCCACCCTGGTCCATTAACGCTGAAAACGCAAAAAACTCATGACTCAGGAGTCAGTGTGAGAGAAATATCAGCATGTGTAGCAGGAGGTGTGTACACAGATGGTCACATGGCATGGCTGATGATAAGGGGAAAAGGGGAAACATCTTACGGGTCCATCGCTAAGGGAGTGGACAAATAAAATGGAGTGTATTCATCTGATGGAACACAGCCACTTAAATGGAGTGAACCAGAGCTATATATGACAACATTGATAGCTTTCAAAAACGTTGTTGGAGAGAAAAAAGCAAATTGCAGAGTGATACATCAGTATGAATCCATTTACATTAAAAATACCACAAAACAATGCTAGTTATTTTCTGTGGGTACATATAATGTATGCTAAAGTCTAAAAATGGTCTGCAGTGATACATACTAAGCTCATCCTAGGAGCTGGCGCTGAGGAAGTGGGAGGGGACCAGATTGGAGGTGGTGGGGAAGGGACTTCAGCTTCATCGACAGTGCCCTGATTTCTAAGAGAATGGATTCAGGTATTTCTTATAAAATTAAAATTATTTTTAAAAGAAATTAACCACTTTATTTAAATAATTTCTGCCCTGCCTATTTCACTAAATTGTTTGGAGGATCAAATTATACGTGCAGAGAGAATGTGTAATTCATTTTCTAGTTGACGGAGCATTTTTTTTAACCCATGTGAACTTACTCCATCCTCCCAACAAGACTTTGAGGGATGGATTATAATTTCTGTGCTATTGAGGAGGAAACCGGGGCACAGAGGGCTGCAGTGATTTGTCCCAGGTCACATACGTGTCATGGGGACGAGTTGGGAGTCACACCTGGGGCTGTCTGGTTCCACAGGCTGGGCCTCTTTTTCTGCTGCTTCAAGCTCTGGGGTAAAAACAACAGCCCGGGTGCGGTAGCTCACACCTGTAATCCCAGCACATTGAGAGGCCGAGGTGGGCATATCACTTGAGCTCAGGTGTTTGAGACCAGCCTGATCAATATGGCAAAACCCCATCTCTACTAAAAATACAAGAATTAGCTAGGTGTGGTGGTGTGGGCCTGTAGTCCCAGCTACTCGGGAGGCTGAGGCAGGAGAATCGCTTGAACCTGGGAGGTGGAGGTTGCAGTGAGCTGAGATCGCGCCACCGCACTCCAGCCTGGGCGACAGAGTGAGGCTCTGAGGACAATAACAACAACAACAACACCTTTTAAACTGCCTGCTGGCCGTTGTTGTCATTAGGATAATGATGGTGGGGGCAGAGTCCTCTGAGCACCTTCTCAGGGGGGCTGGCAGTCTCCAGGCAGAAGTACCACAGTCCCATCTGAACCGGCCCTAAAGACCTCAGCCTATGGTCTGGGGGCTGCCTTCTCTCTTGAGACCCTCACTCACTGTTCCCTGGGAGGCAGTGTAGTGCTGAGGATAGACCTTGGCTATTGGACTCAGGGAGACCTGGATTTGAATGTCAGTTCTGTCACATACAGTGACCTTGAGCAATCCACTTCCTCACTCTGTAAGATAAGACCTAGTTTGCAGGTTGCTGCGGGCAAAATGTGTATGGTGGGCACTCAGTGAATGTTATGTCCTGCTCTCTTTCCCTCTTCCAAGAGCTTCTCCAACTCTGAGCAGGGGCCTGGATAATTCTAGGCAGTGTCTGGCTTAACCCTGAATGCTGTGTGAGCCACAGTGTCCAACACAAAGTAGGTTCTCAGGAAAGTCTGTGATTTGGCTTCAGGAAGTTTGTGGGGTTAAAGGACCAATGACAACAGGAAAAGTCACCACAATCTAACTGGGGTAGCAGACCTACTCACAAGCAAAGGTCTTCCCAATCTCAATTGATTTCTGGGGTCAGCTCACTGGGGCCATCTTGAACTCTACCTTTAGGGCAGTAGGGGGCCATTGAAAGTTTGATCAAGGGAGTGACATGTCTAAATAGACTTCTGAAAGAACATGTTGTCTGTGTGGAGGGTGGCTTTGGAAGGGAAGCCCAGCGGTAGAGAGACTGCCTGGAGGCAGGGAGGCCTTGAGGAGGCTGTGGTGAACAGTTCAGGTGACAGATGGGGCCCTGAGATCCCTTCTAATCCTGTGAGATGCCTGGGGGACTGGAGGAGGCCAGGGAAGAGTAGAGTGGCTGGACTGGATTTTGAAAGATGCTAGGATTTTCTTGGAGATTGAAAGGAAACCTGTGATGTATATGAGGACGTGTTTTGTAAATGGAAAAAAATCACATACGCCTACCCTGATACTCTCTTGTCCTTGTCGACAGCTTTTCTTGGGCATATAACATCCTGCCTTTGTATTCAGGGAGCGTTGACACGGGTCTCAAGGAAATTCCCAGCTCACCTGAATCACTTGGCAGAACAAGTTTTTATGTCAACTCACAAACTGACCCATGTAAGCCCTCCAACAAACACAGAGTGCATTATTTCGAAGGTAGGTAGCCAACAAAGGGAAATGGTCAGTTTTTCTTTTTTCTTGTTTGTCACAGACACATCTGTCGACCCACACCTGGCATTCAGGATAATATCACAGATGCCCAGACCTTCAGATTCAAGGGAAAGGCAGGAATATGGACAGGATATGAGAAAGGAGTTTACAGTTCATCATAAAAATCACAGCTCCTGGCTTTTGAATGCTTACTATGTGCGGAGCACACGCATTAATTCTTATATCAATGTCTGATGCGGGTGCTACTATTACAGATGCCTTTTACAGATGACAGAATGCAGAGCTTAGGGAATGAAAGTATCTTACCGAAATTCACACAGCTGGCAGAGCAGGAGCTGGATCTAAGGTCCACTATGACAGCTTTCTCCTATCACTAGACTTGAATACGAATACCTTCCTTTTTGTCCCCAAAGATACCGATACTGATGAGTCTGATGATCATGCTTCATTTATTCATTGAAAAAATAATTATTGAGTGCCTGCACCATGGTTGGCAAAGAGGGAAGAGAATGGTGGTAGAACAGGATAGACAAAGATCCAGAGACAGAAATGAATACAACGTGCCCAGGATACCCTGAGTTTGGCAGGTTAGATTCCACAGTAGATTTGCCCGGGGGGTGGGAGCAGCACTGGGGAGAAAGGGGTCTCTACACACAGTGGGTGGAGATGCATGGGGCCAAGTGCCCTGAGAGAGCAGGAAGGAGTCTCGCTTCCTTATTTATTACCTCTGGGCTCTCAAATGCATGACTACTAGGCAGAAGTGACAAAATAAAAAGGGAAAGGAAAAAATGCCAGCTACAGCCAGAATAAAATCAGGGCAAATAGAATAAAACCTGACAGCCAAGTGTAAATAAATATTCGTAAAAGAGTTAAAGGACAGATTAAAATAAAAACACCAAATGCAATTCTTACCCCTTGACAAATGCAGTGCGAATTGGGTTCTTTTAATCAAATGTTTGGCAGGTGTATGAATTATTTATAATTCAATATCGGGTGGTTAAATGGAAAATGGAAGATGTTCCCGTCGTCTTCTCAGAGCTTATCCGCCTCCCCCAGTGAGTTCTCCCCCGGGGGAGGGAAGGGTGGGTGGGTGATTGCCCCTCCCCCATACCAGGTGCAGGCCTGGACGCTGGAACCCGTAATCCCTGCCTAATTCTGGGCGTCACCATTTGTCAACTTGCTCCCTCGTCACAAGCCTCCTTGCTGCTCAGAGCTTTGTTCAGGAAGGCGGGCTCTTCAAAGCTAGGGACAGGAGTGGGAGCAGCTGGCCAGGTCTAGGGGAGCCTGGAGTCCAGAGACCCAGGTTCATGGCCCAGGGCTTCCACAGACTCTGTGCAGCTCTCGCCTCTTCCTGGCCCTCCTCCACTGCCATCCTTTGCTTCCACATCCTTTCATTTTTGTTTACAGCATGCAGTACGGCATGGGGTGCCCCCCACATCCAGTTATGGCAAGAAGCATAACTGTCTCCATTTTACAGAGGAGATGCCTGGATGTACCTCTGGTCACACAAGTGGTGCAAGCTCGAGTTGGGGTTGGAACCTATGTCTTCAGCCTCCAAGTGCACTGGGAATGCATTCTGGGAGCAGGGGGAGGTCTGGAGTCTGAGTAGAGTGGACAGGACATGAGCTCCAGAATTACACAGACTCAGATTCCGATTCCAGCTGCGTGACCTGGGACACGTTCCCTAACATCTCTGGTCTTCCACTTTCCCATCCGTACACTGCAGTAATGATAGGAACTGCCCCCGGGGCTATGGTGAGGATGAAGAGGGGGTGGAATCACTATGCGATGCCTGCCCTCCATGGAAGCTGGATATTGCTGTCATTACCGTAGTTACAAGAAATGACCCTCATTTTACAGATGAGAAAACTGAGGCCTGCAGTCACAGAGACTTCCCCATAGTCATTCAGTGAGTCAGCGGCAGGGAATCCAGACCTCTAGGAGCTTGGCAGACCATGTGTGTCTGGCTCATGCCAGCACCTCCCCAGGTATCCACCCACCCCTGATTCTGAGTTGGATGTCTACCCTCCCCACCCCCACCGCCATCACCAAAGAGTCCCAGAGAGCAGCTTCACATGGAGTCCCGGGCCTTTCTGCACTTTTCTGCTCCCCAATCCATTTCTCTGTTTCTGTCTCACACACACACATATGCACACACACCACACGCATACACACACCCCGTGAGCCAAAGCAGGAGCGGAGGATCCCACCACAGCCAAATGTTGCCTGACTTCCCTGAGCAGCAGATGAATGAGTCCTCACAGCTAACAAACGGCTGTCGGAAAGGTGGGAGAATGAAGGTAATTAGTCCCCTTAATGCCGACTTCAGACTAATCTTTCACACTTAAGGAAATTGTTCCAATGATTTTCTTATTTTCAGGGGAGCTCGTTAAGTAAGAATTAGAAAAATAGATATGGCAGGAGATAAGAAAATGGATTTTGTAGTGACAAGCTGCCTATACACACCGAGAGGGGGCTGGCTGGCCCGGGTCTGACGCACAGACCCAGATCTTCCTGGAGTGCATGACAGGAAGGTGTGCCAGAGTCCCTGGGCAGGACAAAGACCACCAGGGGGACAAAGGTGATCAGTGAACCCTGATTGCAGTTCGTCTTTGCACCCAGACCATCGTTCTCAGCCTCCCTGCTCCTAAGCCCTGGCTGGAAGAAGCGGTTCACAACTTTCCTCAACATCTGGAAAGAATGATGTCTTTGCAGGGACCCACTGCAGAAAATTCAGACCTCAACACCTTCTGGGATCTTTGGGGGAAGCCAAGGAACATTTATTGAATCCCTGCTGTATGCAAGCTGCTGTGCTGGCTGCTTTCTCTCCATTTCACCTGACAGCCCCAGGAGGTAGATGTACAGAGGTGGAGGTGCAGACTCAGAGGTGGGGCCGATGTTCAGCTAGCCCTGTCAGTTGTTTTCAACTGTCACCTGTTCTGATTGATCAGTGAGTATGCTGGTCCAGTGGCTCAGTATTTTTAATATTTCTCTTTGTCATGTGAGCCAAGGCCACAGGGCTGTAGATTCCCATCTGAAACTGGAACCCATGGTGTCTGACACCAAAGCACGCCATTTCTGTCCCTCCAGGCCGCCTCTGTGTAAGGAGTCCCAGTGGGAAGGAGGCATGGAGGGGATGACTTGGAGCCAGGAGAAACTGTCTCCTGCCGAGATAGTGCAGCTTTACTAGGTGGGAAAATGGGAGGGAAAGTCTGAAAGGTGTTTGTCCTTCTGGGATGGGCACAGATCATTTTTCCCTCACTCCTCATCAGCACTCATTCCTGCCTCTCCATCTCTGCTCAGGCTTTCCCCCGACCCCCAACCTGACCACTGTACCCAGTGCTGATCACTCCTGGTCTTCATTCATCCCCAACAGCCCCAGACTTCTCTTTCGCCCCTGTACCTGGTGGGGACTCATTGGTTCCCATGTTTAGCTGCATTCTGGGAAGCTTGCCTTTGCATGTGCCGTGACCATCCGGTCTGTGGACCAGGTTGCAGCATTGTTAGCAGAACTGCCTGGTGATTGGCTCTGCCAAAGGAGAATTGTTCTCGAACAGGCCAAATGGGAAAACGAGACTTTGTGAAAATGTCAACATGACATTTTTCCTGGGTCACAGGCCAAGTCTCCCCCACTCCCCCACCACAATGTAGACCTCTGCTGTGCAGAATTTGTGTGTTTGGAGAAAGCCCCTAGTGCAGTGCTTCTCAACCAGGGGGGACCTTGCGACCCTTGGGACATTTGCAACGTCTGGAGACATCTTCGCTTGTCACAACTGAGAGGCTGCTACTGGCATCTAGTGGGTGGAGGGCAGGAATGTTGCTAAACATTCCAAAGTGCCCAGGACACCTTCCCCCCAAACACCCATACACAAAATAATTATCAAACCTAAGATATCAGTAGTGCTGATGTTAAGAAACTGCCCTGCGGTCATCTGATCCAACGTTCCCTTTAAGCAACTTACCTCAGAGTTGGGGATAGAATCCAGGTCTCCTGACTGTTTCTACCACTGAGATTAAATGATGGAAAGGGAATTGGACCTCTGAGGCAAGATTCAGGGTTCAGACACCTTTTGTTTTCAATTTGACACATATACATTGTGCTCCTGTGACATACCAGGCATTGGACAAGGTGCTGGGTACTCAGTGGTGGATTAAAATATATACAATCTCTGCCCGTTTGGGACTCCCATGTAGTGGATTTTGAGCTGGGTGACCTTAGGCATGTCTCTTCCTCCTCTGAGCCTTAGTTTCCTAATCTCTAAAATGGGCACGACAGGCTGTCTGTCCCAGCATTTTTGTCAGGCCTTCAGGAATTTAAATGTCAAATACAATTGTAGATTCTCGATAAACATTTAAGTGGATTGAATGCTTCTCCTTCCTGGAGAGGGCTGGCAGGTGGTGGGGAGAGTTTTTCTACAAGGAAAAGAGAAAGGGGAGAAAACTAAGACATTATGGAGCACTTACTGTATGCTTTTCATGGGATCTTCCTGTCAACCCTGGAAGGCAGGTGTTCTCTTACTCAAAGAGAAGATGAGGAAACGGGGGCTCAGAGAGGGAAAGGGACATGCTCAAGCTGGATTTGAACCCAGCTGCCTGGCTCTTTCAGCTCTCCCACTCTGATGCTGGGCAGGGAGTCGAGGTCCAAATCTGACCACGCCTGGCCCTCAAGCCTTATTCCCCAGCATCCCCCGGGGTCTCAGTCTCACCCCATTAGCGCTGCTTTAAAAAGTGCGGACCGACCAGGGCGCGTTATTGCCCACATAAATCAGGCAGCTCCAAGTATGGAACACCTTTAAACAAACAGCTGATGGGAGTGAAGTTCCAGGATCATTATTAATAGCTTTTCATTTCAGTGGCCGCTGTGCTGTGACATGCCTTCCCAGCAGAAACCCTGCGCAGCCAGCCCCCGATCCGCCGATCCCCCGAGTCTACCAGTCAGAATGAATGACTGTACCTTTGTGTTAATTGTGGAGCCCAGCCACATGCAGAATGCTAATAGGGCTGAGTGAGAGGGGGTGGGTGCCAGCCTTGCCTGGTTGCTGGGCGGGGAAGGACCCCACCTCTGGTCTTCCTCCGTGGCAGCCAGCTGCTATATCTGTCTAACATCCTTATCTGAGCTCTGCCCTCCTCTGCTCTAGAAAGCCCTATGGCTCCTGTGGCCCAGACCCAATTCCAGACTCATCTGTCTGCCATTCAGGGTCCTTCATGTCTCTTCCTTTCTGTGGCTCCAGCCTCCTTTCTTGCATTCCAATACCATGGAGTCCTGTGCTGCTCAAACTCTTATTCATTTATTCATCCATTCAATCAATCATCCATTTATTCAATAAACATTTACTAAGCCCTCTGAGGGATAGAGGGGATGAAGCTGTGAACAAGACGGGCATGGTCCGTCATCCCATGGAATTTAATATCAAGCAGAAAAGACAGACGTTAGGTCTGTGTCAGTTTAGCTCTTTATCATCTGTGTAACCTTGCATGAATAACCTCTTCTGGGCCTCAGTTTCCTCCTCTGTAGAATGGGAATAATAACAGTAGCTACCTCACACGGTGGTGTCAGGACTTAAATAGCTAAAAAGATATGTGAATCACTCAATATTCCTCTGATCATTTACTATGGAGTAAGAAGTACTCCGTAAGTGTTAGCTGTTATTATCATTATTAACTCACGACTTCATTAAAACATGCGATGATGACTATAAAAGAAAGGTACAAGGAGAGCATCTGACAGGGAGCTCGGACTAGTCTGGGGCTCTTGGGAAGGGGTCCCTGAGAAAGTGATTTGTTCTCAGACTGGAGTGTGGGGGTGGCGAGGGCGAGGGCAGCCAGGTGGAGGGAACAGCCTGGGTAGAGGCCCTGAGGCTGGATGGATTTTGCCAAGCTGAGAACCTGAAAGGCAGCGGGGAGGTTGGCACGTCAGGAGCAATGGGGAAGAAGGCCGAGATGAGACAGGAGAAGCAGGCAGGAGGCCACACCGTGCAGGATCTCGTGGGCCTTGTTAAATTTTAGATTTCATTCTAAGAGCAATGGGAAGCTATTGAAAGCTTCCGAAGCAGAGGATTGGCATGAATCTTATTCTGTTTGGAACTCACCCAGGCTACTGTGGGTGTGAAGCAGACTGGCCCCCGCCCCTTCACCTGCTGGGGTCCCCCATCAGGTGGCTGAGAATGAAACACGGACATGGGAGAGGAGGATGTTGTCCAGGTGAACAATAATGGTGGCTTGAAGTAGGTGGGGGCAGTGAGGTTGGAGAGGAGTGGGCTATTTCTAGAGACATACGGAAGGCAGAATCCTCGGGATATAGTAGGAATGCTACGGGGAGCTGCAAGATGAGGACCTGTTCGGTAAGACCTTGAGGTGGCCCCATTCACAGATTTGGGGAAGAGAGGGAAGTAGCAAGTTTGGAGGATAAGGAACCATTTATGTAGCTTAACATTCCCCAATGTGTGGAGGCCTGTGAGCCCTTGCATGTACTGTTCCAGGGAGAATGTCCTTCCCCAATCTTGTCTGATGGGGGATTTTGTATGAATCACTCAAAGCCAGGCTCCAATATCCCCTCCAATATATGAATCCCTCCCTGGTACCCCAGATTTGGTCTCTCTCCCCTATGTGTCCACACCTCTCCCAGCACCCTGTACCTCATAGAGCTCTTGGCTCCTTCAGTTTCCTCTGCTGTTTCCATCTCATTTCCCTCCAAGTTTTCGAAGGCCCCAGAGGGTAGTCCCTGGGCCACTCCTCCTCAGATGACCACATGTAACCCCGCAGCTTGAAACCCCATGGATTTGCTGATGACACCCAAATATGTGTGTCCAACTCAGATGTCTGCCCAAAACCCAACACATAGAGCCTCTTGCCTGTTCAGTGCAGATATCTAAAACGCCCTTCAAAACCCTCATGTCTGAACCCGGACTCCTGAGTCCTACCCCCAACCACACACAAATAATGAGAACATAAATTCAAAAACTGCTCCTCTTCCAGCATTCCCCAGTTCGGTAACTGGCAACTCCATGCTTCCAGCTGCTTCCGCCAAAAGCCTTGAAGTCAGTCTTGACTTCACACCCCACATCCAATCCATCAGCAAATCTTGCCAGCTCTACCTTAAAATAGATCCAGAATCTGGCCGATCTTGCCACCTTCATTGTTAGCAGCCTGGTCCGGCCACCATCATCTCTCACCTGGATGATTGCAACAGCCTCCTAACTGGTATCCCTGCTTCTGCCCTGGCCCCCTGCAGACTGTTCTCAGTTATGGTGTTAAAACATAAATCAGGCCGTAACACTCCTTCTCTCAAAATTCTTTTGGCTTCTTGTCTTACTCGGAGTAAAATGGCTCATAAGATCCAACAAGAATTGGCTTCTTGTTACTTCTCTGACCTTTTCCTACTCCCCTCTCCCTCTATTTCAGCCACACTGGCCCTCTGGCTCTTCTCTGAATAGACCAGGTATGATCCCACCTTTGGGCCTTTGCACTTGCTGGTCCTCTTGCCTGGAACACCCTCGCCCCTGATGTCTGCCTGGCTCACTCTCTCCCTTCCTTCGAGGGTCTGCTCAAATGGCTGACCCCATGCACCTTTCCCTTACAACCTGTGATAAACTAGCTCCTCAGTTCCCCAGGCCATTCATATCCCCTCATCCTGCTTTCTTCACCTTCTCCATAACACTTATCACTATCTGATATATTATAAATGGATGCCTCCTTTCTCTATAATGTGAGTGCCATGATTTTAGGGGTGTTGTCTTTTTTGCTTGATGCTGTATTCCCAGCATTTAGAACAGCGCATGGCACATAATAGGTGCTCAGTGGATATTTCTTGAATGACTCGCATAGTTTTTATCTATCTGTCTTCCTGTTTGTCTGCTTGTCTGTCTCCCCCAGCAGACAGCGGGAAGCCACTGGATCCGATTCTCCACTGCTTTCCTGGTGTCCAACACAGAGTCTGCAGAGTGGGTGCTCATCAAATGTTTGAATAAACAAATGAATAATAATAGAATTTCCAGATGGATTGCCTGGGGCGATATGAGGGAGGGATTATGGCTAGACAGAGCTGCCTACTGGAAATTTTCCTGCCATTTCTGAAGGACCTGGGGTCACCTGGGAGGGGAGGAAGCTAGAAACATGAGCCAAGGAATCTCTAGAGGCCAGAAGGGATAGAGATTAAAATTTAGGAGCTGGTGATGGAAGGATCTGGAAGTGCAGGTTTCCAACTTGGCTTCATGTTTGAGGCTAACCTGTGGATTTAGAATTCTGTTGGAAGTTCAGGAAACTAAAGTTTTAGAACAGGCCAAGAGTTTAGGGTTAGGGTCTGAATTAAGGTTTGGAGTTTGGAAAACAGGTTGAAGCTTTGGATTTAAAGTTAATATTCAGAATTCTAGTTAGAGCTGAGTGTTTGGGAGCTGGGCCTAATGTTTGTGGTCAACTGGTTTTGAGAATGGGTCAAGAAATGAAAACTTTGGTGAGAAAACTGTACAAAGTTGAAGGTGGCATCAACTTGAGGGGCTCAACTTGAGGATATTTATTAGATTTTCAAAGCTTCTTTGCCAGGACACTATGAGACAGAAGCTCACAATATATAGTCAAGTTCTTGAACAGTTTTTCTCCACCAGGGGCAATTTTGCCACCCAGGGGACATTTAGCAATGACTAGAGATGTTTCTGGTTGTCACAACTGGGTGGGAGGGTGCTGCTGGCATCTAGTGGGTAGAGGCCAGGAATGCTGCTAAACATTCTACAATGCCCGGGACAGCCCTCCACGACAAAGAATTATCCAGCCCCAAATGTCAATAGAGCTGAGGTTGAGAAACCCAGCACTGGAGGATTTATTCATTCTCTGAAGGGTTAGCCAAGGCTAATCCAAGTGGGCCAGGAGTCAGGATATGAGTGTTTAGGGGGAGGGCTAGTGCGATGCGGGCCTGAGCTATAGAGTCAGGTGTGGGCACCCTTGTGTCCCCCTCCTCCTGGATGGAGCTGCTGACAGCTAACTCTGGCTCTGGCAGACTCTAAGGGAGAGGAAGGGGGTTAGGGTGGAGATGGGGAGGGAGAAGGAGGAGAGGGCCAGCCCAATGTGTCAGGGAATTCACGAAGCTAGAGACAAGCAGGGTGGGAGCTGGTGAAAGAGAGAGAGAGAGTAATAGTTTTGCAGAGTTGCAGAGAGCCCAAGCAGGGTCTATGGGGGGTGTGTTTGGAAGGAAGGCTGGGGGTGTGGCATGGATAGTCAGAGAGCTGCAGAGAGAGTTGGCATCTGGAGGGCCTGGTGTCCAATGCACCCTCTGCAACTTATGTGACTGCCTTGTTCAAGACAGAATTCAAATAATAACAGCTGGCTGGGCATGGTGGCTCACTCCTGTAATCCCAGCACTGTGGGAAGAGAGGCAGGTGGATCACCTGAGGTCAGGAGTTCGAGACCAGCCTGGCCAACATGGCGAAACCCTGTCTCTACTAAAAATACAAAAATTAGCTGGATGTGGTGGCATGTGCCTGTAATCCCAGCTACTCAGGAGGCTGAGGTAGGGGAATCACTTGAACCTGGGAGGCAGAGGTTGCAGTGAGCAGAGATCGCGCCACTGCACTCCAGCCTGGGAGACAGAGCGAGATTCCATCTCAAAAATAAATAAATAAATAAATAAAACAAAAAACAAACAAAACCAAATAATAATAGCTAACACTTGCATCGCACTTACTCTGTGTCGCTCTAAATGCTTTACATCTGTTAACTCATTTTTAATCCTCCATTGAGCCTGTGTGATGGGTACTACCATAATCCCCGTTTTACAGATTGGAAATGGAGGCAAAGGGGTCAGGTAAGTTGCATAAGATCCCATAGCCCTGAGCGGCCCTGCTGGCTCCAGAGCTGGCTCCAGGCTTCTGTTTTCCATTTGCTTCCTCTGCCGTCGACATTCATGATCTCATCACACCCTCTCAATAGTCTCCCGAGATAGGTGCTCTTGTTACGGCCCCTGCTGCACTGATGAAGTAACCAAGGCACAGAGAGGTGAACGACCTCTCAACACAGCCAGGTCTGCCTGACAGCAAGGCCACTTCTGCTCCTCTGCGTTGCAGCCTGGGGTGCACCTCTGCACAGCCCCATGTGCCCACTCTTGTGGCCATATCTGATCTTCACAAATGGCCTCAGACTTCAGGGTTTCTCAGCCTCAGCAGCAGTGACATTTTGGCTGGATAACCCTTTGTTGGTGGGGGCTGTCCTGTGCAGGGTAGGATGGCTGGCCGTATTCTTGGCCTCTACCCATTGAATACCAGTAGCACTCTTTATTCCCAGTTGTGACAACCAAAATTGTCCTCTAGACAATGCCAAATGTTCCCTGGAGGCCAAAATCAACTGCTCTCCCACCCCAATGGAGAATGACTGCTCCAGACAGTAGGCAAAGGAGGATCCTCCTATGACATAGTGGATCATGGAAGAAAGGACCAGAGAGGGTCACACCTTACCCAAGGTCACTCAGAGAGTTGGTGGTAGGACTTAGGTCTCTCCAGCCAACAGGAAGGCATGCCTGCTGAGCTTTCCCACTGGAGGCTCCCTCCCCCAGGGTGAGTGTTGAGTGCCAACGATATGGCAGGAGCTGGCTGCCTGTCCCAATAAATGCAAAGGTCCCATGAGCAGCCCGTCCTTTTCAGAGCCCTCTGCTCTCCAGCTGAGCTGAGGTGGGGTTCGCTCTGCTCCTAGCTGTGGCACTAGGAAAACAGCTGTGGCTTTGATGTCAAACAGACCAGATTTCAAATCCTAGCTCTGCCACACCCATACTGTGGGACTCCAGGCACAGCACTGAACATCTCTCACCCTCTGTTTCCCCATCTGAAAAATGGGCAGTTTGGATTAGAGAATCGCAAACGCCCAACTAACTCTGATGTTCTGATTTTCTGACAAATTAGGGTATCCGGTGTCTTAGTCCTGGCTGTGCCTGCAACTCAAAGTGGCATCTTGGGCAAGTCACTGCCCCTCTCCAGAACCCACTCTCCTCAATCTGCCATTCACCTTCAAGCAGCCAACACTCCAGTCACACAGAACTTCTCATTGTGATCTAAACCGTGAATTCTTCCCTGCGTTGGTTCATGCTGCCCCTCTGAAATGCTCTCCTGCCCATTATCCACCTGGAGAACTATTCATCTTTTTAAGACTGAGCCCAAGTCATTTGCTCCAGGGGGTCTTTCTGATTCCTGCAGGCAGAGTTAATCACTCCCTCTTTTGTTCTGTTCTGGTGCTTCTAGAAGAGCACCAGCCACTGGTTGTGTGTGTGTGTGTGTGTGTGTGTGTGTGTGTGTATGTGTGTCTTCCCCACTAGACTGAAAGAGTCCTTGCAGACAGATCCTGGGTCTTCCTAATCCTAATGTTTTTGTGGTCCACACAGTGCCTGGCACAGAGTAGATGCTCAGTATATGTTGAGTAAGTAAGAATGAATGAATTGGGGGAGGAGACTGCCAAGACCCCTTAGTGGTTACAACCCTCTAGAATCCAGGGAAGGAGGCCAACCTCTTGCTGTCATCTGGTCTGAAGACTGCCCCCATCCCCAGTCCTAGCAATGGCCTGTTGCCTCAGCCACCCACACATTCTGTGGACTCAGAGAGTACCTTGGACAGCAACCAGACACTTTATAAAAAATGCTTTTATCCTCCATGAAGCTGCCGCTACAGGGAGCTGTCTGTGCTGACCTGCATCTCCGTGTGTGCATGGAGACATGTGCTTGTAGAAGAGGCCTTGCTTCTTCCATTTTTCAATCCATCCCAGGCCTTTCTGAGGATCAGGCAGGGAACCTATGTTTTTCATGTTTATGTTTCTGAATGTGCAGTCTCCGACCCAAGATAGGGGTGGCTGGGGGTAGGGGGAGAACTTTGGAATTCCCTCCCTCTAATAGTCGTTTGAGGAATCCACTCTTCCTCTGAGCCACATGTCCCCAAATTGTCCACAACCCTATTCCACGAAGTCCTCTGACTAAAGAAACCAGATCTCAGTTCCTGGTTTTGGGGGTGGGGAGGAGAGAGGTGGTCTGTGTTCTTTGAGATCCATCCATTCAACAGGTATTTTCTGAGAAGCTATAAAAACACAGAGGCCAGGTGCGGTGGCTCATGCCTGTAATCCCAGCACTTTCGAAGGCCAAGGCGGGCGTATCACGAGGTCAGGAGTTTGAGACCAGCCTGGCCAACATGGTGAAACCCCATCTCTACTAAAATACAAAAAATTAGCCAGCCATGGTGGCTCATGCCTGTAATCCCAGCTACTCAGGAGGCTGAGGCAGGAGAATTGCTTGAACCTGGGAGGCGGAGGTTGCAGTGAGCCGAGACTGCACCACTGCACTCCAGCCTGGGCGACAGAGCGAGGCTCCATCTCAAAACAAAAAAACACTTATATTATGTTTAACTTATTGGAGTCTCAGTTTCTTCACTTGTAAAATGGGGGTAGGGGTAGGTAGATATGCCTGCAAGACCAAATCCTTAAAAGGGGGCAGCTTTATGGTTTATGCATTGATCCTCAGTGCAACACATCAGCTTCAACCTTCACCTAAAAGCAGGACTGGATGTCCTCATTCAGCTGCGTCCTTCCTGTGGAGCCCTAGTTAAGCCCCTTCCCTTCCTTGAGTCTCTGGTTGCAAACGAAGTGGGTTCTGTTCTCTAAGTTCTGGTTCAGCTGTGGGGTCCTGAGTTTCTAGGATTCTATAATGATGCTGAGGAGCCATGCAACCTCCTCTTTCTTCCTCCTGCCCCAAGGAAGGGGCTGGGGCCTCAGACAGGAGATGGGGACACACCAGAGCTTCCCAGGGGTGGTAGGAGGGTGCGGAAAGAGGAAGATCTGTCCTAGCTGGGGTGTGAGAGACAAGTTAACAGCTCAATTGTTATTTCAATTACACGGATTATTTGAAAACAATGTTTATGAGTTTCATCACTGACAACCCCGGGAAATGGCTGCTATGGCAACCAGGGAAAAGAATGGCCCTGACCAGCCAATCAGAAGTTCCAACTGTGCCCCAGTTTGTACAAACTCTCCCTTCTCCACAGGGCTCCCCCCAACCTCTGCTGGGGTGGGTAGGTGGGGGCTTGGGAGAAAGAGGGAAAGAAAGGGGCAAGGAAAAGGCTACTCTGTAGAAGGGAAGAGGACAACTGAAAAAACTGAGGCACTAGGAGAAGTGGGATTCCTGGCATTGGCTGTTCATCCCAAATTCTTCAAGGGCAAGAACATATCTGACCCACTGCACCTTCCCGGTGCCCAGCACAGGCCTGGCACCCGGCAGACAGTAACAGGGCTTGTTCCAGAGCTGCCTGTGGCTGAGGAGGGGTTTCTTCTTCACACCCTTCATTCTCTGCTCACTGTCTGGAGGGAGAGAATTCTCCGAGACCTCTTCCACGAAGGGCACACACAATTGGCCTTGTCTTTCACTGCCAGGAAGAGAACAGGCATGCGAGGAGCCTCTCACTGGCAGGTGAGATCTGTGAGGTTCTGGGGTGTCTCTGAGAGCCCTGGATGTCTTTCCCTGCTGCCCTCTGCAGAGGCCGCCTCTCCATGCAACGTCCTTTGGCCCAGACTTCTCCAAATGAGGCACCCCAGTGGTCTCCAGAAAAAATGTTTTTGCTTTGAGAATATCCTGTGCTCTCCCTATTCAGAAAGAGGCCAACTTGACAGGAAGCTGGCTGGACTCTAGCTCTGCAGAACTCCCTCCTGAAAGCCCATTTGCTACCCAGCCTGAGCTCTCCGCTGTCCACTCCTGTGTTCCCGAATCCCTCATCACATTTACTTTTAAAGAAACCCTTACATAGGGCTTATGAATGCTAGGCACTGTTCTAAGTACTTTACAAACATTAGCTTGTTTCATTCTCACCACAAGCCTGTAACGCAGCTACTGTGATTATCATCTCCACTTTACAGATGGGGAAACTGAGGTGGTTAAGTAACTTGTGTAAGGACAGGCAGCTAGGAAGGGGGGCAGCTCAGGGAGCAGAACCCAGGAAGTCCAGCTTCCAAAATCCAAGTCCAGCTTCCAGAATCCAAGCTCTGGGCTGCCATCCTCATTCCTCCTGATAGGTGATGATCCAGCTTAAGTCTTGCCTGATAGTCAAAAGACTCAAAAATTCAACTTTTGTTGCCTCATCTATTTATTTGTAGAGGCAGGGTCTCGCTCTGTCACCCAGGCTGGAGTGCAGTGGCATGATCATAGCTCACCACAGCTTCAAACTCCAGGGCTCAAGCGATCCTCCTATCTCAGCCTCTGAAGTAACTGGGATTACAGTCGTGTGCTGCCACTCTTGGCTAATTTTTTAATTTTTGTAGAGATGGGGGTCTTGCTATGTTGCCCAGGCTTGTCTGAAACTCCTGGCCTCAAGTGATCCTCCTGCCTCGGCCTCTCAAAGTGCTGGGATCACAGGTGGGAACCACCATGCCGGGCCTGTTGCCTCATCTTTTTATATCAGGAGCCTCCCAGGTGCTTGTCCTGAAACTCCTGGGCCCTCTTTTTGTATCTTCGCAGTAGGGGAGTGGCAGACAGATATAAGAGAAGAGGCACCTGAGGATGTTACCAATAAGTGGACGTCTGTAGATCAGTGCTGGTTCTCACAGCCCGAAGTCCTGATCTGGCTGTAAGGCAGGGAGGGGCATCTTCATTAATTTGGTACCCACTGTGAGGACACTATTTGCTCATTATCTCGTTCATTCCAGCAAGGGAGGTCTTACACTCCTCATTTTACAGATGAGTAAACAGAGGCTCAGAAAGTCAAACACTTGCCCAAGGCCATCCAGCTAAAATGTATCCAACAGGGATTGGTGCCCAGATCTGCCTGTCTCTGACTGCCATTAGCAAAAGACATTATTCCTGTCCTCAATGGACCAGTTAGAGAGGCAAGACAGGTAACAATGGTTCGCAAAGGGCTGAAACAGGGCACTGAGATTGAATAGATGTGAGGGCTCAGCCCAGGTGAGCAAAGGTTTGCAGGTGGGAATGGGCCCTGGAGCAATGGCCTAGCGGGTATGTGTCTGAGCTCATCAGGTGACCATGTCAGATGATGAGTTGGGGCTTTGAACGCCAAGCAGATGGTTTGGCGCTGACAGGCAAGGCCACAGGGAGCCACTGCTGTCTTAGGAGCCTCTTTCCCTCCCTCCTGAGGCAGCCTCCCTCTCGCACAGCAGAGCAATTTCCCAAAGCATTTTCTCTAATTTGTGATTGTTTTTCTAACCAGAAGCAGCAAGAGTCTCCAGCTTCTCCCAGCCCGTAAGACGAGCCTGATGGAGCTGCCAAAGCTGCAGGTCTCCACCCCCAGCCCAGCCCACTTGGGGACTTACAAGTCCCTCTGTCCTAAAAGCCCACCCATGGTACTAGGCAGGCTGCGGGGAGGGTCTTATGGTCCCAAATCCAGGGGCTTCTTTCCCAGCCTGAAGCTGGCTGAGTTGATGCAGAGACCTGGGAGTGACTTTAAGCTGGGGCCACCCACTGCTGGCTGATTGTGCCCCGCGGACATCAAGGGCTGGTACCCTGGGACAGAGGGTGGCATGAGGGCTCGAAGCCAGGGGCTGCTCAAGGGCTCCAGGAGGGGCAGGGGCTGAGTGAGGAGGTCAGGGCTCTGTGAGTAGGGATGCGGGCTCCTTGAGGGAATGCAGGCTCAGAGAGGAGATGAGTCTTCAGTTCAGGGGACAGAAATTCTGTGGGAGAACAGGGGCTCTGGAAGGGGCAGGCATTCCAGAAGGTGACCAGGAGCTAAGTAACAGGAGGTGCTCAGGGATGGAACGGGGGCTCAGGGATGGGATGGGTCTCCAGGAAGGGTGGGGGGCTCCGTGGAGGGTTAGAGCTTTCACAGGGGGTGCAGGAGCTCTGTGGAGATTCTGGGGAATTGGGGGCTCTATCTTGAGAGAGGACCAGGCCTCCACAAGGAGATGGGGACTCCAAGAAGAGACGGGCGCTCTGTGGGAGGTGGGGATCTGGCCAGGGGCTCAGCTGCAGGGCTGGGGTTTGTGAGCACAAAGGCTCAGAAAAGAGAGTGCGGGCTCAGTGAGGGGATGGGGGCTAACATGCTGGGGACAGGGGTTCTGGGAGGGGCTCGGGGCTTTCCAAGAGGATGAGGGCTTGGAGAGAAATGGTGGCTTATGAAGGGACAGTGGCAGTGAGACAGTGGGAAGGCCCTTCCTCCAAGGTTGTTTTGGGGATTAAATGCAGCCATCTCCTCCCTGACCCACTACCCAGGTGCCCTACCTCAGCTGACCCATCCTAGCCACAGGCTTGTCTCCTTGGCTTACACAGCCCTGTGCCCCTGATGGTCCCCTCACCTTCGTCCTCTGCTCCACCACTCCCCCTACCCACCTCTTCTCAAGGCAAGATCCCGACGCCCCCTCTACTAACTCCTCCACAAATGTCCCACTCTGCACCCATTTCCTCAAAGTCACCTCTATAGATGATATCCCCCTACAGCCCAAATGCATTATCAGATCGGTACTTCAGACACCTGTAATGATCAATAAGGTTGTCCTCCCTCACAGCCAACCTCAATCTGTCTAGCTGCAAGTGCAGCCAATTTCTTCTGTTCTGTCCTGGAAATAGAAAAAAAAAGGCTCATCTACAGGCCACTGTTCATTCCATTCTTCTTCACTTTGGATACATAAAGTCTCCTCTCAAACTTCTCTCTTCTAGGTAAAATCATTCTGGTTCTTTTCCTTGGCTTTTCTAATCATTATCTTTAGTATCAGGTATCTTCAAATGCTGTGTTAAGGTTTTATCAGAGCCTGGCACATAGTAGGCTCACAAGAAATGTATCTTGGATGGATGGAGAAGTTGGTAGATTCTGAGGGTGAATGAGGGTGGAGAGACAGGTAGTAAGAAGACGGAAAGAAAGGTGGTGATACACGTGTAGGTAAATAACGGGTTGGTGGATAGATGGGTGGAGGTGGGTGAGGGGTGAACTGCAGGCAGATGGATGTTTAAATGGAGGTGGGTGGGCTGGAGGATGATGGATTGGATAAATGGATGGATTGATGAATGGGTGGATGGATGGATGGATGGATGGGTGGGTGGATGGATGAGTGGATGGATGGCTGGCTTAGATGGGATGCTGGCTGGATGAATAATCTCAGCTGGCATCTCAATTTTCCCCTGCCTCTCCCAAGCATAGGCTCCCCTAATTTGGTTAATGGACCCCAGTTCTCCCAGACACCAGGCCTGAGACTTTGTCATATTTCATTCCACCCTCTCCCTTATCTCCCACAACCAAGCAGCTCTGAGTCCTGTTGATCCTATTTCCTTGGGGCCTTTCTCCCTGGCCCCTGTTCTCTACAACTTCATTAAGCCCCCACCCCACTTATCTCCTGGACAATTTCAGCTGTCCCCGTCTGTTGCCTCCTTTCTCTTTCCTTCAAGTCCATCCTAAAACACTGTCAACAGCAAGATCTTTCTACAGCTTAATTCCAGCCAGCAACCTTCAATAGCTTCCTACTGCTTACATTCCTCAGCCTGGAGCTCCACGCATCTGAATTCAGCTGCACCTTCCCTTTCTGGTCCTCTCTGTCTTTCCTCCCCTCCATGTCCTCTGTGCCCTGGTCAACGGGGCAACCAGCTGACACCGAAGCCTTTGCCAAGCTCCTCCTCTTTGCTCATGCTCTTTCCACCTGCAGAAAACACCTCCACCTGCAGCAGCGTCATCCTAGCTTCAACACACAGCTCAAATACTGCCTCCCCCACGAAGCCTCCCCCAGTGCCTTCGACCAGACAGAGTCAAGCGCATCACTTCCTCAAGAGCATTTATGGAGCACCTACTATGTGCCCAGCTGGCTAATAGGGTCCTGATGGTGGGAGGGCTAGGACACAGGAGAGACACAACCTTTGCCTTCCAAGGTACACAGCCTGCTCATGTAGTCACGTTTGTGTGAGCACGCAGGTGCGTACAAACATATACAGAATTCAAGGGAAAACAATAAGGGCACAGTGGCTCACGCCTGTGCGAGACTCCGTCTCAAAAAAAAATTAAAATAATAATAATAATAATAAGGGCAAAATAGCACAGTATTAGTAGCTAGGGCTCATAGAGCACTGAATATGGGCCTAAGTGCACTGTTCTAAGTGCTTTACTTCTAATAATTCATTTCGCCTTCTCAATAATCCTATGAGATAGGTACAGATGAGGAAACTGAGGCAGAAGTTCACTCAGCTAGTAAGTGGCAGGGCAAAGATGGGAACCCTGGTAGTCTGGCTCCTAGGCAGTTCTCTCAACAGCACACAGTAGGGTCATAAATAGCGCTGTTGGAGTGGGGTGGACAGAGAAAAGTCATGACAAGGCTCATTCTGACCTCCCAGCCCCCTCCCACTCTGCCAACTTAACTCCCTTCTCTTCAAGCCATTTGAATAAATGGACACTGAAATAGACTGAGCTAGGGGCAAAGGATTCAGTCTGCTCTGAGACACCATAGGGCCCTGGGCAAGTTCCAGCCTCTCCCTGGGCCTCAGTTTCCCTTCTGTATCAAGGACTTGGACTCGTCAGTCCCTAAAGGCCCTTTCAACTCCAAAATGCATAACCCTAAACACAGCCACTTGGATCCTAGAAGACGCAGGCCTTGGCAACCTCCTGGCCTGGGGGGTGGGCTGCCTCTCCCAGGAACTCTCTGTTGTCCCTGAATACACAATTTCAGCCTCTGGTCCCTGTGGGCCCCGCTGTGAGGCCACAGTCCTATGTCTGGTTACCTGAGTCTGTCTGGCTTGTCACCTACCCATCATCTTGTCTACCCACTGACCTGGATCCACCTGCTTCTGCTTCCCATCCATCAGCCTGCCCGGGCCCATCCACCTTATGTCCCCCGCCTGCCTGGTGCCTGTCACTCTGCCCATCACACACACAAGCGCGCGTGTGCGTGCGCGTGCACACACACATACACACACACTCCACCTCCCCAGCTCCCCTCCCCTACTCTGCAAGCACTACGGTGACAACAAAGAATATGGGGCGGGGCTTTCTGCTTTTTTGACTCGCAGAGGGGTCTGTGGTGTTAACATCTGGACCAACTTTCCAGAGGCCAAAACAGTTCTCTGCCATCCAGCATCCTTCCCTTCCCCAGGGACCCCCCAGTCCCCTCTTCGCTGGCCCCAAGGGGCTTCTACTTGAGGAATCTGGTGAGCGCCACACGACTCCTGCCAAAAACGTCCCAGTGGTCCCTGAAGAAATCATCGGACAAGAGCGTGAAGATGTGTGTACAAGGATGTTCATGGCAGAATTGTTTGTAATAGCGAAGGACTGGAAACAACCCAAATGTCCAACAGTGGGGGCTGGTTAAATGAATTATGGGCAGCCACACAATGGAGAACCATGCAGCTCTTGAAAAATGATGATGTAGATGTATATTTATCGAAATGGCAAGACATTCACAATATATTATAGGGTGAAAAAAAGCAGGTTACGGAGGCATATGTATAAAGCAAGATGCCATTTTTATTTTTTAAAAATCTATATATGTCAAGAAGGATATGCACTGAAATGGTAGCCAAGTGGTGGTAAAATTATGGCTAATTAAAAATGCTTTCATATATAAAAAGGTACATACATATATACATATATATAAATTTACACACACACACATACACACACACACAGAGAGAGAATCACTCTGTATTAAATACTTCATATGAGCCCCGTGCAGTGTTAAGCGCTTTGTCTGTATTACTTCATTTCTCCAGTCCTTGGAGGTAGGTTTTGTTACAACCATTTTCTAGATGAGGAAACAGAGGCTCACTCAGCTATTAAGTGGCAGAGCTGGAACTTCAACTCTGCTCTGTCTGGCTCCAGAGCCCATGCACCTAATCAGTAGGTTGTCATGTTTCTCATTTTCTCATTTTGTTTATCTGTAACTTGCCTATTAAAAAAATATATATATATATGTATATATATGGCTGGGTGCGGTGGCTCATGCCTGTAATCCCAGCACTTTGGGAGGCCAAGGAGGGTGGACCACCAGAGGTCAGGAGCTCGAGACCAGCCTGGCCAACACGGTGAAACTCTGTCTCTACTAAAAATACAAAAATTGGCCGGGTGTTGTGGTGGGCACCTGTAATCCCAGCTACTCGGGAGGCTGAGGGAGGAGAATTGCTTGAACCCGGGAGGCAGAAGTTGCAGTGAACCGAGATTGCGCCCTTGCACTCCAGCTTGGGCAACAAGAGTGAAACTCCGTCTCAAATATATATATAGTATATATATTATATCGACTTGAGTGATAAAGAAACAACAGAAGTTAATAAGACAACGAAAGAATGAGGCTGGTGAACTATACATGGCAATGTGCCCTCAACTTCTGGGCTCCTGGACAGGAGGTCCCCACCAGCGGGTGCATCCTTCTCTCCTCTCTAAGTGCCTGTGTATTAGCATGGTCCAGCTCTCTGGGGAGGGGCCAGGCAACCCTGGTCAGAGTTGGGCCTTAGTCTTGCAGACTTCAAGGCTGCATGGCCTCAGGCCCCCTCTCCTCACACCCAAATTTAATTCAGTGAATGGAGTGAGTGCAGCTTTGCACCATATGCCACGCTAGACCCTAGGGAGGAAAAAATGAAAAAGCCCAGTGCCTGCCTTCAAGATCTTCTCATACAGGGCTTGGTTTCTCAGCCTCCACACTATCAACAGTTTGAGCTACATGAGTCTTTGCAGTGGGGTGGGGGGGACTGTCTTGTGCGTTGTAGGCGGTTTGGCAGCATCCCTGGCCTCTACCCATCAGATGACAGCAGCAGCCTTCTACGCAGTAGTGACAGCCAAAAATGTCTCGAGACATTGCCAAGAGTCCTCTGGGGGGCAAAATTGCCCCCAGTTGAAAAACACTGATCTAATGTGCTGCAGATGACACAAGGCAGGCAGTGAGAAAAGAAAACTAAACTAATTGCTACAGAGGTTCAAAATATAGACAGGAGTCACGTGTGCCTGGCTGGGTCCAAGAAGGCTTCTGGGGATGAACCCCGTCCCCGAACCTTGAGAGCGCCTCAAGATTCTTTCCATTTTACAGACTCATCCTGGATGGTGAGCTCCTCCTTCCTCATGGCCTCAAAACTCTATTTCCAGCCCAGAACTCTCTGAGTGGGCCTAGATGTTTTTGCATGACTATCCATCCAGCATCCCCACTCATGTATCCCATTAGGATCTCACCCTCGACCTGTCCACAGCTGGTCCTCACCTCTTCTTGAAAGCCCTTCTCCTCTTCATTTCGCATCTTCACAACCCACACAGCCTCCCGAGCCAGGAATGGGAACTCCTTCTCTCCCCCATGCCCAGGCAGTTACTTAGCCCTGTCCATTCCACTCCCACAACCCTCACAAGTGAGTCCCCCTCCATGCCTCAGACCCAGACACCAGCAGCCCGGGACCTGGTCTTCCCCACCCAGCAGCAGGATGAGGCTTCTAATGGCGAATCTCCACGCGCCACTCCCCTGCTGAAAACCTGTGCGTGGCTCCCCGCTGCTCTCGGGATGAAGGCCAAGCTCCTTGTGTGGCTTTCAAGACCCACGGGACCTGGCTGCTGCCCACCTCGCTGGCCTGGTTTCCCATGACTCCCACTCCCTGAACCCCAACCTCTGTGTGTTCTCCTTCAGCCAACTGAAATCTCAGTTCCTCTGCTATTCTCCCTCCCCTTGGGGCCTTGGTACCCCTTGGCATGGAGGCTGCCTTCTCTGCTCTTATTCCTCCCTACCCTCCTTTATCCCATAGATAACTGCGAGACAGCCTGCAGGTGTGCCTCAACAGCACTTCCTCCTAGAAGCCTCTGCTGCCCCGCCCACTGGCTGTCACAGTTATGAGAATTGTTCATCTTCCTCCCTGGACCACCAGACTCCTGTCAGCTGGGATTCAGGCTGCTTGCTCACCATTGTGTCTCCACCATGCAGCACAATGCTTAACACATAGTAATGCTTTATATGTAAATATATGTAAATGCTTTATATGTAAATATATATATATACATTTTAAACTGGATAATGAATGTATGGTCAGACAGGCAGATGGGTGATGCAAGGAAGAGGTGCTATTTGGGTTGGGTCCTTAATGCTTTGGAATATCTTCGGGGAAGGTTGTTCAGGTGGAAGGGCAGGTGGGGCTGGATGCAGGAGTGTCAGATTGGAGGCACAGTGGGAGATAAAGGAGGATGCAGACGGATTACAAGGACCTTGAATGTCATAGTGCCGAGTCTGGACTTAATTCAGTAGGCAATGGGGAGCCATGGAAGGGTTTTAATCAAGCCAGTGACACGATCCCACCTGCGTTAGAGAACGATCGCTCTGGTTGCCGCAGGGGTTGCAGCGGGAGGGTATCAGAGGCTGGGAGACCAGGGAGGAGGCTGCCACAACAGGTTAGGCATGAACCAGTGAGGTCTGAGCTGGAGAAGGGATCGCGAGATGGATGAGAGGGGAGAAAAGGTAGAGATTAGGATGAAATGAATCTGTGGGACTCTAGAACATGTTCCCACACTGCCGGCTGCATGCAGGGACTCCACCTTCCTCAAGGCAAAGGAAGAAGGATCCTGAAGTCAGAGACGGATCCTGAAGTCAGAGACAGATCCTGGTGGTCCTAACTCAATTCCCCTCCTGCAGGGGTGCAGGCAGCTGAGATCATGTGCAAAACCAAACAAGGAGGAACTGCTGCATTTACCCCATGGGAACCAAGGAATATAAATGGAGGGATATGAGCAATAACAATACTGCTTTATGTATGGGGTGTCCTATGTGCCAGGCATTGTGCTCAGCACCATACATGCTCATGCACATTTGATCTTCACAACCCAATGAGACAGGTATTACATTTTCCTCCATTTCACAGAGGAAGAAACTAAGGCTCAGAGAGGTAAAGTAACTTGCCAGCAAGTCACAAACTCAGGCTGGTTGGACTCCAATGCCTACGCGCTTAATCATCTATTTATATTATGCACAGGAAAGAGCTGGTAACAAGTGGATGGCTGAAGGCTTGTGGGTCTGACGACAAAGCAAGAAGTTCCCAGCCTAATCCCAATGTGACAGCAGGAAGGAGCCTGCTGATGGGGCATGGAGGGAAATGTGGGGGAAGAAGGGAATTCCTCCAGGTTGCTGTACCTCATGTGTTTGAAATCAGACCCACATATTCGGAAAGGTGTGTGCCCATTGTAAGAGAGCTGAGCTAAGGAGTGAGTAGTGAATATATCCTTAACCCCCAGATGGGCCACCTTTGGAGTAATTAAAGAAAGGGATCCTTTTCTGGGGGTAAGCAGCCCCATAGGCCCATGGCTGGTAAGTATATGAAGCCTTTTTGCAAATTAGAGAAAGATGCCCCCTCCTCCAGGCAGGCACAGCCTGTCTTTGGGGCACCTGACTTGGAGAGTGGAGCTTAAAATAGATTTCAGTCCCCGCTCTCCTCCTGCATTAAATGCCCTTGGACAGTCAACAACCTGCCCAACTGCATATAACAGCCATGCCTCCAGCCTTCCTGTCCTGCACCTCTGTTTCCAAGCAGCCACTGTGTATCATCAACAATGAGAAAACGTCCCTCCTGCCAGATACACAGAGCTCAAATCACTCCACAGACAACTTTCTTGTTAGGCCTTGTCTCCTCCATGGGCGGAAAGACAGTCCTATCATGCCCACTGCCCTGATGAAAAGTTGAGGTCAGAGCCTGTCCTCGTGGTGAAATATCTAGGCTTTCTCTAGAGAGGCCAGAATCAAAACACAAGGTTGTAGGAAGGAGAGGCCTGAGTTGAGAGCTCCATCTTAAAGGTGCTTTGAGGAACCCGGGGTGGAGGGTGTGCCCACTCTTGCGGGGGGCATGAGGCTTTTCTCTCTGAGCCTGACCTGAGGCCTGGGTTTCCTCTCAGCCTGTTTCCCCACCTGGTCCCCAGCCCCTAGCACCCTTCCTGGCTCAGCTATGGGGAGGAATGAGGAAGTCCTTGGCCCCGGGGCCTCAGCCCAGACACCACCGTAGGGTCTTCTATTCCCTCACTCCCTCCCAGGCCATGCAGTGCCAGCTGCTACCCGTGTTATATAAACAGAAATCATTCACTCTCTCTCACTCTACCTGAGGCTGCATTTCAGATTGGAGCTTCCTGATGGAAGAAAAAGGGGAGGGGGAAGAACAGAGAGAGAGAGGAGAGGAAGTTTAATTGGCTGACTCTTATCGCCCATGTGGTAAATAAACTGGCTGCTCCGAACTTTGCCAACTCGGGAGGAGACGGGCCCTCCTGGGCTCCCTGCCTTAGCTATGGCCCGGCCCCCTGTCAGACAACTTCAGAATGCAGCGCTCCTGCAAAGCTCTCAGAAAGACCAGTGCCTGGGGAAGCAGCAGGGGCTTTGGGGGTTCCAACCTCTAGGTATGATTATTCCAGAGCACGACCAGAAACATCCAGAGATCACAGCCACCCTTTTGACAGAAAGGCTGTGACTCACCCGGAGGTCACAACACACTTTTAGGGGCCAAACTTTGTCCTCTGCTTCTGCTACTCGGCGTCTCTGCTAAAGGCATTCAACAGCTTTCCTCCGGCACTGGCCTGGGAGCACTGGGGGTCTAACTTGAACACCTCATGCTGAATTTAGAGCAAGTGTCTTCTTGTCCTGCCTGCAGCGTGAAGCCAAGAAACGGCTCTGTTTTGCCCCAGGCCTACCCAACACATAAGCAGCGTTGGTGAGGCCTGGATGTCAAGATGCCTGGGTTCCTATTCCGGCTCTGGGTATAGCTTACCATGTGACCTCGGGCTGCTGTTGCCAATCCTTGAAAATGGAAAAGAGGGCAGCCCAGGTGGTCTCCAATGTGCTGCTCACAGTTAGGAATAGGGAAAGGGGTTGTCTCCAGGGGTCCCCTGATGGGGCCACCCAAGAGGTACAGGTGCCCCTTAGCTGAGAGAGACCTGGCTGGCTTTATAAAGTACCTGCCCCCGAGGCACTGGCAGTGGTGGACCGGGAAGGGCACACAGACATCTCCAGGAAGCAGTGTTTAAATGTTGGCAATGCCCTTCCCTTCCAGGAGGAATGGAAGAGGAGTGTCCCAGACACTGGGACAAGGAGGGAAATAAGGGTGAAGTAGAGAAATGGCTGGGGCAGGGAACAGTTGAGTGCTACAGAAAAACTGAGGCAGACAGGATAGAAGATGGGTCGGGGTTGGGGGGGACGAGGAAATGGTCATTGGTGGGCAAAGACCAAAGGATGTCACTATGGGTGTAGAGGCCAAGTTTCAACAAGGGCTGTAGACTAGGGGCAACTGAGGGGGACGGAGTGGGCACTGATGGACACATATACGGGATACAAATGAAGGACAGAGAGTCGCGGTGGTTAGGGAGGAGCCTTTGGGCCCTAGGGCAGTGGTGATGCTGATATAGGGTATTGGCGCTGACCAGTGGGAGAAGAGGATGAGATCCTGAACCTGGGTGGAGAGGGAGAGAGAGCTGGCAACAGCCAAAGCCCTCAAATGAGCCGCTGCCTGTGCTGGGGGCACCTCGGCCAGCCCCAGAAACCTGGGGAGTGCTGGAATCAGCCCCACGGAAAAAGAAGCTGGCATGCGCAACCCTGGCGACGCCCGAAGGGTTTGGAGAGAAGAGGTTCCAAGGAGCGAGCACCTCGGAAGACCTGAGCAGCTTCAAACAGCAGCTTCTCTGCCCGCCACAAGGGGGTGCCCTGCACCTCGGGGAGACCTCGGGGGATCCTGGATCAGCCCTACCCTCTGCAGCCCCGCCTGGGACAGGGCCCGACGTTGCCAGAGAAGAGGCAGCGGGGAGGCGCGAGCGAGACGGGTCCACACTGTGCCCACCCAGGGCTGCCCGGCACCCCGCGCGCCCACGCAGTCCACTCTTCACAGTAAACGCCGCGGCCCCCGAGGGTTAGCCCTAAGTGGCGCTCTCTTTGGACGTTAGGCTGTCGGGGGCCCCGTCCTTCTTCCCCAGCGGGGACGGTGTCTCCGGAGTCGGGTCCTAAGGAAGAGAGCAGCGCTGGCTCTCGCTCACCGCCAGCCCGCCCGACGGCCATAGGGCAGGGGGGGTCGCGCCGGTGGGGCCGGC
This sequence comes from Homo sapiens, assembly GCF_000001405.40. Taxonomy (NCBI): domain Eukaryota; kingdom Metazoa; phylum Chordata; class Mammalia; order Primates; family Hominidae; genus Homo; species Homo sapiens. Next base: position 46,307,619 of record NC_000020.11, read on the forward strand.
AGGGGTCCCTGTGGGCCGCCTCCCCGGCTCAGAGGGGACCAGAACCGTGCGTGTCGCCGCGGCTGGAGTCAGCCTCCGGGTGTCCCCGGACGCGGCACGACCTCGCACACACACACCGCGCGCACACGCTCGCGCCGTGCGGTATTTTCCCGGCCCCGGACCCCGCCTCTGGGAGGGGCCGGGGAGCCGAGCCCCGCTAGCAGGGTTGGGGGACCGGGAACGCCTGGGTCCCAGCCCTCGCGTCAGGGCTGTGCGCCACCTTCCCAGCCCCTTTTGGCGCGCCGGCTCGGCCCCTGGCGCTGCCACCCCTCGGCCCGCGGGGGTCCCGGAGGCTCCCGGGCGCGCGGCGGACGAGGTTGTGGGGACGGGTGGGAGCTGCGGGCTTCGGGCCGAGAGGCGGCTCGGCTCCGCGCCGGGGAAAGTTTGGACGTGGGAAACTCCCTCCCCGCCCTCCCGGCCGAGAGGAGGGGGCGCGCAGGGCCGGGCGCAGGCACCCCGGCTCCTCCTGCGGCTGGAGGCTCGCCCCCCGCGCCGCCTGCCCGGCCGCTCCCGCCGGCCAGGGGGCTCCCTCCCTGCCGGGCAGCCTCCCCTCGGCGGCGATCCGGCCGCTCCTCCCGCGGCACCCCGCGCTCTTACCTCGGGGAGCGGCCCGGGGCTCCCCCTAGTCCTGCCGCCTCGGGACGCTGCGTGGGGCGGGAGCCCCGGCGCGGGCAGCGGGCGAGTCCGGAGCCCCGCGGCCGCCCGCAGGAGCCGGAGGGAGAGCGGGAGCGAGAGGGGGAGCCGCGGCGGCGTGTGCGCGCGTGTGTGTGAGCGAGAGAGCGAGAGAGCGAGAGAGCGAGGGAGTGAGCGAGCGAGCGGGAGCGAGGGAGTGTGCGTGTCTGACTGGGGGGAAGTGTGCAAGGGACGGATCCCTTCCTTCCTCCCGCAGCCTCTGGTGGAGACTCGGAGAATGCAGGGCCCGCCGGGCAGGAGCCGCGCAGCGCCAAGCCGCAGGCGGCCGCCGGCCCGGACCCCCGCAGCCGGGGAACCCCAGCCCCCGCCCCCCGGATCGCGCCCCTCCTACACCAGGAGGGGACAGCCTTTCCCTCTCTCGGGCGGCCCAGTCCCAGGAAACCCCCCAGGGGACAGTGCCCCTCCCTCCTCCAACCCCAGATCCGCGCGAAGGGAGCGCCCCCAGGAGGGGGACCATCTACCTCCTCGCCTGGCAGCTCCCCAGGTGGCCGCAGTTTGAGACCAGAGCCTATTTCCCCACCTGATTTTACTGCGAATAGGGCTTCCCATTTCCGCCCCCTGACTACTGCGGGAGGCCGCCTTCAGAGGAGCAGGGGCGCAGGCCAGGGTAGGAGCAGGCTTCTCGAACAGTGGCCGCCCCGGCTTGCTGCCCAGAAAGGCACCTTGCACAGACCAGATCTGCCAGTTCAGAAACAGTCACTGTGCATTGAGGTGGACACCGACCAGGTGCCCAGGGCTGAGTCTCCAGGCAGGTGGGAGGTCGGGTGTCCCCGGGAGAGAAACTTGTGGGCTTTTCCTCTGGAGAGTCCCGCTGGACATCCTTGCAACCAACAAAGTAAGCAGGCAAAACAAGACACCTCCATCCTTAACTTGGTGCCACCTTGACCTGGAGAAGTCTCCCAATAAAATCTTCCCACTGCCCAGAAACTCCTTGCTGGTTGGGTTTTCCGTTCTTTTAAAAATCCGGCTGGTCTGCTCCCTGATGTTTTTTCCACCTGGCCCTGTTTCTTTCTCCTGGCTGCCTGGCTCTCCTTACTACTTCATCTCTCTGGGATGAGGCCTAATGGAGGAGACCCTCCCACCCCACTCCTGAGTTCCCAATATGAGGTCGTTGATGGTAGGATAGGACCAGTGACTCCCATAGACCCACCCTTTGTCTTGGGTTGTAGGTCCCCTTAGGAGTTGCCCGCCCCCCTATTCCCCATGGCTTCCAGATAGGTGAGTGAAGGATAACAGGAGACTGGACAGCTGCAGACCTCTGTCCCGCCAAGCTGCCAATGACCAGCCATTTAATCACCCACAAGCAGCTGCTGAAGTTCATGGCAAAGAGGGGGCAGGGCCCTCCAGGACCCCCAGCTCTACCTCGCCCCTATCCTTCTCTCCTCCTCGCCTCCTTCCCCAATTTCCATCTCCATCTCCACACCCTAGTCCGTCTTGCTGATGATTGGAATCACCTCTCCTGCTGGCTGCCCCTCTGGCCCCTCCTACTAAACTCCATCATTCATTTATTTATTTTGAGATGTATTCTCCACTGTGCCAGTCTGTTCCCTCCCCTACGTCCTTCTCTTGGTTTATTTCCCTTCATTGATCTCTTCCAGCCTTGCCTTTCTATCGCCTTCCTTTTCTCCATCTCTCTCTTCCCCTCTCCTCTCTATTCTTAGCCTCCACTCTTTCATGCTTTCAGAGACCAGAGGCCAGCCTTCCAGGTGCATCTCTTCACTTTTGGTTCTCTCCTCCCGCTCTGACTCACTTTTGCTGTTTGCTCCAGTTCCCATTCCTTCTTTGCCTCTTCCTCCAGGCTCTGGTGTGTGCTGTTCATCTCTGGAGTCAGACCTACTTAGTTGTCCACAGGTTGTTTTGGTCTGGGACACTGTTGCTGTCACATCTGCATGCACACAGTAGGTGCTCAATAAATGTTATTGAATGAACTGTTGTCACATCTTTCTCTTTTGCTCTGGTCTCTCTCTTCTCTCTCTTTTATTTTTATTTTTTTTTGAGATGGGGGTCTCACTATGTTGTCCAGGCTGGATTCCTGGACTCAGGTGATCATTCTGCCTCAGCCTCTCAAGTAACTGGGACACCAGGCATGTGCTGCTGCACCCAGCTCCCCATGACTCTTTATTAGACCCTCAGGTTTTCCTATCCCAATGTTTCCTATTTTCAGGCTCATTCTACCGTTATTTCCAATTCTTCCTTCCTTCAACAAACTTTCTCTGAGTGTCCACTCTGTTGTGAGCACTATGGCTAGGCTCTGAGAACACATTGAATGTTTATTGAGCACTTGCTGTGTGCCATAGTTCTGCTTTTAAGTCCTCACAATAATCAGATACTAGTATTAGCCCATTTTACAAATGAGGAAACTGAGACACGGTGTTGAAATAGCAAGATCATTCAGACGGCAAGTAGAGAGATCAGGTTGACGCATTGGGCCTGGGTCAGACCTCTCACTCTGGTCTGGGAGAAGGTAAGCTGGGACTCCTGCTGCAGTGTGGCAGGGGCAGCAAGAGGCAGTGTAGTGTGACAGAGGAAGAACTGGGCAGGCCTGGGCTCTGAGAGCAGTTCTGCCCCATGCAGACTGTGTGACACGTGGGCAAGCCACTTCCCCCAGCATTGATGTGAAGAGAAAATGAGATGATAGTAACAACAGTTAACATTTAGTGAACCTGTGCCATGTGTCAAGCCTTCTCCTAAATGTTTTACACAGATAATTTCCTTTTACTTTCAACAAATTTATAAATTCATAATGGGGAAACTGAGGCACAGTGCAACTATGAAACGTGCCCAAGGTCACACAATTAGTTTATGGCAGAGCTGGGATTCAAACCAAGGCAGGCTGGGGCCAAAGCCTGCACACTGAACTGTTGTGCAATATTGCCTCTGGGCAAATAAAATGCCAAGTGCTTTGTAGTTAGAGTTTGAACGTGTGCTTTTTTATATCGTGTGGTGAGTCTACAAATAAGAGAGACACCACTCCTCCAGGGATTGGGTAGGATGAGGAAGGACTTGGGGAGAGAGGCATGGCTAGGGAAGGATTCCAAGAGGAGGCGCTTGTGAGAATTCTCCTTCCCACTCCATCAGAAGGGCACACAGCCCTGTCTTGGCACAGGGGACATGTTTTCCCCTGGAGTAGTCATCTGGGTCCATGGGCATTTCTCTCTCTCTAGCCCAGGGTCACTCCACTTTGGCCCTATTGACATTTGGGCCAGATAATTCTTCGTCATTGGGCATGTCCCATGTAGGATGCTTAGTAGCATCCCCAGCTTCTACCCACTAGATGCCAGCAGCACACCCCCTCCCCAGTTGTGACAACTAAAAATGTGTCCTGACATTGCCAAATGTCTCCTGAAGGGCAAAGTCACCCCCAGTTGAGAGCCACTGCTCTAGTCTGAACGCCCTAACAGCAGGGTCTGCTCCAGGGAGCCTGCAGGTTTGAGCAGGGGTCAGTGAAGGGTGTGTGTGTGTGTGTGTGTGTGTGTGTGTGTGAGTGCATACACGCGTGTGTGTTGGGGATGGGGAGGCTGCTCTTAGCTCCAGGCTCTGCTATTCTCCCTGGCTCTTTTCCTCTTCTTCTCTACACTTCTCTGTCATCCCTTTATCTGTCTGTCGCCTTCTCATGCACTGTCCATCTGTCCTCGCTTCTCTGACTGCCTCCACTCCTGTCTCTGTCTCCTCCCCCTCAGTGTCTCTGGTCTCTCTGACTGTTTCTGAATGGGTGTCAGTCTCTTGCTACCTGCCCCTACATCTTCTCTAGCACCCTTCTCCCCTCCCCCCATCTGCTTATCTCCTAGCTGTGTCCCTGCGTCTGTCGTTCTCTTTCCGTTTCCCCCTCCCTCTGTCCTGTTCTCTCTGCCTCCATGTCTGTCTCCCTCTCTCTGTTTCTCTGTCTCTTCCCATCTCTGTTTCTTCGGGGCACCCAGTCTCCCTCTGTCTCCCTCTTGCCTGTCCTATTCTGGTTCTCTCTGTCCTCATCCCGCACTCTCAGTGCCCCGTTTCCCTTTCTCTCTTCTCCCCACACTTCCTTCTCCTCTTCCTCCTTCCCTCCTTCCTTCCCACTCCCCTCCTCCCGCTCCCTTCCTCTACTCTCCCCACTCTGTGCTTCCCCTCCCTTCCCTCCCTTCCTCCCCCTCCTCCCGCTTTGTCTGTGGGAGCTGGAAGTTAAAAGCTTTTCCGAACTTGTTCTCCAGTCGCTGTTCCCGGCGCCTTTCATCTCGCCAGCACATTTGTAAAACTGCGCAGACTGAAGGGCCGTGACATGAACAACCAAAGAAATGTCAGCGCGGGGACGGGGCCGCCAGCCCGCCGGGGGGCGTAGGGAGCAGCCGGGGCACACCCTAGCCCCTCCCCAGAGGGACCCGGGACCCGAACGAGGGCGCCCCACCTGGGACTCCGGGCGCTCTGCACCTCTGCGAGCCCGCTTTCTCCGCCGGGGCCGACGGGACCGCAGGGAGGGGGAGGGGACTACTTGGGGAGGGGACTCCATGGGAAGGGAACTTCGAGGGGACGGGGAGGCCGCCCTTGGCTGGGGGCGCCAGGACGGGGAGGGGCGAGCCTGCGGGAGCCACAGGCGCCGAGGCCGCTGCGCCCTTAAGCACCTCCACCTCATGGCGTTAATCCTCGCAGACCCCGCAGCCAGACTGCCTGGGTTCAAATCCCATCACCGCCACTTGCCAGCTGTGTCACCCTGGGCAAGTGACTTCACCTCTCCACATCTCAATTTCCTTATAGTAAAATAGAGATGGTGAAGATTGGATGAGCAAATCCTTGTAAGGCACTTAGAATAAGTGTTTGCTGTAATTAATAAGAAGAATAGCAGCAACAACTCACAAAACAGGGTTATCGTCCCCATGCTACCGCTGGGGAAACCAAGGTTTAAGGGGAGAAAGTGACTTGCTGGACGACTCAGACCAAGTCAGGGGACGAACAGGAATTTAAGGCCAGCTCCTTCCTCTCCTTTCCCCTCTTTTTCCTCAAGGAAGTGGGTGCAGGGATGGAACACAAGTTCTAGGAGCTTAAGAATTGAGTCTGTTTTGTTCACTGCACTATCCTCCGAATGCAGCATATAGTAGATGCTCAATAAATACTTGTTAAAGGTATGCATGAATGAATGAATGCAAATGCTGGAAAGGTGCCAAGGTTAGAAAATGGAAAGGCTACTTTGTCTGTGGTGGGCTGGGGTGGGGCCAGGTGGGAAAAACAGGAGCCCAGCACCTGCCAAGTTCCAAGCCTTGGGAACTTGGCACTCCATCCAGGGCCTAAGCACAACGGCAGCACTATGGACAGTGGCTATGGCCCAGGCCAGGATCCAGCTTTACACCGGAAGCTCTCCCGCAGCCTGGTGGGCCCGCCCTGCTTCTGGGCATGACATCTCAGCCCACATCCCAGCTCCCTAACCCCGCTCCTGTAACCTCTGTCTGGGGCTAGGTCCCAACCTTCTGTCTCCTACACACACTCTGTCTCTTCTCTCTCTCTCTCTTTGGACCCAGATCCAAAGCCAGTGGGAAAGACGCGCCTCCCTCCTTTCCCTCTCCCTACCTGTCAGCCCTAGACAGCTTCTGCAGCCCTGAGGCCTGACACTGCAGGTGGCTGCGTGGAGATGGGAATAAGAGTCCCCTGAGCTTCCCTGAAAGTCCCTAAAGACACAGCAGAGTACAGCAGAAACTGAGCACTTGGACCTTCCCTCTTGAGCCCCCTTCCCTGGGGTGGTGGGGTGAGACAGCCCTACCACACTCCCCACACACACTTCAAACACCGACTCTCCCTGAATTATTCACCTGCCTCTCCCCAGGGCTGCTGCAGAGCGCCCAGCCCAGGTGCTGAGGAGGAAAAAAGCAGAAAGGCCCATTAAATTTAAACACCGCTGAGGATTGTCAGATGTGAGGTTCTATTCCTGGCCTAGAGAAGAGCCGCCAGTGGGAAGGGAAAGGGGATCTGCAAGGGGATGAGGACGAGGGACCCACCCCGGGCCGAGTGACCTGCTGAGCACCAGGAGGGCTGGGGCCAACATGCCAGGGAACCCGGACCTTCCTTCACCTGAAGGTTCTCACCCATGAGGAAGTGGACTTTGCCGTACCATTTCATTCATGTTGTTCTGGCAAGAGAGGAGGACCCATCTAAGAATAGCTTCTCTGCAGCTACCTGAAAGCCCACCATTATGGCTTCAGCATGAGGAACAGGGCATTGCCTCTCCAGCTTCCTCTCCAGCTGTTTCCTTCTTGCACCTTATATTCTGGTAGTGCCAAACTCTTTTAGCTTTTATCCACTCTGAGCTTTTTTAATGTTGTCCCTGCCACCTGGAGCTCCCTCTCTTCCTCTGTTTTGCTGGAAAACTCCTATTTATCTTTTGAAATCCAGCTTAAGTATTAATCCAGC